>NC_000010.11:101506731-101809761 GCF_000001405.40 Homo sapiens
GGCAAGGCTAGATGAAGTGCTCTAAACAACTGAAGTTTACTTATTTCCTAGCTATAGTGTACTCATTGTTTCACAAAGGGTTAAATTATGTAGTTAGTGAATGCTTTTCTAGCTGCAGGGGTTTTTGAAAAGAGATCTAGGAATTCTGCAGTTAATTGAATTCTTCAGGCATGGACTCAGGGTCTCTGAAAAAATTTGAGTGAGCAAAATTCTCTTGCTTTGCTCCTAGATATAGTTCATACCATGTCTTAGGAATCCAGAATTATTTTTTGAAGGATTTTATGCCTATATATGCTGACTGAACATTTAATAAGATAACCACGACATTTTAAAAGATTTTATACAATGTACTTGTTTCCTTGCATTGCCCTTCTCCCTGTTTTTTCTTCTCTTACTTCCCCAAGTCTGTATCACTGGGGCTTTTTTCCCATTTTTTCCCATCTTGTGAGCAAAGTTTTAACAGTACGTAGAAAGTTAACTGCCTGGAGTCTTTTAAATATAAGTAACACGCAACCAGTAATAAGCTGTCGGTTGATTTTTTGCTGCCTGCAAAGAAACATAAACACAGCGCTCATTTCTGGCAGGTTTTTACTGTCAGAGTTTCTCCTATTATATTTATCTTACAATTTGCCAGGGGGTGAAGTTATTAAGTTTTAGCAGCAGCCATCGATCAAGTTCACAAGTTAACACGATAAAGGCTCTGTGCCGCTCCGATCCGGGGAAATGATGATCCTCACTCGGTAATTAACTAAATGAGAAAGTTAAATCTTACTTGAGAGCTGGGAGAGATGAAAGAGAGGTGTTTGTCAGCTTCTCAGTGGAAATTAGAAGCAGTTTTCTGCAATTCCCTAAGCTGCTGCTCTGTCATATTTTACATAAGCACTGGGAAAATGTCTTGTAATTAGTGCTGTCATGGAAGATTTTTTTTTGCTGAAGGATGTTGGAATAATTCATTAGATTATCAAGAAAGGCTGTGTCCTGAAATGATTAGCACAGTGAAATTTAAACCATTAACGATAACAAGTTTAGAGCTTGCTGCAGTGCAGAGGCACCCCGGGTATGTCTGTGCCTATTTCAATCATTTCTTATAATTAAACATTATGTCCTTTTTTTTTCCCTCACCACTAGGACCCATCCAAAAATCCTTTTAAGGTGGCACTATCTACATCAGTGGGTTTACCAGCCTTGGAGGTGTGTGTAGTTAGTAGCTATAATAATGCAACAGTAAATTAAACTGCTGTGAATTTCTTGGTTTAGAACAAAAGAACCTATCACCCTGGAAGCTATAAAGTTGCATGAGGGGGCCAATAAAGAAGCTTGAGTTTCAGTTTTGAAACCTAAAAATGTTAAATGACTATCCTGTCCCTTTAACTATGTCAGAAATCAGAAAATAATGAAAAACTGCTTTGTTCTGAATTTGATGAATTTTATATATGACTTTTCCTATAGTTAGTAAATAGGAAAAAAAGATTGGCAAGTGTCCAGTCATTAAATAATCATATATACTGGGCAATGTCAGTTCATTTCCTACTGGGCTTTATTTAAAGGAATTGGAATGACTGCAAGCTTTTTCTTGTTGGTTATTAGAAATCATTCAGATTCATAATGTGAACTTTCCCTCTACTGACAAATCTGCCCCTTCCTGTCTTCCATGTTCACTAATCAGATTTGACATGTTTATGAGTTCACCTAATATGTAATCATATTTAGTAGAGGCTGTTAAAATATTAATATAATAATCCCACTGAGAAATATGATGTTTACTTCTGTTGAAATGTGTGCCCCATTCTATATGTACCATTTTCTTTTCATTTGCACTCCCACTTCCCACCCTACTCCAAAAAAAGGAATGGACTACTCCTTTGATCACTGAGAGTTATAAAGTTTAAGAACTAAAAGTAGGCTGGGCGTGGTGGCTCACGCCTGTAATCCCAGCACTTTGGGAGGCCGAGGCGGGCAGATCACGAGGTCAGGAGATCAAGACCACCCTGGCTAACACGGTGATACCCCGTCTCTACTAAAAATACAAAAAAATAGCCAGGTGTGGTGGCAGGCGCCTGTAGTCCCAGCTACTGGGGAGGCTGAGGCAGGAGAATGGCGTGAACCCAGGAGGCGGAGCTTGCAGTGAGCCAAGATTGTGCCACTGCACTCCAGTCTGGGCAACAATGCAAGACTCCATCTTAAAAAAAAAAAAAAAAAAAAAAACTAAAAGTAGAATGTTAAAAGTTATTATCCCACTTTTGAACATTAATTTCCTTTTTTCTGCATGTTCAATTTGTAGCTAAATTCTTTCAGTTTATCTTGAAATCTCCTTGTAAAAGGATGCTCAGGTGCCAATGGGCGCTAGCCCTTCGGGGTTCCTTTTCTTTTCCATTCTAGCTCTTTAGAAATCTAGGTCTCCCTGCTATCACCATCTTCATCACTAGGTGTGCTTACTTATCTCTTTCCATTCTAATCAAAGTGTAAACAATCCTATTTCCTCTCAATTCAAGCATGACAGTGGCAATGTGGATTTTTTTTTTTTTTTTTTTTTTTTTTTTTGAGACAGAGTCTCGCTCTGTCGCCCAGGCTGGAGTGCAGTGGCGGGATCTCGGCTCACTGCAAGCTCCGCCTCCCGGGTTCACGCCATTCTCCTGCCTCAGCCTCCCAAGTAGCTGGGACTACAGGCGCCCGCCACTACGCCCGGCTAATTTTTTGTATTTTTAGTAGAGACGGGGTTTCACCGTTTTAGCCGGGATGGTCTCGATCTCCTGACCTCGTGATCCGCCCGCCTCGGCCTCCCAAAGTGCTGGGATTACAGGCGTGAGCCACCGCGCCCAGCCTTTTTTTTTTTTTTTTTGAGACAAGGTCTCTCTCTGTTGTTTAGGCTGAAGTGCAGTGGCATGACCACGGCTCACTGCAGGCTCAACCTCCCAGGCTCAAGTAATCCTCCCACCTCAGCCTCCCAAGTAACTGAGACTACAGGCATGCACCACCACACACAGCTAATTTTTTTTTTTTTTTTTTTTTTGGTAGAGATGGAGTCTCACTATGCTGCCAAAGCTGGTCTCAGACTCCTGGGTTCAAGCAGTCCTTCTGCCCTGGCGTCCCAAAATTCTGGGATTACAGGCATGAGCCACCATGCCTGACTGGCTTTTTTTTTAAAGATGCTTTTGGCCGGGTGCGATGGCTCATGCCTGTAATCCAAGCACTTTGGGAGGCCAAGACAGGTGGATCACGAGATCAGGAGTTTGAGACCAACCTGGCCAGCATGGTAAAACCCTGTCTCTACTAAAAACACAAAAATTAGCTGCGCGTGGTGTTACATGTCTGTAATCCCAGCTACCTGGGAGGCGGAGGTTGCAGTGAGCCGAGATTGCACCATTGCACTCCAGCCTAGGTGACAGGCAAGACTCTGTCTCAAAAAAAGAAAAAAAGAAAAGAAAAAGAAAGATGCTTTTACAAAGAAATCAAAGGAAAATAATCGGAAAAAGATCTTTTAAAGTCATTATTTTTGGCCGGGTGCAGTGGCTCACGCCTGTAATCCCAGCACTTTAGGAGGCAGAGGTGGGTGGATCACGAGGTCAGGAGATCGAGACCATCCTGGCTAACATGGTGAAACCCCGTCTCTACTAAAAATACAAAAAAATTTAGCCGAGCGTGGTGGTGGGTGCCTGTAGTCCCAGCTACTCCGGAGGCTGAGGCAGGAGAATGGCGTGAACCCAGGAGTTGGAGCTTGCAGTGAGCCGAGATCGCGCCACTGCACTCCAACCTGAGCGACAGATTGAGACTCCATCTTAAAAAAAAACAAAAAAAAAAGTCGTTGTTAGATGTTTATTTAATTAAAACCTGACAACAGCCTCTAGAGAGTATAATATAGACTTTTAAAAAATCTCTTCCTTTCCCCCTCAAAATCCTTGTAAGTTTTGCCTTGTTTCTCCTGGCCGCAGGAGCAAGAACACTGTTGTATCCCCATCCAGATTAATGTACCAGACTAAATATCTAAAGGATCAGCCTTAATGAGGTAGTAAAGTATTATACTAAAATAAATGTATATTATGACCCAGACTTACAATTCTCAACAGGGGATTTCTCCTCCTTTGGTTTCTCCTCCTTCATCCTCTGTCATGAGAGTTAAAATACCTTTCTTTTAAACATTTCCTAATCTGCCTAATCTAATCCTAGCCATAGTCACATTTTGCCTGGATTATTTTATCAGCCTTCTAATTGATCTTTCTTCCTCTGCTTTTGCAACTTGCTCTTATTATCCCCTCCCCACCTTTCCAGCCCCTGCTCCATTCTCTGTGTGGCAGCTAGTATAAATATTTGTAAGGCACAAATCAGACAATGCCATATGTGACTATTTCAAAACCTCCAGGGGCTCTCCTTTACACTTCAGATGAAATCTAAACTCTGTAGGATGGCCTAGAAGGCCTTATGTGATCTTAGCCCCAGCCACCTTAATTCCCACCATTTTTCCTTAATTCCCACCATTTTCTTATTCATTCTGCCCAGCCACATTGGCCTTCTGTCTTTCACTTGAACATACCATTGCACTAGCTCTTCCTTCTATCTAGAAGGATCTTCCCCAAGATCTTCACAAGACTGACATGTCATTCAAATCTCAGCTCAGGTGTCACTTCCTTTAGAGGCATTTCTTGACCACTCCAGTTAAAGTAGGCTGCACTCTTTACTTCTTTTCTTTTTCTTTTCTTTTTAAACATGATCTCACTCTGTTGCCCAGGCGTTCAAGCAGTTCTCGTGCCTCAGACTCCCAAGTAGCTGGAACCACATGTGCGCACCACCATGCCCAGCTAATTTTTGTATTTTGGGTTTTTTGTTTTGTTTTGTTTTGTTTTGTTTTGCGACAGAGTCTCACTCTGTTGCCCAGACTGGAGTGCAGTGGGCAATCTCAGGTCACTGTAACCTCTGCCTCCCGGGTTCAAGCGAGGGTTCACACACCATCAAGCCCAGCTAATTTTTGTATTTTTAATAGAGACAGGATTTCGCTATGTATGCCTGGCCAGGCTGGCCTTGAACTCCTGACCTCAAGTGATCCACCCACCTTGGCCTTCCAAAGTGCTGGGATTACAGGCGTGAGCCACCGTGCTGGCTGTATTAATAGAGACGAAGTTTCACTATGTTGACCAGGCTGGTCTCGAACTCCTAACCTCAAGTGATCTGTCCGCCTCAGCCTCCCAAAGTGCTGGGATTACAGGCATGAGCTGCTACCATGCCTGCCTTTACTCCTTATTTTATCTTTCTTTGTTTTCTTCACAATCCTTACTGGTTTGTGAAATTAACATATTTATATATGTTCTTTCTCCACTCCTCTTCAGAGAAGGCAAAGACACTTTGTATGCCTGTTCACAGCAGTTTCCCTATTACCTGGTAAAGTGCCCAGCATAGAGTAGTCACTCAATAAACTGTTGTTGGTTGATTGATACCACTAAAGTTCCAGGTTTAGTCAAAATTGTTGTCCTGCCCCTCCTAGGCTACAGCCTTATCCCCTGCAAAACCCTTGCCTATTTTATTCTTAAATTAATTCAGCATTTAATCATTATATCCCCTTTCCCCCCATAGTTCTCAATGCCAGAGCCTTTCCTTAAAGCCTTTCTCAAAGCCAAATGGAATCCTTAGATATCTTTTATCATTTGCATCTTTCTTGTCATAAATACTTTGTTCATCTAGTCCTTGCAACCCCAGTACTAAAGAGTGTCCTATGTCTGGAATGTCTTTCTCTACTTACTATACCCTTCCTTTTGGTTAAAGCAGATTTGGATGCAAACTAGAAATACTTGTCATTTCACCATAAAGTTCAGTCAGTCCACTATGTATTTCCCAACCTATACATAATACAGTTAGTAAAGTCAGCATACTTAGTATTACAATGATAGTTGATGATCAAGCCAGTTGGTGTCTGCAAGTGTCTATTTTTCCCTCCTGGCCCAGGCTGCAGCTTCAGAGAAATTCATGGTAATTTTGAAAGTGGTACGTGAAATATGTTTTCGGAGAGGAAACTAGTCCCTAGCCTTTGAGAACTAAGCTGAAGGACAGTTCCAGAAATACTTAACTCCTTTCATTTTGTGTGCTTGTCACCTGACAGCTTCTTTCTTTCTTGTGGAGACAACTGTTCACTATAAACAAAAAAGAAGAGGGAGATGTGCAGGGGTGGCAGAAATTTAGTGTTACCATTAAGCTGAGGCTGTTTGTCAGCTTTCCAAGACACTTGAACAGTAGTGGTTGAGTCATCAGGCTTTTGTTGGGAAAGCCAAATCAATTCTACTGCAACCAGTAACCATTATATCTCTCATACACTCTAATATACAACCTTTTGATTTTTTAATAATTGAACTTTTTCATTGTGTCCTTGTAGATTTTCAGAAGTTCTCAAATTGGAATTTTGCTGAATTTACTTTAGATAATTGTAGAAAAATCTGTATTGGAGAATGGTAGAAGAAAGGGGCATGACAACAAAGACCTTTAGATTTCTCTACAAACATAATACCTTAGTTACAAATAAAATTCATATTACAGTGGATTTATCAGTAGGAATACTGTACTCTTAGAAGTTTTTTTAAAATAACTTTATTAAAATATAATTTACATACAATAAAATACACCCATTTTAAGTATATAGTTCAATGAATGTTGGCAACTGGCGTAACAATCAAGTTAGAGAACATTTTCATTGTCCCAAAAACATCCCTTGTACCCTTCCCCAGTCAGTCCCATCTCTACATCCAGCCTCAGGCAACCACTGATCTGTTTTTCTAACAATTAGAATTACTGTTCCTAGAGTTTCATACGAGTAGAATCATAATGGACTCATTTGTACCTGGCTTCTTTGATTCAGCATGTTTTTGAGGTTCATCTTTACCATTTTGTGTGTCTGTGGTTTATTCTTTTTGTTGCTGAGTACTATTCCATTCTACAGCAGCATCACAGTTTGTTTACCAGTTAATCTTTTGATGGACATTTGGATTATTACCATTTTGGATTTTTATTAATATGGAAGCAAAAAACATTAAAGTACCAGTCTTTGTGTTGAACTGTGTTTCGTTTTAAGGAGGTAAGTACCTAAAGTGGAATTGCTGGGTTGTTTGGTAAGTATATGTTTAACTTTACAAAAAACTGTCAACTTGTTTTCCAAAGTAGTTGTACCATTAAACGTGACTGCCAACAATGTGTGAGAGACCCAGTTGTTCCTCATTCTTGTCCACACTTAGTATTGTCAGTCTTTTAAATTTTAGCCATTCTAATAAGTGTGTCATAATGTCTTGATATTTTAATTTGCATTTCCCTAATGACTAATAATGTTGAACATCTTTTCATATGCTTATTGGCATCTGTGGATCTTTTTTTGTGAAGTATCTGTTCAAATCTTTTGCCTATTTAATAAAACAGGATTTTTTAAAAATTATTATTGAGTTCTAAGAGTTCTTTATAGATGCTGGATACAAGTCCTTTGTGAAATACATTTATTGCAAATGTTAATAAAAATGACAAATCATTTTTGGAAATCATGTTTTGAACATGCCAATTTACTGACTTTTTTTTCCTTTTATAATGTTTGCCTATTCCAAGAACGTCAAGGTTTTCTCCTGTGTTTTCTTTTAGAAGTTTTATAGTTTTAGCTCCTATATATAAATCTAGAATTAAGTTAATTTTTGTATATGATGTGAAGTTAGGAACAGACTTCATTTCCTCTATGGATATCCAATTGTTGAAAGACAATCCTTTCCCTATTTAATTTTTTTTTTTTTTGAGAAAGCTCTGTCACCCAATCTAGAGTGCAGTAGCACAATCTAGGCTCACTATAACCTCCACCTCCCAGGTTCAAGTGATTCTTGTGTCTCAGCTGCCCTAGTAGCTAGGATTATAGGCGTGTGCCATGATGTCCAGCTAATTTTTGTATTTTTAGTAGAGATGGGGTTTCACCATGTTGGCCAGGCTGGTCTCGATTTCCTGACCTCAGGTGATCTGCCTGCCTCAGCCTCCCAAAGTGCTGGGATTACAGGCATGAGCCACCGTGCCTGGCCTCCCCATTGAATTATCTTGGCATCTTTCTTGAAAGTCAGTTGGCTGTATGTATTTCTGGACTCACTATTCCTTTCCATTGATCTACACTTGTGTCCTTACACCAAAGCCACACTATCTTGATTACTATTACATATCTTGAAATTTACTAGTCTGAGTCTTCCATCTTTTTTCAAAGGGTTTTGTGGTTTTTTAGGGTTTTGTTTGTTTTGTTTTGTTTTGTTTGAGACAGTTTTACTCTGTAATCCAGGCTGGAGTGCAGTGGCACGATCTCGGCTCACTGCAGCCTCCACCTCCCGGGTTCAAGCAATGCTCCTGCCTCAGCCTTCAGGGTAGCTGGGATTACAGGCATGCACCACCACACCCGGCAAATTTTTGTATTTTTAGTAGAGACAGGGTTTTACCCTGTCAGCCAGGCTGGTCTCAAACTCCTGACTTCAAGTGATCCACTCACCTCAGACTCCCAAAGTGCTGGGATTACAGGTGTGAGCCACCACACCTAACCGTTTTTTTTATTTTCAGGAATATTTTGGTTAAGTTTAGGTCCTTTGCTTTTCTTTACAAATTTTAGAATCAGCGAGTTAATTTGCCTGCTGAGACTTTGATATTGCACTAACTCTATAGGTTGATTTGGAAAGAATAAACATCTTAATAGATCCAATTTCTGAATACAGTGTATCTCTCCATTTATTTAAGTCTTTTTAAAATTTCCCTCAGCAATGTTTTATAGTTTTCAATTTATAAGTATTACACAAATTTTATCCATTTTTTTTTTTTTTGAGATGGAGTCTAGCTCTGTATCCCAGGCTAGAGTGCAGTGGCGTGATCTCAGCTCACTGCAATCTCCACCTCCCGGGTTCAAGTGATTCTCCTGCCTCAGCCTCCAGAGTAGCTAGGGCTACAGGCATGTACCACCACGCCCGGCTAATTTTTTGTACTTTTAGTAGAGACGAGGTTTCACCTTGTTAGCCAGGATGGTCTTGATCTCCTGACCTCGTGATCCGCCCATCTCTGCCTCCCAAAGTGCTTGGATTATAGGCGTGAGCCACTGCTCCCAGGCTAAACTTTATCAAATTTATTTCTGAGAATTTTATGTTTTTATGGTACTACAAATTGTATAGGTGGATGGTTTTCAAAAAATGTATTCTTTTTTAATAGGTGTAGGAGTCACTCTCAGGGTGACTAGTGACCTGAAAAGGGACACAAAGGGGGCTAGTGAGTCTCGTGATGATCTGTTTCTTGATCTGGGTGTTGGTTATGTGAGTATGTTCACCTTGTGAAAATTAGTTGAGTACATTTAAGATTAAGCATTTCTATTTATGTTATACTTTAATGAAAATTAAAATAGAAAAAATATATAGTGAAAAAGAAGAATGTACTTTCAAAAAGAGAGGGAAGGCTCAGCTCCAACAGTGTTATAAGCTCATTAAGAGTGTTGATTGACGGAACACTTGACTGTATGCTAGGTGGTGTGCTAAGCATGCTTTTCATGAGGGTTTTTTAATTTGTTCCTTACAAAAACCCAATGAAATAGAACCTATTATATTATTTTCCCAGTTTTATAGATGAGAGAATTAGACTCAGAAGGATCAAGTTATTTATTCCATGTCACACAGCTGCTAAATTGAAGAGCTAGAATTTGAAACCAGGTCTTTTTACTCCAGGGCCAAAGCTTTTAAAACAATACAGTATGGGGTAGTGGTTGAGAGTAACCCATTTGTTAATGGATCTCAGGTATGTGTCTTTCTGCCTCATCAAAAAAATACTCGTTTTGAGGGGTGGTGACTAAAATGTATACCAGCTAGAATAGCCCAGAACAGTTGATAAATACGTGAAATCTCAGTTTATACTTTATGTCTAATAACCAAATGTGTAATTCCCACTTATGACTTGATCATTGAAAGTATCACAAAGTCTTATCTTTAGCTTCTGCAGTAGGATACCCAGACTTTTTAAATCCTTAGGCAGTTTTACCTAACAGTCTGATAGCCACTGATCAAAGCATGACTCCTTATGATTATAGCAATATCTCGTTTATTTAATGTATAAGTGGAATAATTTCATTAAGCTGCTGATTGTTCTTCTCTGTTACTGGCATTCTGGTCTTTATCCAGAAAACAGTACTCCAGTAGCACCCAACTCATGTCCATTTCCACCTTTTAAAAGACAAAGGGTGCATTTTAAAAGGCAAATATATAAAAAATGATAGAGTTTGGGAGGTTTTCATTATTGGGATTAGAAGTGGCATTTAGTCAAGCTTATAAGCCTGCCTGTGTGTTAGTTCTCTAAATCTTCACATTTCATGAGTTTTCATTTCTGAGATACAAACTAATAACTTACACAAAAAGCAGCCCTAAACTCCCCCAAGGCCTGTGTCCAACAAGGTTCTTAGTAATCATTTTTAGTCTGTATCATAGGCAACAGTGGCATTTATGCTAGAAAACATCCACCTCAACACACCAGGATTACAGGTGTCAGCTCCTTCTGTGTATATAAAATGGCCTAATGCCATTCTTGAAAATATGCTTTCAGCTGTGTATCTTTACTTTGTAAAGAGCCCTGTGTATAGGATTTAACATCTAGAAAATAAGCAAGCCTCAAGAGTTCAGGGCTGCAGTGAGCTATGATCACACCACTGCACTCTAGCCTGAGTGACAGAACAAGACCCTGTTTCTAAAAATAAAAGTAAATAAATAAAAGAAAATAAGGCAAGCCTGAGCCTTGAAATGAATTATCTAAATGTGGTACAGTTTTATAGCATGTTCCACATTGAGTATGTCTGAGCAGGGATGAACTCTATGGTAACATGGGTCTTTCTGCCACATTTGGGTTGCCTTAAGTAAATATGCCAAAGATCCATCAAATTACTTTGAAAAGTACCCAGTTGTACCCATTTGTGATTATCCTTTAAAGAAATACTTTCTTCAGAGTAGCAAAAGTTTCTATTGATTTCTGAATCTTTTCCCAGTGTCCCCCAGCTTCAAACTTGGGTGTGATTTTGTCTCCTTTTTTCTCATACTCATATCCAGTCGATCAGCAAATTCAGTAGGATCTGTCTTCAGAATATACACTGAATCCCAATTATTTCTCACCACCTCCATAGCTACCACTGTGGTCCAAGAGATTGTTCTGTCTTCCATGGACTGTTGAAGTAGTGTCTTTTTTTTTTTTTTTTTTTTTGAGACGGAGTCTCGCTCTGTCGCCCAGGCTGGAGTGCAGTGGCGGGATCTCGGCTCACTGCAAGCTCCGCCTCCCGGGTTCACGCCATTCTCCTGCCTCAGCCTCCCAAGTAGCTGGGACTACAGGCGCCCGCCACTACGCCCGGCTAATTTTTTGTATTTTTAGTAGAGACGGGGTTTCACCGTTTTAGCCGGGATGGTCTCGATCTCCTGACCTCGTGATCCGCCCGCCTCGGCCTCCCAAAGTGCTGGGATTACAGGCGTGAGCCACCGCGCCCGGCCGAAGTAGTGTCTTAATTGGCCTCCTTCTATTTATGTCCCATATAGTTTTAAAGGACCACATAGCAGTGGTCCTTTTAAACGGTGTCAGATTGTGTCGCTATTATGCTTCTGGGTGTTTGCCCATGTGGCCCCTCTGTATGGCTTCTCATCCTCCATACCTGTCTCTTTCTCAGATTAGCCTGAGTTTCTTACATGGTAGCTCAGCGCTCTAAGGAGTAAGCAGAAGTTGCCTGGGCTTAGAAGTCCCAGAATGGAATGCAACTTTCTCCCCATTCTCTTAGTCAAAGCCCAGATTCACAGAATAGGACATAATCTCCGCCTTTTGATGGGAGGAGTAGCATTCATGTAGAGGGAGGGCTGGAGTTGCTGGGGCCAATCTGTGGAGATTAGTTACCACCACCGGAATGACCAGGATGATTTGACCCTGGCTACTTCTCCAGCCTTAACTTTTCCTTGCTCACTCTGTTCCAGCCACACCAGGCCCTCTTGTTCCTTGAACATCCCAGGCCGACTGCCACCCAGGACCTAGGGTCTCAAAATTTCCATTGCCTAGACCATTCTTCCTCGCTGTCTAGTCCTCATTTCCTTCATGTCTGAGTTAAAATGTCACCTTTTTCAGGAAATGATCTCTAACCACTTAAATAATCCTATTAGTTTTTTGTTAATTGCTGCCTAATCACCACAAACTTAGCAAGTTAAAACAATACGTATTTATTAATTCTGTGTGTAGTTCTGAGGGTCAGAAGTGTGGCACATAGTGGCTGGGTTCTCTGCTGAGAGCATCTCAAGGCTTAAATCAATCAAGGTGTTGGGCTGGACTGAGTTCTCATCTGGAAGCTCAGAGGGAAAATCCTCTTCTCAGCTTTTTTTTTTTTTTTTTTTTTGAGATGGAGTTTCGCTCTCGTTGCCCAGGCTGGAGTGCAATGGCGTGATCTCTCCTCACTGCAATCTCCACCTCCTGGGTTCAAGTGATTCTCCTGCCTCAGCCTCCCAAGTAGCTGGGATTACAGGCACCCGCCACCACACCTGGCTAATTTTTTGTATTTTTAGTAGAGATAGGGTTTCACGATGTTGGCCAGGCTGTTGTCAAACTCCTGACCTTAGGTGATCCACCCACCTCATCCTCCCAAAGTGCTGGGATTACAGACATGAGCCACCACACCCGGCCCTCAGCTCATTCTTGTAGTAGGCAGAATTCAGTTCCTTGCTGTTGTAGGACTGAGGCCCCCATTTTCTTACTGGCTGTCAGCTGGGGGCTCCTTTCAGCAGCTAGAGACTGACCACATTCCTTGCCAGCTGTCCCCCTTCCTCTTCTGTAACCCGTTGAAGCAAACTCTGTGCTTGTAAAGCCTCATACGATTAGGTCAGATCCACCTGAGTAATCTCCTTATCTTAAGGTCAGCTGATTTGGATCCCTCTTTTAATGACAGCAATACCTACATTACTGTTTGAATAACTCAGAGAAGGTATGTGTACACCAGGGGCCAAGAGTCTTGGGGACCAGCCAGGTGCAGTGGCTCACGCCTGTGATCCCAGCACTTTGGGAGGCCAAGGCGGGCAGCTCACCTGAGGTTGGGAGTTCGAGAACAGCCTGACCAACATGGAGAAACCCCGTCTTTACTAAAAATACAGAATTAGCTGGGCATGGGGTTGTGCACCTGTAATCCCAGCTACTCAGGAGGCTGAAGCAGGAGAATCACTTGAACCCGGGAGGCAGAGGTTGCAGTGAGCCGAGATCACGCTATTGCACTCCAGTGTGGGCAACAAGACTGAAACTCTGTCTCAAAACAAACAAACAAAAAAGAATCTTGGGGACCATCTTAGAATTTTGCCTACCACAATAACATACTTTTTTCCTGTCCCCTTATCCTGCTTTTTCTTCATAGCACTACCTACATTATATTTTCTAAGTATTTGCTTGTATTTTGTTTGTTTGTTTGTTTGTTTGGGGGGACAGAGTCTCGCCCTGTTGCCCAGGCTGGAGGGAAGTGGTGCAATCTCAGCTCACTGCAACCTCTGCCTCCTGGGTTCAAGCGATTCTCCTGCCTCAGCCTCCTGAGTAGCTGGGATTACAGGTGTGTTCTCCTCACCTTTGCCTCCCAAAATGCTGGGATTACAGGTATAAGCTACTGCACCTGGCTGCTTCTGTTTTTAATGTGCCTTTCACACTAAGAGTATATGTTAGTGATGTTAGAGACTGTCATTTTTGTTCACTGTTATATTCCTAGTACCAAGGACAGTGTTTGGCACATTATAGAGGTTCAGTAAATACTTATTGAATGAATCAATTAATAAAAAAGACTTCATGGGAAATACGGAATATTTTATGTTATGGAAAAAGGTAAATTGAGCATATGAGTGTTATTTTAGCTTTATGTCCAAAAAGGTACCACAGAGTCTCAGAATATTCATTGGTTTCTTTTCATGAGGAACTTCTTATTTGACAATTAAAAACCAAGTTGTTGGCCGGGCACGGTGGCTCATGCCTGTAATCCCAGTACTTTGGGAGGCTGAAGTGGGCAGATCATTTGATGTCAGGAGTTCAAGACCAGCCTGTCCAACATGATGAAACCCTGTCTCTACTAAAAATATAAAACTTAGCCAGGCGTGGTGGTGGGCACCTGTAGTCCCAATACTTGGGAGGCTGAGGCAGGAGAATCGCTTGATTCTCCGCCTGGGAGGTGGAAGTTGCAGTGAGCCAAGATCATGCCAGTGCACTCCAGCCTGGGCGACAGAGCAAGACTGTCTCCAAAAACAAAAAAAAAGTTGTGATGACGGAGCACAATAGCTCACACCTGTTAATCCCAGCACTTTGGAAAGCCAAGGCAGGAAAATTGCTTGAAGCCAGGAGTTTGAGACCAGCCTGGGCAACAAAAGAAGACTCCATCTCTACAAAAAAAAATGTTAAAAATTAGCAGGACATGATAGTGTGTACCTATATAGTCCCAGCTACTCTGGAGGCTAAGGTGGGAGGATCGCTTGAGCCCAGGAGCTGGAGGCTGCAGTGAGCTATGATCTCACCACTGCACTCCAGCCTGGGTGACAGAGTGAGACCTTGTCTCAAAAAAAAGTTGTGAGCAAGTAATTGTATAAATGTCCAACAACTGTTGTATACAAGAAAAAGCAAATTAGATTTTTGGCTTGCTAGTAATAACATGCTTTCAGCTTTTGGTTTTTATTTGTGTATCTTCAAATATTAAGAATGTCTTCTGCAAACTTTTGGAAATGGATGCTTAGTCTTCTAGTATTATAGCTGATTTACCAACTTTCTATGGTATTTCTGTGGTTTTCCACGTAATTGCTAATAGAATAACAGAGTGGGCTCAATCATGTAGACATAATATAGCATGCCATACCAGAAAATCATATATATTTCCCTCATTTTCAATACTAATCATTTTATGTTTCTTTTAACCCCCTTCTACAGACAAAACTTGCCAATGGCACTTCCAGTATGATTGTGCCCAAGCAACGGAAACTCTCAGCAAGCTATGAAAAGGAAAAGGAACTGTGTGTCAAATACTTTGAGCAGTGGTCAGAGTCAGATCAAGTGGAATTTGTGGAACATCTTATATCCCAAATGTGTCATTACCAACATGGGCACATAAACTCGTATCTTAAACCTATGTTGCAGAGAGATTTCATAACTGCTCTGCCAGGTATGTCTACAAGTGTTTGTAAACCATTAATTTGCTATGATGATAAGAGAACTAGATCTCCAGCTATATATCTCTCTTTAAAAGTCTTTATTGGCTTGATTTTTACAAATTAAGTTCCTTAACTGTACCTTTTTGATATAAAGCTTTTTTTTTTTTTTTTTTTTTTTTTTTTTTTTTTTTGAGATGGAGTCTTGCCCTGTCGCCCAGGCTGGAATGCAGTGGTGTGATCTCAGCTCACTGCAACACTGCAAGCTCCACCTCCCGGCTTAACGCCATTCTCCTGCCTCAGCCTTCTGAGTAGCTGGGACTACAGGCGCCCGCCACCACACTGGGCTAATTTTTTGTATTTTTAGTAGAGATGGGGTTTCACCATGTTAGCCAGGATGGTCTGGATCTCCTGACCTCGTGGTCCACCTGCCTCGGCCTCCCAAAGTGCTGGGATTACAGGCGTGAGCCACCACGCCCAGCTGGTATAAAGCTTTAAAAAAAAAAAAAACAAAAAAAAACAAAAAAAAAAAAACTCTAGAAATAAAGACTCCTTTTTTTTTTTTTTTTTTTTTTTTTTTTGAGACAAAGTCTCACTCTTGTCACCCAGGCTGGAGTGCAGTGGCGCGATCTCGGCTCATTGCAACCTCTGCCTCCCAGATTCAAGCAATTCTCCTGCCTCAGCCTCCCGAGTAGCTGGGACTACAGGCACCTACCACCATGCCTGGCTAATTTTTGTATTTTTAGTAGAGGCGGGGTTTCACCATATTGGCCAGGCTGGTCTCAAACTCTTGACCTCAAATGATTCACCCGCCTTGGCCTCCCAAAGTGTTGGGATTACAGGTGTGAGCCACCGTACCCAGCCAAGACTCCTTTTACCTATCTTCTTACTCATGCCCTTCTATTCAACCTATTTTTACCCATACATAGGTCCAAATAAAATCTTTTCTGAGGTGTTACCTGGTGTAAGATGTGTCTTTTATAATAACACGTCTTAGTTCATGTTTATGTACTTGGATTTGTATTTCTATGAGAATATATCAACAGAATATTTAAATTCTACAGATGGGTTGGGCACGGTGGCTCAGGCCTGTAATTCCAGCACTTTGGGAGGCCGAAGTGGATGGATCACGAGGTCAAGAGTTCGAGACCAGCATGACCAACATAGTGAAACCCTGTCTCTACTAAAAATACAAAAATTAGCTGGGTGTAGTAGCACACACCTGTTATCTCAGCTACTTGGGAGACTGGGGCAGGAGAATCGCTTGAACCCAGGAGGCAGAGGTTGCAGTCAGCTGAGATCACACCCCTGCATTCCAGACTGGGCGACAGGGCGAGACTCCATCTCAGAAAATAAATAAATAAATAAATAGATAAATAAATTCTACAGATGACTAAGAAACGTTTTTAGTTGAAGTTTTTAGAAAGAAGGATATCTCATAAGCCTTGTTGTGGTGTTAAATAAATATAAAATGATACATAAAATCATTTTTTTGGAGGATGCTGTGGTTTTTCTGAATGCTTAAGGGCAGACAAGAACACTGCCAAGGTGTCAGTATTTGGGGGGAATGCTATTTCAGGAAAATAGGAGTCTTGTGTATTCAAAGTTTATTTTAAGAGAAAAAAATCATACCAGCATGAATGAATCTTATATTAAATATCATTACCTTGTTAGGGGAGGGGTTTTGGTTGTTGTTTTCCAATTATAGAAGTTATAGGAAACTTAGAAAATATTTAAAAACATTTCCTAGAACCCCACCATTCAGAAAGAACTACTGATTTGCTAAGTTATTAATATTTTGGCAGGTAGCCTGTTTTCTCTACGTATGTGTATTTGCCTATAAAGCTTTGATCATAAATGTTTTGTGACCATTTTTTCTTAATACATTCTCTTAATGTATTTTTCTAAATTTGTGTTCTCAAAACATACTTTTCAGTTGTTGCATAATATTCTTCACAATGGTTGAAGCACATATTATTTAACCCCTTTATTGAACATTTAGGTAGTTTCAAAATTTTTTCATATTATAAACCATATGATGATGAATTTTTATACATTAATCTTGTAGGAATCCTAGGGGAAAAAATACAGACATAGAATCACTATATATTAAGGAATGTGAACATTTTAAGGCTTTTAATACATGGTGCCAAACTATCCCCTAATAAAAATATACCAGCTCATAGCCTCCCAACTATTAATACTACTTTGTTTTATATTTGCCAATTATACCTTTTTAAAATTTTTGTTTTTCTAAACTAGGAATTTAAGTTGCTGTTTAAAACAAAAGAAGTACCTATTTATATCTTAGGAATAACCACTATAAAAACTGAATTTTACCTATATCTTTTGTTAAACAGAATAGATTTTTGCCCCCTCTTTACTCATTGGATTTTGTTTTAGCCATAGGCAAATAGTTTTCTTTGTACAAAACAGTCTGTGTGTACCTCATTACTTTGTTCTCCCCAGTCACTGAGACATGTTACTATCTCAAGCTTATACCACTAAGAATTGAACAGGAGTTGATTAGACCTGTGTATCCTTTACCTAATATTGATCCCTGGTTTGTATCCACTGACCACTCTATGAGGTATTAAATCATCAATCTAATGCTTTATGGCCATTTAAACTTATAAACCTATATACCATCTGGCTATGTTTAGTAAACCAAACTACTTCAAAAAGTGCCTGTAGTCCATTAATGTAATGGGTTTGTTTGGAGTGTTAGGTGAAATTACTTCCAAAGACTTATTTATAGGTACATGGTGAAATGATCAGGAACAATTTGATGGCACCCATTAAAAACACAGGACTGCATTTTGGAAATTTCTGATGGTGTAGAAAGTTTTAATATAAATTGTACCATTACTGTATTTAACATGAAGAACTAATTATTATATCTTTAATTGGCTTTTGTTCATGTTCCTTTAATAAGAATTGGGTAATGCATGTCTCCATCTGCTTATGCTTACATACGAACATGTGATGCCAGCCAAACAAAATCCATTTAATGCTTTCTTTCTCAAGTCTGCTGAAAAGTGTGACTGATATCCATACAATCTTTATAATTAAAATGATATGATTCAGGGGAAAGGCCCAAAATGAAATGCCATGTTCTCTTTCTTGTTAAGTTTGTGCCTACGGGAGTGAGAGTATGAAGGAATCCTTCTGAACTATTTAAGTCTGTAGAAAACCTCTGATATGTACTTTGTAAACAGAAATAACTTTGAATGTTTTTATCTCAGTTGTAAATGTAGAACAGCAGGCAAAAGAAGTTTTTTTAGTGAGATCATCCTATTTTATAGGATCTTTTCTTCTGAGACCTCAGTACAGATTTGGGTGGTGGAGAACTTTAATTGGGAAGCCCTTCTGGTTTACACTCCCCAAGATCTGTTCTCCACTGTTTTCCTCTGCACCTCCTACAAAATATTCTCTGAAATGCTAACCAAGTTATCTTTTGGTCTGGAATTTTTTTTCATTTTTGCCCAACTGTCATTTAGGTTTTATAGCAGCAGCTACTCTCAAATATAGTTTTTTTAAATCTGAAATTAAACCCATTCTTGAACTTAAACATACATCTCTGTCTTTCTCTTGGGATATTTCCATGCCATTCTGTATTTCCTTCTTCTCTCCTTTCTGCATGCCCAAAATTCTATAACCCAGCACATTCTGACTTAGTGCCTCTCCCCTAGTACATTTAAAGGACATTTCTTTTACCGAACAGCTTTGGAACTACAGCAGTAATAGAAACAGAATGAGAAATGGACCTAATATAGAGATTTGGGGGGGTCTGAATCATAGAGTTTGAGATGCCATCCATAGAACATCCCCTAGTGCTGAAATCCATATAGATAGATGTGAATTGTTTTCTGGAATCCTTTTTATTTTTAATGTCTTGGGGGGTTTGCTGGTTGTTAGCTTTAACTTCCTTATCTAAAGGAAGATGGAAAATACTGTTCATTTCTGTAACCTTATGGAAAAATTATTGACACTCATTTTACCCAAGCCTCTGTTTGAAAAAGAAACTGGACCACACTAGGGACAATGATGTGCCTTCATAGCAGAACAAATGCTGTTCTGTTTTAAAGGACCTTTTGTAAAAAATCATTCGCCACCTTCTGTGTTCTTTTTCTTTGCCTCCTCCCCCTACTGAAAGCTCGGGGATTGGATCATATTGCTGAGAACATTCTGTCATACCTGGATGCCAAATCACTATGTGCTGCTGAACTTGTGTGCAAGGAATGGTACCGAGTGACCTCTGATGGCATGCTGTGGAAGAAGCTTATCGAGAGAATGGTCAGGACAGATTCTCTGTGGAGAGGCCTGGCAGAACGAAGAGGATGGTGAGCCTTTAACTTTTCTTACTCTTATACGGCTTCAGGACCTGGCCATTCACAGTCACTGAAAGATTTTTGGGGAGCCAATGAGACCACTTCTCATTTAATATGGTGATTTTGTTGATTTCTAGCTTAAAATGTAACAGAGAACAAATGTTCATATACTCAGCAGTTTTTCTTCTTACCTGTCACTCACAAAATGACATGATATTGTATTAATACTGCTTTGCAAAAAATAATGGAAAGCTGATCAGCCCTCCTGTTTAAAACATTCTGTTATCTGGGCAGAAGTTGGTATCCTGTGGCTGGGCACAGTGCGTTCACGCCTGCAATCCCAGCACTTTCGGAGGCCAAGGTGGGCAGATCACTCGAGGCCAGGAGTTTGAGACCAGCCTGGCCAACGTGGCGAAACCCCAACTCTACTAAAAATACAAAATTTAGCCGAGTATGGTGGCGTGCACCTGTAATCCCAGCTACTGTAGAGGCTGAGGCAGGAGAATCGCATGAACCCTAGGTTTCTTTCAGAAAATTTCTTGCCTTTATCTTATGCCTCTGGTGTTTTGTCACCTTTGTAATCAAAAATTATTTTTAAGCCCAAGTGGAATAAGAACTCTAGCCATCAGAAAAAGTGAAAATGAAATTAAGTATAAATCATTGTTTCTTCTTAAGACTTCTGTTTTTCAAGATTTTCTGACTTAATTCCGAATTCCCCAAAGCATCATATAGTTAGCAGTCTAAGAGACTTCACTAATTTTTTTGTTGTTCTCTTAACAGTACTATTTCATTAGAACTTCTGAAAGATATCTTTCTTTAAATACTTTTCTCTCAGAGTATGTCTCTAGAATGTCACTATAGGAAAGCTACGTAGTAATAGTTCACAAATAAAGGTGACATATTAAATATTCTCATTGACAGAAAAAATTATAATAGGCATGTGTGTGCTTAGTGATGTCCTTCCAAATTAATTTTATCAGTTGTTTATCTTGGATCATAAAGAGGAAAACAGTTAAAAGTAGAGAACACTTTTAAAAGATAAATATTCATGGGCCAGCTTTCCTTTGAATTTTCATGAAAAAGTAGTTGGCTCTCTTTCTTTTTTTCTATCTTTGAAATTTATTAACACATAATAAATACAATGACCTATAAATATTATACCAAATGCCTCAGATTTTTATCATTCTGGCTATTAGGAAGACTGTTTAAATTTTTCTCTCAAATTGAATTAAAGGAACAAAAAAACTAGGCAATTTTTAGGCTGTGTAACAAAGAATATTGTTGGCCGGGTGGGGTGGCTCACGCCTGTAATCCCAACAGTTTTGGAGGCCAAGGCAAGAGGATCGTTTGAGCCCAGGAGTTTGATACCAGGCTGGGCAACATATTGAGACCTCATCTCTACAAAAAAATCAAAAAATTAGCTGGGCCTGGTGGCGCATGCCTGTAATCCCAGCCACTCAGGAGGCTAAGGTGGGAGGATGGCTTGAGTCTGGGAAGTTGAGGCTGCAGTGAGCTGTGGTCATGCCACTGCACTCCAGCCTGGGCAACAGAGCAAGACCCTGTCTCTTTCTCTGTCTCTCTCTCTCTCTCTCTCTCTCTCTCTCACATACACACACACACACACACACACACAAAAGAATATTATTACTACTTCTCAAATATGTTTTTTAATTCTTATTTCGCTACATAGAAAAATAGAAATCTTTCATAACCTACTTCATACTTTGGAAATAAACTCTTTAATAGTACAACAAAGCAAATAAAAATGGAGTTATATGGTATTCGGGGTCCATCATTTTGCTAAGAGTGCTGGGACCAGCCTTGGGGATACAGCAGGCAGTTGCTTACATGAGAAAATTTTAGGGCAGCTGAGAAGATTTCTGTATCCCTCAGAAAAAAAGAATCTCGTCTCCAAATAACTCCTGAAATTTCAGTTAAGGAGATTCATTCCTTTAGCTATAAAGGTTCTGTTACCTGTTAAAATACATTGTGTTCCCATTTGGACTGTAAATGACAGTAAACCTTCATCATAAATTGGGAGTTTACTGAGTCCTTTTTTGAAGGCAGAAAGATCAAGAAGTAAGTGGGCAGTTCTTGGCAGATGGATGTGAAAATGCCAAAGGTAAAAGGCTCCACAGTTTTGCTTGGGATTGGCACTAAATGGCAAGATCTTTTATGTTAGTTACAAAGAAAAAACAATCATTGAGAAGATGGCTTTTGAGCCTTTCTAAAGGGTAGGTGAAGTAATCCAGGATCCAGCACTAATTACCACTTTTTTCCCCTATCTCTTTATCCACAGAAACCCATTCCCGCTCTTTTGAGTATCCTTCAGAGTTCTGACTATATCCCCTTGTCTTTGGGCATGTTTATCCTCTTAATCCCATGATAAACCCATGAAATTCCAAATACTTATACATCCCGTGTCAACTTCCTCCATTATTCCCTCGACTTTCTTGTTGCTGCTTCTGTTTTTACATGTTGACTTTATTCCTGTGTCAGTTTTCTTCCCTTTTTTAAAAAAAAATTTACTCCATCAGTTTCTCATTTTCTTCTTTCAAGTTGTCTTACCAAGCCTAATACGTCAATAAAGTCTTTCTGTGTTATACTTTTCCCCATATGCTAGCTTTGAAAGGTTCTTCCATTTCTACTAACCAAAAATAGTAAGTAAATACAGTTTTCTAATAAAGCTTTTATCTCTAAGTTTTAACTTGGTATTTGATGTTGTATTTTATATCTAGATGGATTTGACAGTCTTCCCCTGGGACATGAACTCTGTAGTTTTCTCTCTTGAATAATACTGAATATGCTGTCTGCTCAGTAATGGTAACTCTTAAAAGTATAATAAAAGACCACTTGGGAAAAGTCAATTTTCTTAATCAGCAGATCACATTTTATGATAACATTCTGAATTTAATATTTAACGTTTATCATGTACTCACATTCTTGTAGGTACTAGGCATTTCACATAGAAGTAGTCCCTGTTTTCAAAGATCTTCCATCATAAAAGGTTTTGACTTAAAACATAAAGACAGAAGCCAGTTTTCAGTACCTAGCCACCTCTTTCTGTAACACTTTGATTTGAAGAAATTCAGATACTTTACCAAGACATGGTAAATGCAGTGAGGTGGAAAACAAGATCAGAAGCTTATGTGAGTTCTCTTTCCTTAGAATGTAGATAGTATCATTGCATAGGAAGAAAGTCTTGGAGTGCTAGAGATTAAAAGAAGACAGGAATCTCAGGAATGGTGGGCATTGAGAAACAATAAAGTAGTTAAGAATGTGGGTGGGCTCAGGAGTCAGACTTAAAATCTTCACATTCAAAATCTATTATTTGCCTGCAAAGTGTTTGTAGAATAATATTGTACAGAGAAATGTACCATTAATCTGGAATTCTTTCATAACGCATCTTGTTTCCCCTTTTGTTTATGCTGGTGTATCATGTTTCATTAATCCCCCTTTTTATAAGTATTATTTTCACTTCTCTATTTCAGATTTTCTTTTCTGTATTAACACAGAAGTTAGAGCCATCTACCTTCCTGATAGGAAATTTTCTCAACTAATTTTCAGGGTATATAACAGGGAGAGGGCAGGGGAGAAACACTCCTGGAGACACCAAACAATTAATTATATTGTAATGGAGCTATAGAGGGAGGAGTGGATGACTGGCCCAGAGAAAACATGATTTCTCTGGTGCCAGGATTACACTCAGAGGCATTTCTGCCTCTCTCCACTTTGCAAGGCACGGTGCCAGTGAGAACAGCAGTTAGTACACCCATAGTGGGGTTTACTAGCTTCCACACCGTGTTTGGTGGGTTCTTAACTTCCGGATGAGGAATTAAATTTTTTACCCAGCAGGAAGTGATTGCCATTTACTGATTTTTTTTTTGTAGCAAAGATCTAGCTTGGGATACGAGTATTCCAGAGATGTGCTGTCATAAGGAAGGAGATACTAACAAATGTTGCTCACTGGAATCAGGGAAGGCAGTTAAGTACATGTGTATGTACACAGCCAGGAACACACCTGTGAAAGTCAGTTTCATGCCTTAGACTTGATAGCAGTGCTCTTAGGCATTTCTTTTTTTTCTTCTTCCCTAGCTGCTGCTGGACACACCTGTGATCCTTTTGTTTTCTGATGAAATGAACTGAATTGCTCCTTTCAAAGCATAGTTGCACTGATTAGCAGCAGCCTGGGTGACTGAGCAGCCACCACACCTTACCCTGTACAAATAAAGACCTAGCAAAAGTGATCTCCATGCCAGAGGCATTGCTGCTGTCTACAATGCTGGGGACCACTGACACAGTAAAAGGGAAAAAAAAAAAAACCTATAGGGCATGTGCTAGTTCAAAGGTAATAGTTACCATTACTAACAAAATTTCCAAAAGATGAGGCCAGTGAATCTAAGCAGTAGTCTTAATAGAGCAATAGATGAATTCTGATTGTACATATTCCATTTGTTTACTGATATTATAATATTCCTAAAGGCTTGGTACTCCGATGTTCTACACTGGAAATAATCATGTTTTACCCAAAAGCAAATCAGTGTTGGTCAGATTCTTTAGAGCCCAGAAGGTTACTCTTTGACATGGGACTCCTGAAATCAGGCTTACCTTTGCTCCTCCGCAGACAGCTATGGAGAGTATATGGAATGGTAACCGTGAAAACACTTTCAAAATATATGAAGTTCCTTATAAATATATAATGTCGGCCGGGTGTGATGGCTCACGCCTGTAATCCCAGCACTTTGGGAGGCCAAGCAGGCGGGTCATTTGAGGCCAGGAGTTCAAGACCAGCCTGACCAACATGGTGAAACCCCATCTCTACTAAAATACAAAAATTAGCCAGCATGGTGGCAGATGACTGTAATCACAGCTACTCAGGAGGCTGAGGCAGGAGAATCACTTGAACCCAGGAAGCGGAGGTTGCAGTGAGCCAACATCACACTGCTGCACTCCAGCCTGGGCAACAGAGCGAGACTCTGTCTCAAAATATATATGTATTTAAATATATAATGTCATGATTTTCACTGGGAAATATTTGTTATTTTTTAGGGGACAGTATTTATTCAAAAACAAACCTCCTGACGGGAATGCTCCTCCCAACTCTTTTTATAGAGCACTTTATCCTAAAATTATACAAGACATTGAGGTAAGAATCTATGTATTTTGGGGTATTGCCCAAGGGCACAGAATTATCAGCATTCTTCAGTCACAGTATGGTTACAGCAAGCCCATTAAGGTTTATTGACATGAGTTGGGAATCAATCTCTTAGCTGGCCATGGTGGCTCACACCTGTAATCCCAGCATTTTTGGAGGCTGAGGTCAGGAGTTTGAGACCAGCCTGGCTAACATGGTGAGACCCCTGTCTCTACTAAAAATACAAAAATTAGCCAGGCATGGTGGCACACACCTGTAATTCCAGCTACTCAGGAGGCTGAGATAGGAGAATCACTTGAACCTGGGAGGCACATGTTGCAGTGAGCCAAGATCGCACCACTGCACTCCCTCCTGAACGACAGAGCGAGACTCCATCAAAAAAAAAGAAAAGGAAAAGAAAATCAATCTCTTTACAGGCGAGTAGGGTAGGTAAAATAAATTGCTAGGCAAAATTTTAAAGCTTTAAAAAATGGTTTACTAATAAGTAGATGAGAGAGTTAAAGAGATTGATCCCTTCATACATAGCAGTGTGACTGGTAAACTTGTACTCATAAGCTCATATTTAAATATCTTCTGAATTGAACCTCCTTAGAAGTTCATCAGTAGCAATCAGTAGCAATGGCCATCACATATGTAAGAGCACTGAGTGTATAACCTCACGTAGTTCGTAGCTTTTCTTCTCTTGATGAGTAGTCTCTTTCCACCAGATTTATTATTTAATTGAACAAATTATAGGCAGGGAAGTTCTAGGAAACAACCTTTAATTACCTTGCAAAAGGAAGAATATTTTATAAATATAGATAGTAGCCTTTTAAAGACATTTTTTAGTTTTCCCTAAGTTGTGTATATCCCATAGAGTAAAGCATTGAGCCATTGATTGTCATTAAAGCCTAAAAAGAGTTTGATTCTAGGTGTTTCCTAACACTGCCTCTTTCCCATTCCTTCTTCTCAGACAATAGAATCTAATTGGAGATGTGGAAGACATAGTTTACAGAGAATTCACTGCCGAAGTGAAACAAGCAAAGGAGTTTACTGTTTACAGTATGATGATCAGAAAATAGTAAGCGGCCTTCGAGACAACACAATCAAGGTGAGGTCTATTCAGTTGTAGAAAGGTAGCAGAGGGAGCAAGAGTGACCACATTCATAGCGCAGTCTAAAGCATAAACTCTAAGCATTATTTCTAGAAAGTAAGTGAAGATTTTAGATTGTTTCCAGTCCCAAAGCCAAAATCATTTCCTTAAAGGACAGACATCAGCTTCCCCACTATACAAACGGGTAGTCCTAGGGTTAAATTCTCTTCTTGAAATGCACTGAATGGGCTGTTACTCTTTTGGCCATCACATAATTATAGACTACCCTGTTCCTTAATGAAAAGGATAAAAGTTTGCATTAGTACTGAAGCTATATGTGTGTGTGTGTGTGTGTGTGTGTGTGTGTGTGTGTGTGCGCGTGTGCGCGCGCGCGCGCTTAGCTATACCTATAGAAAATGCATTCCACACTACTCTGGGCTTTGATTATTTTGGGGGATCAGACACGTAATAGGACCAACAAGTCTCCACAGCACCCCATCATCACATTGATCAAAAGGATCTTATTTGCCATCCTAGATCTGGGATAAAAACACATTGGAATGCAAGCGAATTCTCACAGGCCATACAGGTTCAGTCCTCTGTCTCCAGTATGATGAGAGAGTGATCATAACAGGATCATCGGATTCCACGGTCAGGTAGAAAATTTCAAATGCTTTTTTGAACTCTGAAATATCAGCTCTGCTCTGTTCTTTGTCATAGATAGTAATTTTGTATATATCGGCACAGTTCTGAAACTAAAGAAGAATAAACCACCAGGTCCCCATCATTTCTGTCAGTCTAGAACTAGAAAACTTGATTTAGAAATGCTTGAGGTAAGTTTACATTTTCGCACATTGAAGAAACTACACATTCTATTTTAATTTGGAGGATCATCTATTACAGAAACTTTTCTTATCCTTATGGTAAACTTTGCATTCCTTACAAAAACCACCTCACGGGGGAATGATATGAATGCAATGAAGCCTTCCTTTCAGGTAGTGGTAACTGTAGTGCAGGTCTGTATTATCTCCTTTGAAACATGTACAGGTGAGCTGTGCTCTCTTTGCCAGCCCCTCCCCTGCCATCCCTGCAGTTTTTAATTGCAAGCTTCACTCAGGTAGGGGCCCTCAATTTCCAGAGGCATTAGTGATTTGATGACACAGCCATTATACTGCTGGAGTCCAGGATAGCTTGAGTTCTGGGTACCAGCAGCACTGCTGGGAACCTCTGTTAGGAATTTTGCCGTAAGCTAAAGGATTTAGCAAACATAATGCATCAAAAGTAACTTTAAAAAAAAAATAGACCTAGGAAAAAAGCGGTTAAGTGCATTGTTAGATACTCTGAAGTTAAATGTTTACCATTCCAAGTTATCCTCTGTGAATAGAAAAGACGGTTCCTGTTTTTTGTCTTTTGACTTAAAGGCATAGCAAGGCATAGCAAACTTGGCCCTTGTAGTTACTGACATTTAACATTTATTGGTGCTTGTGGAGTGAGTGCCCCACAGAATCTAAAACACTGCAGGTGCTAACATCATTTATAAGATAAAGAAAAAATGATATTCTATAAAAGGGGGCTAAACTGGAAAAAAGGAAATAACATGTTATAAAACCTTAAGTAAATACACAAAAATAGAATAATCAAAATATATAATCACACAAAATTCTCAAGCTATCCAAGGGCCCCACACTCTGCTGTGAAGCCCATATTTACAATGGGGGGTCTATTTTAAACCCCTACCCACTTCAGAACACAGAAATGGGGGCTTAGAATTAGAGTCATGGTTATCTTGGCCTTTGACCTTTATGATAAAACCTGAGATCCAGGGTAATCAAACTCAAATTCACATTACTAAGTATGTGACAGAAGCATCTTGGCCTATTTCATTTCTGGCTCCTGAGGGCTATCATTGGAATGGGCACTAATGCTATTGTTATTAATCAGATTCCTCATTTAAAATGTATCTTACTAATGGTATCAAATTGAATGTGAGAAGTTTTACAGTCTTCAAGTCTGGGCCAAATTATTAGGTGACAGTGGCTGCCACTTCATCCTTGCCCTCCACAACTTGCCCATATTTCAAGCAGTATGTCTTAAGGACACACTGGCAGCATCCCATCCCCTTCCTTCTCCCACTCTCCCAGTCTGGCCCTCTCTCTAAATATAAGGGGTGGAAGGGCGCATGATGGTCAAATATAGGTAACAGATTGTAGCTTGAGTACCATCTAAATCTCATCTATCACTTCCAGAGTGTGGGATGTAAATACAGGTGAAATGCTAAACACGTTGATTCACCATTGTGAAGCAGTTCTGCACTTGCGTTTCAATAATGGCATGATGGTGACCTGCTCCAAAGATCGTTCCATTGCTGTATGGGATATGGCCTCCCCAACTGACATTACCCTCCGGAGGGTGCTGGTCGGACACCGAGCTGCTGTCAATGTTGTAGACTTTGATGACAAGTACATTGTTTCTGCATCTGGGGATAGAACTATAAAGGTAATAAGGCATTTTTCAGTAAGTTTCCAACTTAGAATGGGGGAATTCATATGAAAATTTGATCAAGGGCAATTTCATATTTAAACGTTGCTACAGAAAAATGTAATATTTAATTCAGAGACTAGTCTACAAGTGAAAAGGTGTAATAAGTGAGACGTTGTGTGACAATTTATCCTAGATATTTTATTCCTATAAATAGTGGTGAGTGTGAGAAGAGACTAACCCTAGAAGAGTAAATCAATCTGAGGAATTCTCATGTGGTAACAGCCAACTGCAAATTAGCCTCTGTTACCATGAATTTAAATTGTCCTTTGTTTTATTTGTTTGAGAAGACTTCCCTCTAATGGTTCAGTCCTGTTTTCTGCTTCTCTAAGACTCCATTTGCCATAGATTTTACCAATAAAAGCACCAAATCAACTGCTCAATGCCATTTTCTTTTTCAGGTATGGAACACAAGTACTTGTGAATTTGTAAGGACCTTAAATGGACACAAACGAGGCATTGCCTGTTTGCAGTACAGGGACAGGCTGGTAGTGAGTGGCTCATCTGACAACACTATCAGGTGAGCAGCAAGTGCCTTGTATCATAAGGGATCAATATTATGCTCCCATTCATTATTAATGCACAGATCATACAAGTCTTCAATTTTGTTATGTTTATAATCAACTGTTTTTCCTTTCTGTAGCTTCTTACAGGTCAGAAGTTTGCCCCAGGCAGAGAAGCAGCACAGCAAAGCCTTTTGTTGCCCTTCTTTTTAAATTTCTCCTGTCTACCGTTGAAAAGTGCTAATAAACAGCTAACAGCCTTTTCTTTGCCATTGTTTTTAAGAAATGAAAAGAAAGATTTGTTTCCTTACTAGAAATTATGTAATTTTTGTCTTAGCATTACATAATTGGCCAGAGAGTTACCTGTCTTTGAAATTATGAAGATTTCACAGTTGGAAGTCCTTTTTGGGGTTTTCCCTTCACAAAGATGAATGACATAGATATGATTATAATTTGGAAGATTTATCCATCCTCTCCCTTCAGTGAAGTATTAAAAGGATGAAAAGGCCATTAAAAAAGAGCTACTGTTTGTTATATCTAAGGAAATTATTCCTAGAAATCACTTGAATTGCTCTGAAAACGTACAGTTTTTATAATTAGTACACAAAAGTTCTTGAGAACTGACTTTGCATTTCTATTCTCTGAGAAGAGCTGTCCTGGACAGTGGTGAAAGAAGTGTCTGCCGTGGCAGAGGGGGAGGTGCTTTGTGAGAACAGGACATCACTGATAATCTGTATCTCTTTCAGTTTGGTGACTTCAGGAAACTGCTTTCTTAGCTTGGTCATTTCCTTCTCAGGCAACTGCGTGCATTGAATTCGTTTTTATGCCTGGAAGAACCTGTTTACAGAATTATGTAAAGCCCTGTGCTTTGAAAATACATTTTACATTTGAACTTAAACCTACATATTTCTGTGTGAGTTATATAGCAGAAAGGAAATAAATTACATTGAAAGCAGTACATATCTGTGTGGGTGGTGATTGATTTTATTTTATGAATTTTTAGAAGGCATATGAGGTGTATTGTTATAACATTCCAGGCTTAGAAAAGAATACGTGAAAATTCACCTGACTTAATTTTCTCTTCCAGATTATGGGACATAGAATGTGGTGCATGTTTACGAGTGTTAGAAGGCCATGAGGAATTGGTGCGTTGTATTCGATTTGATAACAAGAGGATAGTCAGTGGGGCCTATGATGGGTGAGTGTGCTAACAGAGTGTAAAAAAGAGAAAATCTACGTCTTAATCCTTCCTTATGTTTATGGTGTTAAACATAACCATTCCTTGTTTCTAAAAGCTTATAGATTTTACACAAAATATCTGATACCATATTTCTTTAATCCGTGTATTTACCTCTCCTTGGTTTAGTGTCCTGAAATATTCTTCCCATTCATTTTATTATACTTGTTTGCACATGGTTGTCATTCATATTTTGGTTATTTGGTTATGTATTTGACTGTTTTGCCCTGTAAAGCAAAGAACAAGAAAAACCCAGTGTTAACAGGCTACCCATGTAAAAGGGTAACCTGTTAACAAAACAGAAACACTAGAGGGCAGTATTTGGGGACTTAGTGTGGTAAGATCTTGAATTTTGATTTCTTGGGTTTTTTATCTCTTTGAGTAATTTTTAAGAGTACAGTTCTCTTGTCATCACTTGTCATCCTAGCATTTCATTTATGAGTTTAGTCATCTTTATTTTCTTCTAATTTCTAGTGGTTATGGAATCCATTAATTTTGTGAATGGACCCCATGTCCACCAATCCTAAACACAGAGTAAATTCAAACAAAAGTAGTCTGGGCACAATGGCTCATGCATTTAATCCCAGCACTTTGGGAGACCGAGACAGGTGGATCATTTGAGGTCAGTAGTTCGAGACCAGCCTGGCCAACATGGCAAAACCCAGTCTCTACTAAAAGTACAAAAATTAGCCAGGTGTGGTTGCGGGCGCCTGTAATCCCAGCTACTTAGGAGGCTGAGGCAGGAGAATTGCTTGAACCAGGGAGGCAGAGGTTGCAGTGAGCCAAGATTGCGCCACCACACTCCAGCCTGGGCAACAGAGCGAGACTCCGTCTCAAAAAAAGAAAAAAAAATAGTTATTCACTTAGGAAGAACTCTTATCATTTCTTTTTGTCAATCTGCCTGATTTTGGCAGCTTTTTAAATATCAGAAACTAACAACATTATTTTAGTTCATGAGTTAACTACACTGATACATTCATTAGCCAATGCAAGCAGCAGGAAGTGTAGACTGCTCACTTCTTCTGCTTTGGGACAGCCATCACTGTTACAACCTTGGGAAATTGTTCAGAGTGTGGTGACATGTTCCAGCTTGGTCAAGACAATATTTTCTTATTGTCCTGGCTTTGATCTGTACCCACCTGTCTTGGAATTTGTCTGCTATGTACCTTGAGGAAACATGGCCTATTAAAAGATTTTTGGAAGAGCTACACTTATCTTATTTAAATCAAAAGATGAGGGCTTGCTTATATAAACTCCATTGCTCTTACATGGACCCCAGTCCCTCAGTACATGTGACCTGGGCCACTCTTAGAAGTGCCCAGGAAGAGGATGCTTCACAGTTGTAGATTTCTAGGTCTGTGTAATATCATTAAAAGGTCTAATGTACAAGATCTCCTCTTGATCCCAAAGTATGGTATAACTTTACTGTTAACTGTCTTCAGTTTGGTTAAAGCTAGCCTGTTTCTCATTTGTAGGTTAATCACGTACATTTGAACTATACTCACCATCCATATTTATTGCCATGAATTTCTGCTATTCTTCCCTGCCTTCTCTTACATTTGCTTTTAACTAACATTTTTGTCCCCTTTTTGATCTTTAGAAAAATTAAAGTGTGGGATCTTGTGGCTGCTTTGGACCCCCGTGCTCCTGCAGGGACACTCTGTCTACGGACCCTTGTGGTAAGAGCCTTGCTGTTTAGAGAGCATTGGAGAGCAGGTGGGGGAAGAAATTAAACGTTGATGTGCTGTGGAATATGGATTTGAATTTAATAGTTACAACCTCACAAAACCTACAACTAAGTGGTAAGGCAACCAGTACATGACAATAAAATATGTTTATATAATTCCTTTCATCCAAAAATGCTTTAGAGACTATATATGGAGAGAAATGTGGCAGCTGTTTAACAGCTGCACAGCAACTCTACACAACAGTTTAGTGCAGGGAGTGAATAAGAATTCTGTATCCACCAGAAACAGCAGGGGGTACTAAGGGAGAGAGAATATAATTATTCAAATTGGAACCTGTCCAAAATCTGAGGACCTGTACACCTGTGCCTTCAAAAAGTGCCCTGGGGGCCGGGTGCGGTGGCTCATGCCTATTATCCCAGCACTTTGGGAGGTCAAGGCAGATGGATCACCTGAGATCAGGAGTTCAAGACCAGCTTGACCAACACGGTGAAACCCCATCTCTGCTAAAAATAAAAAAAAAATTAGCCAAGCATGGTGGCAGGTGCCTGTAATCCTAGCTACTCAGGAGGCTGAGGCAGGAGAATCACTTGAACCTGAGAGGCGGAGGTTGCAGTGAACCAAGATCATGCTTGCACTCCAGCCTGGGCAACAAGAGCGAAACTCTGTCTTAAAAAAAAAAAAAAACTGCCCTGGGAATCTGCATGAATCCCCCTGGTCAACCCCTTAGTTCTGCAGCCTATTCATGAGGTAGTGCCTCCAGCAACTTGAGCCCATCTTTTTTGTTCCCCATATACCCCCTTTTGACATTTGGGGAAAAAAGTGATTCAAAAGGAGGAATGCACTAAATTATTTATCATGTTGTTAGCCAAGGGCCCAGATTGATAAATGCTGCTTCCATTAGAAAATTAGTTGGAGCAACAGGGTGGACAGACACCACTCGGAGAAAAGATGAGAGCAAGCATTTGAAGCCCAGTGTTCTAAATCCTGACTGTCATCATTTAGGCATTCTTGGCTCTGGAGAAGAGAAAGAGGTTACATTTCTTGTCTTCCTTGTTGGATTTATGTGTGTATGTATAAGACAGGGTCTTCCTCTGTCACCCAGGCTATAGTGAAGTGGCACTACATGTTGCTGATGTATATCAATATTTCATTTCTTTTGAAAATTTGCTGAGTAGTATTCTATTGTATGGTTATACCCATTCACTGATTGTTTCTCGTTTTTGGCTATTAACAAAGTTTCTATAAACATTTATGTAGAAGTCTTGGGATGAATGTATGCTTTTTGCTTTTATTTCTCTGAGGTAAATACCTAGGAGCAGATGACTAGGTCATATGGTAAGTGTATGTTTAAAATTTTTAGAAACTGCCAAACTGTTTTTCAAAGTGGTTTACCCTTTTACATTATAGTATATAGCAGTGTATGAGAGTTCCAGTTACTCCACATTCTTGCCAGTACTGAGCACAGTCTGTAATTTAGTCATTCTCATTGTGGTTTAATTCGTGTATCTCTAATGATTAATAATGTCAAGCATCTATTCTTTGCCATCTGTATATCTCCTTTGGTGAAGTGTGTTCAAATCTTTTCCCATTTTTTAATTGAGTGGTTATTGAGTTTTGAGATTCTTTTATATATTATAAGTTACAAATGCATTATCAGATGTAATTCACAAGTATTTTCTCCACGTTCATAAAATTTGTTTCTTTGTTTTCTTAAAAGTGTCTTTCAAAAAGCGGTTCTTAATTTTAAGTCTACTGCATTGACTTTTTCTATTATGGCCTATGTTACTTGCTGTTGTATCTCAGAAAAACCTTTGACTAATCCAGAGTCACAAGGATTTTTCCCTGTGTTTTCTTCTCTAAGTTTTATAATTTTCAGTTTGTATTTTGGTCTATGATCCATTTTGAGTTAATCTTTGCATATGGTACAAGGTGTAGATCAAAGGGTTGGGCTTTTTTACACATGAATATCCAGTTGTTCCAGCACCATTTATTCAAAAGACTGTCCTTTCGAAATGCTTTTGCAGCTTTGTCAAAAATGAATTGACCATATATGTGTGAGTCTTCTTTGGGAATCTGTTCTGTTCCATTGATTTTTGTCTGTCTTGATTCCAGTATAATTTTATTTTGATTACTGCAGCTTTTTACCAACTCTTGAAGTCAAGTAATGTGAGTCCTTCAGCTTTGTCTTTTTCAAAGTTTTTTGGGGCCTTTGATTTTTCATGTTAATTTTAAAATCAGTTTGCCAAGTTCAACCAAAAAAGTCTGCTGGGAATGTTTTTTAATTTTTTAATAAATAAATAGGTATGGGGTCTCAGTGTGTTGCCCAGACTGGTCTCAAACTCCTGGCCTCAAATAGTACTCCTACCTCAGACATCCAAAGTGCTTGGATTATAGGCCTGAGCCACTCCATCTGCTGGGTTTTTTGTTGGACTTGTGTTGACTGTAGATCAGTTTGGAGAATATTGACTTCTGAACAATATTGAGTCTTTATCTCTCCATTTGTTTAGGTCTTTTTAACTTTCTCAGCCACGTTGTAGCTTTTAGTATAAAGGTTTTGCACATCTTTTTGTCACAGTTATCCCTAAATATTTTGTATTTTTAATGCTATTGGAAAAGGTATTTTTAAACCTTGGTTTCTGATTGTTCATTGCAAATACATAGAAATATACTTTTACTTATTTCCCAATCTATGTATCTTTTATTTCTCTCTCCCTCTTTTTTTTTTTTCTTAATTGCACTGGCTAAGACCTCCAGTACAATGTTAAAAACAATTGGTAAGAGTGAATGTCCCTTTTTTGTTCATGATCTTAGGCGAAAGGCATTCAGTCTTTCACCGTTTCACATATGTGTATATATAGATGTATGTCAGCTATAGGGTTTTTCTCTTTTTTTTTTTTGAGACGGAGTCTCGCTCTTTCACCCAGGCTGGAGTGCAGTGGCGCGATCTCAGCGCACTGCAAGCTCTGCCTCCTGGGTTCACGCCATTCTCCTGCCTCAGCTTCCTGAGTAGCTGGGACTACAGGCACGTGCCACCATGCCCGGCTGATTTTTTGTATTTTTTAGTAGAGACGGGGTTTCATCATGTTAGCCAGGATGGTCTCGATCTCCTGACCTCGTGATCCAGCCACCTCAGCCTCCCAAAGTGCTGGGATTACAGGCGTGAACCACCGCGCCCGGCCTAGGGTTTTTCATAGTGACCCATTATCAGGGGATTAGGCAGTTCCCTTCTGTTCCTAGATTGCTGAGAGTTTTAATGAGGAACACATGTTGGATTTTGTGAAATGCTTTATCTACATCCATTGAGATAATCATATGGTTTTTCACTTTTATTCTGTTAATTGGTATATTACATTGAATTTTTTTTAGCTTTAAATCCTTTGCATTGCTGGTATAAACACCACTTGTTCATGAGGTATAATTCTTTTTATGTGTTGTTGGATTCACCTTGCTAATATCTTTTTAAGGATTTTTGTGTGTGTGTGTATCTGTGTTTGTAAGGGATATTGGTTTGTTGCTTTATTTTCTGTGTCTCTGGTTGACTGTCATGATAATGTTGGCCTTATAAAATTTTGAAGTGTTCCCTCATCTATTTTCTAAGAGTTTGCATATGTGATATTATGCTTCTTTAAATGCTTGATAGAATTCACTAGTGAAGCATCTAGACCTGGAATTTTCTTTGTGGAAAGTTTTAATTACAACTTCAGTTTCTTTAATAAATACAGCACTCTTCAGATTTAATATTTCTTTTGAAGTCCACTTTAATACTTTTGTCTTCCAAGCAGTTTGGCCGTTTTATCTAAATTATGAAATTTATTGAAATAAAGTTATCATATTCCCTTATTATCCTTTTAATGCCTGTTAGGAGCATAGTCCTGTTTCCTTTTTTGGTTTCATTGATTTTTTTTTTTTATTTTTCTAGCTTCTTAAGGTAGAAACTAAGATCATTGACTTTGAACCTTTTTTTAAATATAATCAGTTGAAGCTATAAATGTTATTAGAAGTAATTCTAATCACTACTTTAGCCACATCCCAAAAAATGTCAATTAAGTCAAGTTGGTTTATAATATTCAGGTCTTCTGTATCCTTAGTGATTTTTCTATTCGTCCTTACCAATTATTGAGAGAGGAATTTTTATGTCTCCCACTATAGTTTTGAATTTGTCTATTTCTCCTTACAGTTGTGACAGCTTTTGCTTCGTGGTTTTTGTTTGAGACAGGGTATCACTATGCCGCCCAGGCTGGAATGCAGTGGCACACCCATGACTCACTGCAGCCTCAACCTCCCAGGCTCTGTCAATCCACCCACCTGAGCCTCCTGAGTAGCTGGGACCACAGGCGTGCGCCACCACGTCCAGCTAATTTTTTTGTATTTTTTTTTAGAGATGGGGTTTTGCCACATTGCCCAGGCTGGTCTGGAACTCCTGGGCTCAACCTCGACAAAGTACTGGGATCACAGGCATGAGCCATGGCACCTGGCCTGCTTCATGGTTTTTTTTGTTGTTGTCGTTGTTTTTGAGACGGAGTTTCTCTCTTGTCACCCAGGCTGGAGTGCAGTGGCACGATGTCGGCTCACTGCAACCTCTGCCTCCTGGGTTCAAGCCATTCTCCTGCCTCAGCCTCCCAAGTAGCTGGCATTACAGGCACCTGCCACCACACCTGGCTAATTTTTTGTATTTTCAGTAGAGACAGGATTTTGCCATGTTGGGCAGGCTGGTCTCGAACTCCTGACCTCAGGTGATCCACACACCTCGGCCTCCCAAAGTGTTGGGATTACAGGCGTGAGCCACCGCACCCAGCCACTTCTTGTATTTTTAAGCTCTATTATTGGGTACCTGCGTGCTTAGGATTTTTGTCTTAGTGATTAACTGACTTTTTAACATTATGAAATGTCCTTCTTTGATGTTTATAGTATTCTTTGTTTTGGGAAATTAATACTTTGATATTATATGTAAACATTCTGCTTTTTTATGATTAGTGTCTGTGTGGTGTATCTTACTATATTCTTTTACTTTTAATATGCCTGTGTCTTTATATTTAAAATGAATTTCTCATATTCAGCATATAGTTGGGCCATGTTTTTTTTTGTTTTTTTTTTTTCTTAATCCAGCCTGACCATCTCTGCCTTTGTCATGTTTAGACCATTTATGTAATTTTTGTATGTTTGGATTTAAATCTATCATGTTGCTATTTATTTTCCATTTTTTGCTTTTGTTTGTTACCTCCTGTTTTCATGCTCTTTTTTTTTTCTTTTTTATCTCAGTTTAGCTCCTATTATGGGTTCTTAGTTATATCTCACTAATTTGGTGAGGAGGGACCTAGGGTTTACAATAGTTATCTCTAATTTATTGCAGTCTACTATCAGATGATATTGTACCACTTCATGTATAATGTAGGAAACTTAAAACACTATATGTTCATTTTTCACCCCCATCCTTTATGCTATTGTTGCTACAGATTTTACTTCTAAATATGTTATCATCCCCACAGCACTTGTTATTTTTGCTTTAAACAATCAACCATCTTTTAAGATTTTTTTGTTTGTTTGTTTGAGACGGAGTCTTGCTCTGTCACCCAGGCTGGAGTGCACTGGCGTGATCTTGGCTCACTGCAACCTCCGCCTCCCAGGTTCAAGCAATTCTCCTGCCTCAGCCTCCAGAGTAGCTGGGACTACAGGCGCCCGCCACCACACCCAGCTAATTTTTTGTAGTTTTAATAGAGATGGGATTTCACCATGTTAGCCAAGATGGTCTCGATCTCCTGACCTCGTGATCCGCCCGCCTCAGGTTCCCAAAGTGCTGGGATTACAGGCATGAGCCACCGCAGCTGGCCTTTTAAAGAAATTTTTTAATGGAAAAAAGAGAGTTTATTTTTACCCACACGTTTACCTTTTCTATTGCCTCCCATTCCTTTGTATAAATTCTATTTCCATCTGATACATTTTCCTTTTGCTTAAAGAACTTACTTTAACATTTCATGTATGCAGGTACACTGGTGACAAATACTTTCACTTGTTGTTTACTTGGGAAAGTTTTTTTTTTTTTTTTTTAAGGGATGGGGTCTCATTCTATATCCCAGGCTGGAATGCAGTGGCATGATCATAGCTCACTGCAGCCTTGGACTTCTAGTCTCAAGCAGTCCTCCTGACAGCTTCCCACATAGCTGACTACAGGCTTGTGCCACCATATCTGGCTAATTTTCTTTATTTTTTTAGAGATAGGGTCTCATTGTGTTGCCCAGACTGGTCTTGAACTCCTGGCCTCACATAATCCTCTTGCCTCACAACCTCCTGAGTAGCTGAGATTATTACAGGTGCAAGCCACTGCGCCTGGCTCTGAAAAAGTTTTCGTTTTGCCTTCATTTTTGAAAGATATTTTTGCTGGCTAAATAATTCTATATAGGCCAGGCATGGTGTCTCACACCTGTAATCCCAGCACTTTGGGAGTCTGAGGCGGTGGATTGCTTGAACTCAGGAGTTCAAGACCAGCCTGGCAACATGGCAACCCCTTCTCTTCAAAAATACAAAGATTAGCTGGGCATGGTGGCACGTGCCCAGTGCAACAACTTTTGGGTGGCTGAGGTGTGAGGATCATATGAGTCCAGGAGATTGAGGCTGCAGTAAGCCACAGATATGCCACTGCACTCCAGCTTGGGTGAGAATGAGACCCTGTCTCAAAAAAAAAAAAAGAAAAAAAGCTAGATTGACAGTGTCTTTCAGCACTTTAATGATGTCATTCCATTTTCTTCTGGCTTGGTTTCTGACTAGAAGTTGGAAGTCACTCATCTCCATTCTGTATCTTTTTCCTCTGGGTGCTTTTAAGATTTTCTCTTTATCATTAGTTTTCAGCAATTTGCTTATGATGTGTCTTGGTGTGGTTTTGTTTGTATTTTTCCTACTTCACATTAAAAAAATAGAAATTGTCAGAGCAATTTGAAGAAGAAGGCTAAACTTATGTTGTCTACAAGAAAGCTACTTTAACTATAAAGACACATACACCTTAAAAGTAAATGGTTAGCGAAAGATATAACACATGTTATAGGCTGAATTGTGTTCCCCTAAAATTTATATGATGTCTTAACCACCAGTACCTCAGAATGTGACTGTATTTGGAGTTATAGGAGCTTTCAAGAGGTAAATAAGGTTAAATGAAGTCATTGGAGTAGGCCCTAATCCAATATGACTGGTGTCCTTAAAACAAGAGGAGATTGGGACACACAGAGACCATGTGAAGATAAAGGGAGAAGATGACCATCTACAAGTCAAAGGAAGAAGCATCAGAATGAAACCAACCCTGCCAACACTTTGATCTTAGAATTCTAGTCTCCAGACTGTAGGGAAATTAATTTCTATTTTTTGAGCCCCCTAGTGTATGCCATACTTTGTTATGGCACCCCTAGCCCTGATGGACCATTCTAACACTAGTCAGAAGAAAGTTGGGGTAGCTGTATTAATTAGAGAGAGAGCAAACCTCAGAGCAAAGAATATTATCAGGGATAAAGAGAAGTGTTGTATAAGGATAAAGGGGCCAGTTCTCCAAGAAGACCTAACAATCCTTAATGTGTACACACCTAACAACAGAGCATCAAAACATATGAGGCAAAAAACCATAGAACTGCAAGGAAAAAATAGATGCATCCACTGTTATAGTTGGAGACTTCAGCACCCCCTATCAGTAATGGACAGATCTGGCAGGCAGCCAATTCAGTAAGAACATAGTTGAATTTAGCAGTACCATCAATCAAGTGGATATAATTGACAACTATAGAATGCTTCATCCAACAGCAGCAGAATACACATTCTTCTCAAGCTCCCAAGGAAATTACACCAAGGCAGACCACAGTCAGGGCCATAAAAGGTACCTTAAAAAATTTACAAGAGTAGAAATCATACAGCATATGCTCTCAGATTACAGTGGTATTCACTAATGGAAAGATAGCTGAAAAATCCCAAAATATGTGGAGATTAAACAACACACCTCTAAATAACACGTAGGTCAAGAAGAAATTGCAAGATAAATTGAAATGTATTTTTTTTTAATTTTTACTTTTCATTTTTGTGGGTACATAGTAGGTTTATATATTTATGGGGAACATGTGATGTTTTGAAAAGTATTTTGAAGTAAATAAAAATGAAAACACAGCTATCAAAATTTGTGGGATGCAGTGAAAGCAGTGCTTAGAGGGAAATTTATAGCACTGAATGCATATCTTAGAAAAGGTCTAAAATCAATAGTCTAAGCTTCTACTAGAGCCAACTAAGAAAAGAGCAAATTAAATTCAAAGTAAGTAGAAGAAAAGAAATAACAAAAACTAGACCAGAAATCAGTGAAATTGAAAACAGGAAATCAATGGATTACATCAAGACCAAAAGCTAGTTCTTTGAAAGGATCAATAAAATGGATGAGTCTCTAGCCAGACTATGAAAAACAAAGAAGACATAATGTACTAATATCAGAAATGAAAGAGATCCCAGATCTTCACAGAATCAATACTTAATAATTATCTTTCCAAACAGAGAAACTAAGCCTAGGCAGATCCACTGGTGAATTCTACCAAACATTTGAAGAAGTTATATCAATTTTCTGTTATCTCTTCTATAAGATAAAAACAGAATGAATAACTTACTAACTCATCTATGAAGCATTACCCTAAAACCAAAACCAGACAAACACAATATAGGAAAAGAAAAATACAGACTAATAATGGCTAAGCTATGAAGTTCAATAGGTTAGGCAGATCAAATGCATTTTCAGCTTAGGATAGTTTCATTTACAACAGGTTCATCAGGATGTAACCCATTGTAATTTGAGGAGCATCTGTATTTTAAACTATTTGATTCATGCTTGAACCCGGGAGGCGGAGGTTGCAGTGAGCCAAGATCACACCATTTCTAGCCTGGGTGACAAGAACGAAACTCCATCTCAAAATAAATAAGTAAATATATGGTTTTTCTTTTTTTTTTTTTTTTTTTTTTTTTTGAGACGGAGTCTCACTCTTGTTACCCAGGCTGGAGTAGTGCAATGGCGCAATCTCGGCTCACTGCAACCTCCACCTCCTGGGTGCAAGCTATTCTCCTGTCACAGCCTCCTGAGTAGCTGGGATTACGGGTGCCTGCCACCACGCTCAGCTGATCTTTGTATTTTTAGTAGAGACTGGGTTTCTGCTTGTTGGCCAGGCTGGTCTCAAACTCCGGACCTCATGATCCACCTGCCTCAACCTCCCAAAGATCTGGGATTATAGGCGTGAGCCACTGCACCCGGCCATGTATGGTCTTATTATTGCCCTTATGTTTAGCAATTTCATGATTTCTAAAATATTTTAAAATGTAATAATGTGCCAATAAAATGTAGTAACTCTGAAATTTTTTAAAAAATCTCGACAAAATATTAGCAAATTAAATCCAACAATGTATGAAAAGAATTATACACTGTGACCAAGTGAGATTTATGCCAGGTATGCAAGGCTGGTTCAGCATTCAGAAATCAATCAGTGTAATCCATCACATCAGGGGGCTATAGAAGACAAATCACATGCTTATATCAATGGATGCAGTAAAAGCATTTGACAAAATCCAACACCCATTCATGATAAAAACTCTCAGCAAACAAGGGATAGAGAGGCTTTTCCTCAACTTCATAAAGAAAAATGCAAATTAAAATTATAGTAAAATACTACTACAAACCTACCAAAATAAATGTAAAAGATTGGTAATATCAATTTTTGGTGAAGATGTGGAGTAACAAACTCTGATAAACTGTTGGTGTGAGTATAAATTGGCATGACTTTTAAAAAATTGTTTCATAGTATCTTCTAAAGCCAAACATACACCTACCCCGTGGCCCAGCAAGTCTACTCCTAGTTGAAATGGGTGCATATATTCAGCAAAAGACACGTACATAAATGTTCCTAGCAGCTTTGTTTTATAATAGCCATAAACTATAATCAGCCCCTATGTCCACCAACAAGAGAATAGATGGATTGTAGTATATTCATACAGTGGAATATCAACCAGTAATAAAAAAGAATGAACTACTGTTTTACATGCAGCAACATAGAAGAATCTTATAATGTTGACTAAAAGAAGCCAGGCATGAGCTGGGCTCAGTGGCTCATGTCTGTAATCCCAGCACTTTGGGAGGCTGAGGCCGGCAGATTGCCTGAGCTCAGCAGTTGGAGACCAGCCTGGGCAACACGGTGGAATCCTGTCTTTACTAAAATACAAAAAATTAGCCAAGCATGGCGGGGGGCATCTGTAGTCCCAGCTACTTGGGAGGCTGAGGCAGGAGAATCGCTTGAACCTGGGAGGCGGAAGTTGCAGTGAGCCGAGATTGCACCACTGCACTCCAGCCTGAGCGACAGAGCAAGACTCCATCTCCAAAAAAGAAAAACCAGGCATGGCTGGGCACAGTAGCTAAGGCCTGTAATCCCAACACTTTGGGAGGCCGAGGTGGGCAGATCACGAGGTCAGGAGATCGAGACCATCCTGGCCAACATGGTGAAACCCCGTCTCTACTAAAAATACAAAAATTAGCTGGGTGTGGTGGCATGTGCCTGTAATCCCAGGTACTCAGGAGACTGAGGCAGGAGAATCGCTTGAACCCAGGAGGCGGAGGTTGCAGTGAGCCAAGATCGCGCCACTGCACTCCACCCTGGGCGACAGAGCGAGACTCTGTCTCAAAAAAAAAAAAGCCAGACACAAAAGAATACATACTATATGATTATATTTATATGAAATTCAGTAAGAGACTAAACAAATTAATAACAATAACAGCATTGGGCCAGGCACAGTGGCCCACACCTATAATCTCAGAGCTTTGGGAGGCCAAGGCAGAAGGACTGCTTGGTCTTGAGTTCAAGACCAGCCTGGGCAACAAAAAGACCTAATCTCTACAAAAAAAAAAAAAAAAAGCCAGGTGTGGTGGCATGAGTCTATAGTCCTCACTACTTGGGAGGCTTAAGCAGGAAAATCACTTGAGCCCAGGAGTTTGAGGTTACAGTGAGCTATGATCACACTACCGCATTCTAGCCTAGGTGACAAAACAAGACTCTGTCTCTAAAAAAAATGATGATGATGACACCTGTAATCCCAGCACTTTGGGAGGCCGAGGCGGGTGGATCACGAGGTCAGGAGATCAAGACCATCCTGGCTAACACGATGAAACCCCGTCTCTACTAAAAATACAAAAAATTAGCCAGGTGTGGTGGCAGGCGCCTGTAGTCCCAGCTACTCGGGAGGCTGAGGCAGGAGAACGGCGTGAACCCGGGAGGCAGAGCTTGCGGTGAGCTGAGATGGCACCACTGCACTCCAGCAGGGGCGAAAGAGCGAGACTCTGTCTCAAAAAAAAAAAAAAAAAAAAAAAGATGATGATGATAAAATTGGAGTGGAGGTAACATTGTTTAGTAAGGGGTGTGAGATTGTTTTCCAGTATGCTGGGAACATTCTACATCTTCATCAGGGTGGTAACTGCCAGTGGTGTGCTAGAACAGGCTCATACTCACTTATGAGAGCCAACTATTAGATATTCATGAATTTTGCCAGCTGGTTGACTATGACTAGCTTATAATTGGCCATGATAGGAGTTTTTAATGCCGTGGAAATCTACCGATGGTTTTACAAAGTAGCAAAGTTTGGTTGATAAACATTTATCAGCATACTGCTTCTTATTGCTCACCAATCCTTGACCTCTGATTGTAGAAGGAACTTAGAAGATAAAAACCAGGGAGGTAGTAAGGAATGCTCTCATCCACCCTACGCCAAAAAGGGTTGGCCATGAGAAACTATTAATAGCATGCTATTTAGCATGTCTTGGCCAAAGAGTATTGCTTTGTTTACAGCTGCCTAGTATTTGACTTTTCCATGCTGCCTTTAGCCAAAGTAAATTTTCTCTATTTTTTTAATTTATTTATTTTTATTTTATTTTTTTTTTAGACAGAGTCTCACTCTGTTGCCCAGGCTGGAGTGCAGTGGAGTGATCTCGGCTCACTGCAACCTCCACCTCCCAGGTTCAAGCAATTCTTCTGCCTCAGCCTCCCAAGTAGCTGGGACTATAGGCACATGCCACCAGCCCGGCTAACTTTTTGTATTTTTATAGAGATGGGGTTTCACTGTGTTAGCCAGGATGGTCTCGATCTCCTGACCTCGTGATCCGCATGCCTCAGGCTCCCAAAGTGCTGGGATTACAGGTGTGAGCCACTGCGCCTGGCCTCTTTATAACAGCAAACCATAGCCTTTCCGTAGACTCCTTTTGACATGTTGCTGAATTTGTGTCCTATTGATTTTGAGTAGTTCAAGTTCCTACCCTTTTTGTTTCTACTTCTTTAGGAGCATTCCGGAAGAGTTTTTCGACTACAGTTTGATGAATTCCAGATTGTCAGTAGTTCACATGATGACACAATCCTCATCTGGGACTTCCTAAATGATCCAGCTGCCCAAGCTGAACCCCCCCGTTCCCCTTCTCGAACATACACCTACATCTCCAGATAAATAACCATACACTGACCTCATACTTGCCCAGGTATCGAAATCGATTATGTACATAACACTGTGGGTAGGAGACGGGATATTAGCTGTAAGGTGTTGCTAGTTCATGGAACTTTCTCCTGCCGTTTGGGTCACCAACTCCTGTAAAGCCGAGGAAGCAGACAATGTGAGACAGGGCTGAAGCTGCCACAGTGTGGACAGTGCCTTTCACCAAGGTAGCCAGCCTCAGTTCTAGATGATTCTAGGGTCCTACTTGTGTGGTAAGCCTAGTCATTCCTGCCCTAGTTATCTAGTAGTACTGTTATGAAAATAAAATGAGATTTGAATCAGTTTGAAAACTAAGTACTGTAATGACCCAAAGGCCTGTGATGTTTAAGTTCCCAGATCAAACAATACCTACAATAGAGACCTTTCAAGCCAAGTAAACAGTCTGATGTCTAATGTGTGAATGGAAACATCTCTTGGTGAAAGTTCACACTGACATATAAATAAAAGGGCAGATTTTAAAAGGAATATAAAAAGTAGCTTTTATATCCCTATCCCTATTCCTCAACCCTCCAAAAAGAGGACCTGTCTTTTGACCTCTGACCTCCACATGTCCTCCCACTCAAGTCTCCAACCTCTCTCTCAGGCAGGGGAAGATCCTAAAATACCCAGGTGGTCCATACATATTGTGGTATATTCAGATCATACCTGCTGTTCTAACCAGTTCGAATACACTAGGTTGTTACCAGTTTGAGAAGGCTGCCCTAGCTGCTGAGGAGCGTTGCTGTCAGGATTTGCCACGTGTGCCTCAGTTCTCGTGGCGGAAGTACATGTTCGCTACACGTTTCTGCATCTCTCTTTGCAGTGTTCCGCTGAGGACAGTGATTCACGCCCAGCTGGGCTGTCCTCAGCTTCTCTTTCTCTCACAGAGGACACGGTTCGTCGTTCCTCAGCCAGGTCGCACAGGCTGTGTGCCCTTAGACAAGTAACTTCCCAGACCCTGAATCTCTTGATGAGTAACGTGAGGGGCAGCACTCACCTCACGGAACCCTGTGAAGGCTGTGTGGAGATACTGCATGGAAAATTCCTAGTGCTTAGCACAGTGGCGAATACATAATATGCCCTCAGGAAAAACTGGTCATGAGTATTAATATTGCAATCTCCATATACCTACCCCCTCCTTTGCCCAAAATTTTCTCTTCCTTAGACTTCCGTGTTACTTTGCCATTTTTAATATTCTTCCTGACTCTCTGATTATTTGTGCTTCTTTCCCCCTCACTCCCAAGAGTCTGTTTCTGGCTTTTCTTATTATTTTTATTTTATTTTATTTTATTTCATTTTATTTTATTTTATTTTATTTCTTGAAACAGGGCTTCACTCCTGTCACCCAAGCTGGAGTGCAGTGGCACAATGTCAGCTCATTGCAACCTCCACCTCCTGGGCTCAAGTGATTCTCCTGCCTCAGCCTCCTGAGTACCGCGGGCACACAACACCATGACCAGCTAATTGTTTGTATTTTTTTTTTTTTTTTGGAGAGATGGAGTTTCACCATGTTGCCCAGGCTGGTCTCGAACTCCTGAGCTCAAGTGATCCACCTCCCTTGGCCTCCCAAAGTTACTGGGATTACAGGTGTGAGCCACCGCACCCGGCCTGTCTCTGGCTTTTCTTCCTTATCTGAGTTCCTTCTTAGGCTGCCTTCTCTATTCCCAAGGCTTCAGATCTCATCTCATTGTAGAAGACTCAAATTTCTGTCTCCAGTCCAAGCCTCTGCCTTAATCTCCAGGCCACATTTCCAGCTGCCATCCACACAGCTGTCCTTGAAGATAGCAAGAGCACTTCTAGTGCTCACATCCTCAACTGCACTGTCCCCTCCTTTACACTGCTGGTACCCTGCAGCCACACAGCCAGGCCAGCTTTCCTTGATTCCCCCACTTCTGTTACTGGCACCGCCATGCTCATGGCCACTCAAAAGGCAGGGCCCACAGACCATCCCCCACCCCTGCCCTGCCATTCTACAGGGCAAGTGAAAGCTATGCCAACCGTGGGCACTCTCAGCCTCAAGACATCAGAGTCACTCTGCTTGAACACCACAGCCCTGAGCATGTCAGCAAGCCCTGCCTTTAGTATAACTTCCCCCATCAGGCCAGGTCACCTTTGACAGAAGCTCCTGCATGGCATAGGCAGAGAGCAGGCATTAGGAAGGACCCCTAAGCCTTTTCCCCATTGGCAGCTAAGTGAATGTTCTTTTGTCTTCAAGCAAGTAAGAAATATCAAAAAAGGGGCTAATGACTATTTGCTCTGTTTTCACACAGGACCCATTAAAGTTGCGGTATTTAACGTATCTGCCAATACCAGGATGAGCAACAACAGTAACAATCAAACTACTGCCCAGTTTCCCTGGACTAGCCGAGGAGCAGGGCTTTGAGACTCCTGTTGGGACACAGTTGGTCTGCAGTCGGCCCAGGACGGTCTACTCAGCACAACTGACTGCTTCAGTGCTGCTATCAGAAGATGTCTTCTATCTTTTGTGAATGATTGGAACTTTTAAACCTCCCCTCCTCTCCTCCTTTCACCTCTGCACCTAGTTTTTTCCCATTGGTTCCAGACAAAGGTGACTTATAAATATATTTAGTGTTTTGCCAGAATCTCTCTTGCTTTGCCATTAAGCAGAAGAACTAGTTTCCCTGTATAGCCTGCTGGGAGAGACCCACTTCTAGGGTATGGGGGATGCAGCTTCAAGCCCAGTGCCCAGTGTCTCCCTGTTAACTGCAGGAATGCCAAGCACCTGGCCAGAGCAGCCCAGCCCCAATATGCTTAGGAGGAGACAGAGTTCCCTCTGTATAGCCTCTGGGACAAGAAAAAGAAAACACAAGAATGTATACACTGGAAGATTTGGGCCTCCTGCCTGCCTTCTCTTTGTTTCTGTTCCTCTTCCCATCTACTCCCCTACGCCCCTTCAACCTTTTTTCTCTGTCTGCTTCACCTGAGAAGAAAGTGTACGAAGAGAGTGTCCTCCTCTCACATGAGCCAGATCAGCCAGAAAATGCAACACTTGGAAGAGTTAAATGCTGTTCAGTGAAGATTTCAGCCCCAGGCCTTTGCTGCAAGTGACCCTGTGGCAACAGTGGATTCTCAGACATGATACTCTCATCATATTTGCAACTCTTCTCTCTCTTTCTTCCCCACACCCAAGAGGAGGATTGGTGGTAGGGGGCAGGCAGAGGGGGTGGGGAGAAGTTTCCTGGGCTCCATCAATGGCTGCATCTTTTCTGGACTCAGCAGTCTCCTTGATTCCATGTAGAGTGTGGAAAGGAGTTGCTGATTGCATTTCCTCTCATTAACAATTGGGTGTGTAATAAAAAGCATTGTACTTCATCTTAAATCACTGGTAAGGCTCAGCCTACAGAAAGATTTGAAATGGCCAGAGCCAATCGCTTGGTGCATTCTGCGTAATGGTTTCCATCTCCGATTTCCTCATCAGGGCCTGTGAATACCCAGGTGCCTGTATCTTTGCCAAGACCGTGATCAAGGTAGCTTAAGAGAGATGGTCAGGAGAAAACACTGTTTTTGTTTTTTTTGTTGTTTTGTTTTGTTTTGGCCAGTTAAATATCATCTCTCAAATATTGATCTCACCGTGTCAACCTTGCACTGCACAACCTTCCTTCTGCTTCTCCCACACCCAGTATTTGCAGAAGGGCAAAGCTGCTTAAGAGAGAGGATCAGGGTGAAGTTTGGCACACAGGGTTTATTAATGGGGCAAAAACTGCCTTTTCTTCCTCCTCCTGACCTTATTTTGCTCTTCACTCTCCCCAGCCAATAAAGCGTCTGTGGCGATTGGTGAACAGCATAAACAGCTGGACCTCAGCAAGGGTCAGGCAAACCCAGTCACTCGGAAGGCAGCTGTGTGAGCTGCCAAGCTAGTGGGCTTCAGGTGCAAGGGTACCTGTGCCACACCAACCTGGGAGCACACAGAATACTATTAATGTGCACCCAGCTGGTCTCCCCAGGCAAGAAGGTATCCTCTTCCCAAGGTGTACCCACTGAATGTTGTTACTACATATTGAGAGTCATTTTATGCATATGCATTCTACCTTTCCTGCTTTATGAGTATTTTTAAGCTTTTAGTTCAAGGTTATATTCAGAAAATATTTCCCAGTATAATGATACATCGTAGCCTAAGAAATATTTTCTCAATGTAATTCCCTTCCCAGCTACCCAAATGCTACAGAGAAATGTTTTCTACTTGGCCACTATCAGGGTTCGTCATCTATTGTGTTGACTATTAATGGCTTTTTGATTGGGTAAGGATTTTGCTATAGATGAAGGTAGAGGGCTGTCAGCCCTGAAAAACACACAGGTCAGACATTTAAAAGGCATGGGTTTCGAGCTGTCTCAAAATATTGCCCAATAGCCATAATTTTACCAGCCTTTCTGTCATATGCTGCTATTACAAAGTGGAAGCTGTTGAATGTTTATTGGTGCCCAGGGTTTTGCTCTCCAATCTAGGTTCAGTTGAAGGAATATTGTTTCTAAGACTGTTTTGAGACATGTCCAGTACATCACAAAGGAGATCGGGGCGACCCCTGCAGATGTGGAGCCATTAGCCCAGTTGAGGATATTCTCCAAGTTGTCCTCTCTCCTGCTGATGGAAATGGGAATGAAGTTAAGTGGTCTGAAAAACTTGAATCGTTCACATTTCTCAGCTCTGGGGGTCATTTACCAGTTTGTTGTAGAAGAAATAATCAGGTAAGTTAAAAGTTCATTTCCAGAGAAGGTAAACCCCACTTACCATCTCTGCATGATTTCAGTGGGAATTGATTATCACTAATCCCCAACTGGGCTAGAATAAATGTAAAGTTTGACCTTTTTAAAACGAAAAGAGAGACAAAGTCTCAGCACATTCCAAGGAGTGGTAGAAACAGAGCTGAAGGTGTCCCCATTGTAGATTAGTCTCTTCTCACTAAAATTTACTTTCCAACGTAGGGCCTAAAGGAAACCTTTCTTAAAGACAGGCTGAAACCCCTTCAAAGGCAGATGAGGAGGTACAGACACGTGACCTTTTGGTGCACACTGGAGCTACTTGGACAAGACCAGCATGCCTTGCTGCACGTGTGTGTATTTCACTGCTGAGAACATCCTTTAACTTGGTGTGCAATTTGAAAGGATGTGAATCATGGATGGAAGGCCATTTGTACATGTCCCTTGGCAAAATTCTTTCTGGTGTCTCCTAACTTCAGAGACAGGGACTCTTTTTGGATCTCTATTGACAAGTAATAAAAGTCTGGCCCTCATAACTTGTTTCCGAACTAGAAAAGTCTGTGAGACCCCTACATCATTCTGGTTTTTTTGCTTGAGTAAGAACAATCCTTTTTTATTTTTCTTCTGTACAGTCTAAAGCTACAGAGAAAAAAAAATGCACTCTTCCCTTGCCGGCTCCTGGTACCATTGGTCTGAACAGCTGTAGTTGGTCTACTCCTTACTTAGCACTTGATTGTGTGGGGAAACAAAGGTGGGAGGGGTGGGGAATACTGGAAATAATCAGGGCAATTTTTTTCTTTCCCATAATTGGACTAGATACCTTGGTACTGTTGACCTTCTCAGCATCTCCCTTTTGCCTTAGATGGCAACACCCTCCAGTCTGTAGCAGAGCAGTCCAACCCAGATTAGTGCAGCCCGGAGGCTTAGGGTGCAGCCTCCCTGGTCTTCCTCCACACAGTTGTTCACCAACAGACCAGACCTCCTTTAACCACAGTGTCAACATAGTATCGGAAAGAGAGCCATTTCTTAGGGGAATAAAACAGTTTCGCTTCTTTAGCTCATCTGTGGTGTCAGAATCCTTGGAGCTGAAGAGAGAAATCAAAAGAGCATGATGATGGCTGCCTGGTTTCAGGTGGAACTTAATGCATTGATCTTTAGAAGCTCCTTCTGTTGGAAGTTGAGTACCTGTGATCTAAAATGTCCTGGAGGCAGATGACATCTAAAATATGTGCTTTCCAACCAGCACAGCTGGCGCTCTTAGCTCCTGATTGGTTGTGTGTTTTATTAAGGATCAGTGCAGTTAAGTCGTATTTTAAAGTGTTACCTCCCCTCCTAACCCTTCCCCTTCTTGGACACTGAAGGAAAAGGCCAACTAGGGTGTTAGCCCTCTGGGCACCAAGGAAACTAACAGCTTTCTCAAAGCGGTGACCACTCAGGCCAGCCCAGACAAATCTGAGGGATGGCCAGTGCACTCCAATGATGGGACAGGCCTAACAACACATGTAAGCTTCCCCGAGAGCTTTCAGCTGGTTCACCTCTTTGTTCTCTAGACTCTTAAGTACTGACTGCTTTGACTTTTGTGATTATGTTATGGTGATGTGTAGTCAGTGTACCAATATGTTCACAACCTAGGATCATGATAATGGAGTGTGTTTTGGGTTTTTTTTAACTGTTCAGAAAAAAAGTAAATTACAAATATAAGATTAAAGTGAATTTTCTAAGCGTCTTGTCTCCTTGCCCCAGCATCCAGAAGGGCAGTACACTTTTCAGTATACAGACTGAGGGAGTGCAGAGATAGAATACCTTTGCAGATAATCTGACATGAGAAAACAAGATTGAGAGAAAGCAGGGCTGGATGCTGTGGATGAGTGTGGGGTCCCTGGCTTACGCCTACTGTTCCATGTTGAGTTAAATTGAAGCCAAAGTCATGTCTCATTTGTGCATTGGTCACCTTAGCCAACCACAGCCCAACCTGAATGCAGAATTTACATTTTTCTCTGCCCCTCAGCTGTGAAAAGACTTGAGTTTCCCCTACATCCCATTTGATCAGTTTATAGGCAAGCAAGCTCACATCTGGGAGCAATTTCCAGAGGGGCTCCAACAAGCTGTAAGAATGAAGGCACCCTTGACTATCTGGGATATGACATTGCAGTTCTTGAGTGAAACCCCCCTTCCCTCCTTCAGCCAAACCTGGAGAGGTACAAGGTTGCAGGCAGTGGCCGAATGGGACTATCTCTCCCCGTTGGCCCTGTACCCCTCCCCTCTCTAGTGTCACAAACAGGATCCTTGTCAAAATTGACCCATCCTTCTTTTAGATCTATGGGCTTTTTGTATTAATAACCCTTCCACATGACCAAGGCTCTCTGGCTTCCATCAGCCTTGTAGTCTCATTGTCTTGTCTGGACTGACCACTGGCCATGAGCAATCTCAGACTGTGGTCAATATCAGGGCCGCTGTGCAGAACCCTCCCTACTAGAGCTGGAAGAATGTCAGAGCATCAGGTCCACCCAACCCTTGGCAGATGAGGAAACTGAGGAGAAAGAAAAGGGACCCACATTGCCCAAAACTACACTGAAGAATCCTCCCTAACAACTAAGGGCAGGCAGCACCCAAGAGAGAGAAGGAAGGGAGGGAGGTGTCAGAGGAACCACTGTGGGGCCACTGGTATCTGCTCAGTTAATATTCCTCACCAGCTGGGCTCCTGAGCAGAGGCTGAGCCTAAGAGTTTGTGGACCTCACCCTCAAACTGTGTCAGATCTCTTCCCCAGGAAGGGTGTGGTCTAGGGCCTGCCCTGGCAAGTCTCAACCCTATAGCCGTGGTTTCCTACTCCCAGGCTGGGCCAGGAATCCCTCCCTGCTTTAAACCTATAGCTGTGCCACCATCAGCAATGACTAAGGGGAGGAGATCTCTCTTCTTCCTGATTGGCTCTTGCCAATTAAGAGCACTTTATTAGGCTGCTAATTAAAGGCACTTCGTTAGCAGCAGGAGAGGCCAAGTGGGTGCCTGGTGAGACGGAGGTGAAGCCTGGAGAAATTGTTTTCGTCCCCCCATGGAAGCAGAGCCTCTCAGGGAAGCTCTCAGTCCCCACCCTCTCCTGCTGCGCCTACAACACCCCTTGCTTTCAATTAGCAACTCTGAGGGGAGCAAGGTGATTACCAAACCCAAGCTGGAACCCCCCACCACCACCAGCACCACCTCAGGCTGCATGCGGTCCTCAGGGGCTGGCCAGACCCCCAGGCACCTCATGAACCCGGGCCCAGGGAAGGAGAGGCTGGGCAGCCCAATGGGGAGTGTGCTCTCCCCACTAAGGAATGGGGCATGACTCCCCAAGCAGCTCAGGTGAATGTCACCTGGTCCTCATCATTGGGGCCATCCCTAGCAGTCACTGGATAACCAGTCACTTGTTCACATAGTGTGAATCCTCATGCTCCTTTCCTCAACAAACACTCATGATTTCATGGAGGAAATGTGCCCTTCCCACCCGTGAGGGACAGTCCCTGGTCGTTTAACAAGAGCACAGCCCACGTAGACCCTGAATGGGTCCTGGAGGAGAGGGGGCTGACAGTTTTACAATCCCGGCCATGCAGACCCTTGAGCGACTCCTGTCCCTGAGCTCATGTCGAATGTGAGGCGCTTCCCCTGGACGGTCCGAATGAGCCCCCTGCAAGAGAGGAGAGCCTGGCTATGACCTAGCACGTGGGGGTTGGCATGCAGGGACACCCCCTCTCCAGAGCCCTGCCTGTCCCATCTTGTGCCCACCTCACCCCTCAGTTAACTGCAGAATTAGCACCGGCCGTGAGGGCAGATTTATGACTAGGCCTGCCTCCCTCCACTTAACCCGAGGCCGGCCCGGGCTCCAGACACTAAATTAGATTTTTGACAATTAGAGAGACTAATGGGCACATAGCCATCCCCAGAGCCAGATATCCAGATCCAGCAAGGCCATTCTTTAATATCCACCACCAGCCAGCCCAACCCTCCCCTGGCCACCCCCTTCTCCCTCCCGTGGGTGGGCATTTCTCTCTCCCCAGCCCCTGTCTCTCTCTGCCCGGGCTCTACATGCACTCACGAGCTGTCTCTGGTTCCCCTTCCCTGTCTCACCTACTCTTGCCTTCCAGCCCCTTGCCCAGTACCAGCCTGGCTCTAGAACGCTGTCCGTCTCCTTGCCTTCAGCCTCCTTTTTGTACTTTGAACACTTCCATCTTAAGCCGCCCTTTCCCCAGGGCCCATCTATCTGTAATCTTCCATCTGCCCTGAGGAGATTGCAAGCCCCTTGAGGGCAGGGGCTTAGGCTCTCTCTGGATCCTAAATGCTCCGCACCCAGTCAGTGTTTACTGTTTGTTGTTTCCTGAGACTCCAACTCCTTCCTCCCCCTTCCTCTGAGCTGCTGGGTCTACAAGGCCTGCCCACCTTGCCCTCTTGGTCCCAGGCCCACCCTGGCTCTGGCCTGGCTCTGCTTGGATTGGGTGGCTCCCCCTTCCCTGCAGCCCCACAGCTCTGGCCAGTCTTGAGTTGGCCGGGTAATGAGATTGCAGTAAGTAGTTGGGGGAGCTGCTCACATTCACTCAGGCGGACTCATAGCTCTGTCAGGCTGATTGGTCCTGAGTGGAGGCACAAACGGCCCCCCATGGACACACTGCGATTGGTTATAAAATTACAAGCATTTGTCCTGCTGTCAGGGGCCTTCCTCCCGCCCCTCTGCCTGCCTGCCTGGGCTCCCACCATTCCCCACCCATCCCTTTCCCCAGTGGGGTTGGCCCACACACCCCAAAGGACCTGGCCAGGGGCCACCACAGCAGGTAGGGCTAAGAGGCTGAGGCCACCAAGCTCCCAAGGGGCAGGTTTTCATGTCTTGGCCCTGGAGTGGTTCACAGTGCAGGCTGGCCTCAGAGTGACCTGACCCTGTGCTCAGTGTTTCCTGTCCCCTGAGGGTAAGTGGGGGTGGGGGCCCCAGGGCAAACAGGCCTTGGAATCCTCAGGGGAGGAAGAGGTGTCCCAAGCCCCAGGCCTCCCAAGGACAACCAATGCCTGCAACTTCAGATGTGGTCCCAGGCTGGAGCTGTGGAGCAAGGGGTGGCTGAAGGCCTGCCCTGCTGAAGGGGAGAGCAGCAGAAGCCAGGTCGGCCACAGGAGCCCATCTCTCCTCCCTCCAGGTGGCCAGACCCTTGCCCTGTATCCTGACCCCCAGCTAAGGACAAATCAGCCTTCAGGAGAGTCTCTGAAGCCTAGACCAGAACAAAAAGCCAGTATGGCACACCAGAGCCTTGCTGTGGTTACTGGTCCACAGGCTGAGTCCTCTAGGTCTGGCTCTTAGACACCCCCACCCAGGCCTTGGCAAGGGCCCAGTTACCCCCACGCATGAGTGCCTTGAAATCCCACCTAGTGCTCTCTTATGCTCACACAGAAACACCCACTTCTTCCTGGCTGAGACCCAGGCATCAGCCCAGGCCCTCTCACCCCAGCTGCACAGCCTCCTTCCCACTCATTTCTCCAGCCAGGCCCCAGACCCCAGCCCCTGACCAGCCCCCAGCTCCAACCTCAGTCCTTCCTCTCTGGAGGCACCAGGGCACCCTATAATCTGCTTGGAGGGATGCTGAGGGAAGGGTTCCCCAGCTTGGAGAGGGGAGCGTTAGGGGAGCAGCGTCTCCTGGCTGTGGGCCACAAGGTGCCTTCCTGCCATCCGTCACTCATTCGCAGCCCAGAATGTATTTGCTGTAATTACATCTTTAATTAGGGTGGTGACGGCTCATTGTTCACCAACAATGATGAATGGGTCCTCCTGGTTGCCATCCTCCCTGTCCAGCACCCTCCAGGTCAGCTCTCCCCCAGCTTTGGGGCTGGGAAGGATACATGAGCACAGGCTCTTCTCCCATCGAGTCCCAGGCCCTGAGGCCTAGAAGCAGCCGTGAGCTCTCCCCCAAGGGTGATGATGTTCTTCTGGGCCTCCGGGGGCTCCCAAGGGACTCGACAGATCCTGATACCTTCACCCAGGGCTCCCTGCAGCAAGGCTGCAGATCTCACAGCCACCAGATGTCTCCTTGGTCCAAACTGGCCAGGCCGGGGGGGTAGCCTGACATTGCCTCACTCCCACCCACCACACACATGCCACATCACCACGCCCAGACTCGTCCCTGGGCCACACGCTCCTCATCACAGGAGCTGACAGGTGCAGAAAGAAAGGCTTGCAGTTCACAAGCTGGAGGGTGAGTGGGCAGCCTTAACTCCAAGCTCCCCTGTGAATGAAATGGGGTCTCTGACCAAGGCGAGGCCTCCCTTCCCCCACATGCCTATGCGCACCCAGGCCATGTGCCCAGGCCCAAAGCTGCAGGTGGTGGATGTTTGGTGACTCCATGAGCAAATGGATCCATCAGTGAGAGGAAATCCATGCACCTGTTTGGAGATCATGGGCTGGTTGGGGCCTATGGTAAGCAGAGGGGCCGGGACAGGCCATGGAGGCCCAGGAGGCTTGTGGAGGTGAGAACCCTAATCTGGGTTAAAGCCCCAAGTGGCATGCTCCTGGCTGTATGACCTGGGTGTGTCCCCTAACCTCTAAGTGTTCCCTCATTTATAAGAGGGGGATGAGAACAGAACTCCCCCACAAGAGATGGCTGCCTGGATTTTCACTGCAACACTGCATGCCAAGTGAACAGAGCAGGCCAAGGTGGGAGCCACAAAGGAAGGGGGGTGCAGGGCAGCTGAGGCCACAAGGAGCTGGGAGAGGGACCTCACACCTTGGTGTGAAAAAGACCTCAACAACTGCAAGCTTTGTTGGGCACAGAATGGGAGGCGGGGGTGGCAGGGCTGTGACAAGGGTGGCGTAGGATTGGGTGCACAGTAGTTGCACAGGACATACTTGTTGATAGGAATTGCGGCGGGGGCCTCCTTTCAGAAGCTGAGGAAGCTCCTCCCAGCGTGGGCATGATCTGGTCAGGGCAGGGCCCTGGTGAGGGAGGCTGCCATGGGGATATAGGGATAATATCTTCTTCATAGGATGGTCATGAGTACACTGGGAGAGGTGAATGGATTAGAAGTGCTCAGAGGCCGGGGCACAGTGGCTCACGCCTGTAATCCCAACACTTTGGGAGCACAGATCACCTGAGGTCAGGAGTTCAAGACCAGCCTAGCCAACATGGTCTACTAAAAATACAAAAAATTAGCCGGGCGTGGTAGCATGCGCCTGTAATCCCAGCTACCTGGGAGGCTGAGGCAGGAGAATCTCTTGAACCCGGGAGTAGGAAGTTTCCGTGAGCCGAGATCATGCCACTGCACTCCAGCCTGGGCAACAGAGTGAGACTCTTTGGAAAAAAAAAAAAAAAACAATCATCAGGGGTCCAGGCGCAGTGGCTCATGCTTGCAATCCCAGCATGTTGGGAGGACCCAGGAGAACGGGTCGCTTGAGTCCAGGAGTTCCAGCCTGGCACAGAGGGAAGGGTGTTGGAGAGACAGCTTTGAATGCCAGCAGGGACATGGAGCCCATGGACTGCATCTCTTTTGTGTCAGTGTTTATGGATACATGGTCGTTGTAGTACCTTTAAGGTACTGGCCTTGGAGACAGCAGGGCAGGCTAGCACAAGTGGCTTCAGGAAGGGTAGCTGGCAGGAGGGGATGCAGATGGGTTGTGCCCTCTGCCCTTTCTACTTCCAGCTCTACAGTTCTGTGACTCCCATCCCTCCATGGGGACTGTCATTTTCCATGGAGCCTCTCTACTCCCAGGGATGGCCTTTCAGCATCCCCGCTCTTCCCCAGCAACCCTCTCCACCCCGCAGGGACCCCCTTCCCAGGGTGGAAGCCCAGGCTGGAAGGAAGAGTCGTACCTAGCGGTAAGTATGGGCAACATTACATATGTATATTGGAGAGTAAATAACCCCAAAAAGCGCCTTGTAAATAGACTCTGAGTTTATCCTTTATTAATGAGGCACCGAGTGCCCTGCTGTTTTAGAGCAGCGAGACTTTCATAATATCAAAACCTAAATTACACTTGCGTCTCTCATCCCAGGGACGAGCATCTTTCAGCCCCGTTTGCAGAGTGAGTAAGCAGGAATCCCTCCTTGCCTGCCTGGGAGTTGGTGGCACCTTTCTTCTGGCTGGAGTGAGGGTGGATGTGGACACACACACCCCAAGTCCCTGGAGAGCTCCGTGTCTAAGGCCTCAGGGTCCCATGGATGAGGGCTGACTGGGATGCCGGCCTCTGTTCCTTGCACAGAGTTTACCGGATCCAGGGGCTGCCCCAGGCTCTGAGGTTTACTCTTTCAACATAAGGCAGTGGACACTTACAAGCTTTGTGATCAAGTTACTCCCCATCTCTCAGCTTCAGTTTATACATGTGTAAAACAGGGATAATATCTTCATAGGATGGCCGTGGGGACGCTGGGAGAGGTGAATGGATTAGCAGTTCTTGGGGGTGATGGGGCCTGCACGCAGTGGCTCATGCCTTGCAATCCCAGCACATTGGAGGCCAAGGCAGACAGATTGCTTGAACCCAGGAGTTCCAGACCAGCCTGGTCAACAAAATAAGAACCTGTCTCTACAAAAAATACAAAAATATGCTGGGTCTGGTTGTGTGTATCTGTAGTCCTGGCTACTCGGGAGGCTGAGACGGGAGGATCACCTGAGCCCAGGAAGGTGGAAGCTGCAGTGAGCCGTGATCATGCCACTGCACTCCAGCCTGGGCGACAGAGTGAGATCCTGTCTCAAAAAAAAAAAGAAAAAGAAAGTGCTCGGGGGTGGTGCTTGGCAAATGTGAGTGGTGATGATGATAATGATAGTGACAACAATGATTAATTCCCCTCTTTGGGATGGGACATCATTGTCTTCTGTTCAATTCCTGGAATGGACCATGTGGGTGGGGTGGGGGGGCCCAAGCTCCAGCCCCATCCTGGCATCAAGGCGCTGCGCTGAGGTTGGGATGCCAGGGCCCTTCTCACCCCAGCACATTCAGGATCTGACTTTGCTGTGTCCCCCAACTCTGGGGCAGAACCCAGACCCTCTTGGCCCCCTCGATTCCCCAGGTCCAAGACCCCTCTCAGGCTCCCTGGGGATTGCATCTGTCCTGCCCTGGGCCTGGGCCAGGCTGGCTAGGCAGGCAGGTGGGCAGGCGGGCGCGGTGTGGTCAGGATTTACAGCTTGGCCAGCCAGGTTCCTGGTGCTCCGGTGGGCGTCATGTCGAGTCTGTCCCATTATATGGACAGTTGAGTTTAATAGTCATTGTGTGCTCACTCAGAGCCCAGCAAACATCGCGGGGCGACACCCCCTCCACACTAGCCGCCCGCTCCCCAGCCACACGGCCCATCCATACAGTAAATTAAAAATATGAATCACTTCTCCCCACTGCCTCCCCAAACGCTCATCTTGTCAGCCTCTATGTTGCCTTCATTTGTATTACCTTAATTTAATGTTAATTATGGTCTTCATTTACAAGGAACAAGCGAGCCCTGCTCCGCCAGGGGAACTTCCCCCCAGCCCTCCCCGCTCAACCCAGGAGGAGAGGCTGGGGGAGAAGGGGAATTTGGGGGACTGCAGGAGTGAAAAGGGGAGTTAGGGAGAGGGCATGAGATGAGATCTTGGCCATCAGAGGCTGGTGGCCATTCTAGGAGGGACTAGGAGGACCTCCCACCTCCCCCATACACTCTGTCTTCAATCATTTATTCATTCCACAGCAATTTATTGAGCACATAATATGTGCCAAACAATCAGGAACCAGAGAGGGGGGGGTGGGTGTCTCTCTCTAATAAGCGCTAATGGAGTCCCCTCTGCAATCCTGAAGTGAATGTGGATCAGAAAGACATATCCGTGCCCCAAGTGGGCTGGCCCCTGACCCAGCCTAGAGGGCATAGGACACAGACAAGTGGGGGAGGTTCCTTCCCTTCCAAGCTTCCCTGGACTACCAGTGTTACCCTGTCCTTAATCTGCCTCACACCCCTTTCAGGCAGGAAGTTCTTTCTGGAGTCTTTCCTAAGTCCCTCTTGCTGCAGATCAGCCTAGGCTCAGAGCCTGAATAGGGCCAGGAGTGGAAGAGTGACTCCCATGCCACACTGTCTCTGGAGGGTTGGGAGGAAGGCATTGTGGGGATCAGTCATCCCACCACCCACCAGCCAGCAGCCATCATGCCCCCACCTCATCACCACCCCCCAGCCAGCCATGCAGACTCCACCAACATCCTTGTATCTGAGAGTCCTGGGAGCCCTGATTGTGACTCTTTTTTTTTGAGATGGGAGTCTCCTACTGTCACCTGGGCTGGAGTGCAATGGTGCCATCTCGGTTCACTGCAACCTCCGCCTCCCAGGTTCACGCGATTCTCCTGCCTCAGCCTCCCAAGTACCTGGGATTACAAGCGCATACCACCACGCCCAGCTAATTTTTTTTGTACTTTTAGTAGAGACGGGGTTTCACTATGTTGGCCACGCTGGTCTCAAACTCCTGACCTTGTGGTCTGCCTGCCTTGGCCTCCCAAAATGCTGGGATTACAGGGATGAGTGAGCCACCACGCCCGGCCTGATTGTGACTCTCTGGCTGTCCCTGTGCTGCCAATGGAACACACAGTCACATTCAGGCCTGTACAGCCTGTGGGGAGCGCAGTAAATGTTGGTGGCTGATGTCACACGTGTGCACACGAAGCTGGCAGAGGGCCACCTGCATGCAAGCTGCCATTAACCAGGAATATCCTCTCCCCTGCCCCCCCTACATACAGCTCTTCCACTGGGGAAGAGGATCTCCAGCTGGGAATATCTTGACAGACGAGGCTGTTGTGAGTGTGTGTCTGCATGTGTGTCCTCTCCAGGGAACCTTGATCCCTGCATAGGGACATGTGTCCCCCAGCATCGGCGTGTCTCTCAGGTTCCGCGTGCATGTGTGTGTGTGCGCGAGCATGTATCCAGCAGGCCCATGTGCATGTGTGCGCGCCTGTGCTCATGCACGCCCCCCCTCCCGCTGTCAGCCGCGCTGATGACATTGGCGCAGAGGAAAGTGATGACAAATGCCCGTTATCAGCGAACGAGGCCGATGACAAATGGGCGGGCGCCCGAGCAGCCCCATTACGCTGTAATAACAGAAGATGGATGGCCTGGAGCCCCCCCACCCCCACCCCGTGCCGGTAACGGGAGCCGATCCTGCTCCGCCCGCCCCGGGAGGGAGCCCAGCCGCTGCCGCCGGGCCGCCAATCACGTCGGGGCCCAAGACGCCCAGACCGAGGAGCCGTGAAACCACGCGGCCCTTCTCGGCGGAGGAACAAAGCCCTGCGCTCAGCGGCCGCAGGGGGCTCACCGGGCGTCTGGCCTGCCTGCGGCCAGGACGTGCAGCTGTGCACACACATGGCCTGCACACGCGCCAGGCGCCTATATCCTTGTACGGTGCACCCGCAGCACTTGTTCAGGCACAACCCTGACCTCATGGGACCATGCACACATCCTTTTGTGTCACGCACACACATACATCTGCCACCAGACCTGGGTATACACCCGCCAATGTAAATCCATGCACACACCACCGTGCACACCCGTGTACCTTCAATTCTTACACAAGCCTACAGAAACCACTATGTCCATACACATGTATGCGCCTAACATGATTGCTCATGCATAGATATGGAAATATGTATACATATAAGCAGAAATGCTTGCACATGAACACAAGCCCTACACACTGCTCTGTGCACACAATTCAGGGTGTCTAAACACCCACACACATGTAAAAGATGCCCACAGCTGCATCAACAAGTATTGACTGAGTCATACCATGCACCTGTCAGTTAGGTGCTGGGGCAGTTATAATGATGAAGGTAACACCATCCCTGTCTTCTAGAATCTTAAGTTTATGGGAGTGGGCAGATGAATGGCTGTGAGTGAAGGCAGAAAGTTGCTATGTGCTTTGACCCAAATAGTTTGTGATATAAGATTTACAACTGGAAAATCAGGACAGTCTTCCTGGAGGAGGTGGCTAAAGGAGGAGTGAATTTTTTAGAGGAACTGAATTCTGAACAAAAGGTATGGAAACGGGGAAATGTAGGGAGTGTTTGAGGACAAGAAGTCTAAGAGGACAGGAATCCAGGTGAATGGCATTGGTTGAGTGTGGTGGGAATGAGACTTCTCAGACAGACTGGGACTGGGAGGCTGGAAGCCAGGAGGCAATCGAGGAGGGTGGAGCCTGTCCACCTGAGAGACCCATGAGGCCTGGGCTAGCCTAAGACCCGTGAGGCCTGGGCTAGCCTAGAAAGGAAAGGAGAGGATCAGGAAGTCAATGAACCAGAGAGTAAGCGGGCGGGAGGCGCCAGGCAGGCTGACTTGACAGGACCCTGCACTTACACGAGCCCCATGCCTGATTGTACATTCTACTGTCTCTGTCTTGAAATTCTAATTTTTTATTAAGAAGCTCCTTGTTTTCATTTTGCACCAGGCCTTGAAGATTATGTTGCCCATCCTGGATCCTGAGGTTTCCAGGCTGAGCTAGTAAGACAGGCCAGCAGGAGTAGGTTTGGGAGAGGAGCTGGTGAGTTTGATTTGGGACGGGGGGTATGTGAGAGGCTGGAAGTGGAATGGGGGTTGAGGAGACAGGGGAAGATTCCATGTCTCCGTCCACAAAGTGAGAATTGCTGCCTCGCATCTGCCAGCGCCCAAGTCCACTTCTATTCTGCAGTGAGTCCGCGCCCCACCAGAGCCCTCAGACATACCTATCCTGTGCGCGCGCCCCTTGCTAGAATACAGCACTCGCAAGCTCCCAGTGTTGCCCCTACATTCTCAGGGCCTGACACATGGTAGCCACTCAGTACCTGTTTGTTGAATGAATAACTGTATTCATGAATACATGTGCACATATGAATCCACATACATACTCACGGGGCATCCATTGTCCCCACCACGAAGGGTACCTGCACGACCGAATATCTTCCCCTATCCCACTGTCACTGCCCCACACTTCCTCCAAGACTTTTCTGTTACCCTGTGTCTAACCTGGGGGCGGAATGCCCTTGCCTCAGTGGCCCTCTCATTGGGTGTCTCCTTTGCAGGCAGAGTTGGGCAGGAGTTAAGGAGGAGCAGAGAGCGGGAGAAGGCCAGGACCCGGGGGAAGGTGGGACAGAATAGAGGCTATGACTGAATTCCAGTCTCAGCTCCTCCCTGGCTTCTCTCAGCTCAAACTTCTTCATCTGCAAAATGGGGATGGCAGGCAGAAAGGCATTCACACGGACACCTGGCTGCTGACACCGAGATAGAGTAAATCGAGGCAGGCTTTGAGAAGGCTGCTTCCCTACCCCCAACTCTGGGTTCCCTGCGGTGTTGAAAGTGGATGAGGGGCCCAGGGGATGACCCAGGTGATCTCAAACAAGGGGAGGGAGGCTGGCACTCCTGAGAGGAGGAGTGGTCCACTCCCAGTAGAAACCAGATGATACAGGAACTGAGACCCCAGCCAGTGCCTTGTACAACCCACATACAAGCAGGCACAGAAATGAGGTGGCCCCCAAAGACTACAGTAAACACTCTGACCTCAGGTAGCTTGGGGTGGGAGGAGGCAGAGGACACCAGAGAGAGGGGCCTGGGGAGGGAGCCCGGTGGAGGGGGGTGGGGGGCACCAGGGTTCCTCTGCCAGGGTACCCTGCCTTCCAACGGCAAGGACTGCTCCCTCCCCCCTCAATCAATGCTGGCTTCCCAATATGAGAATGGAAAAGGCGTGTGTTCCCAGGAACCCCCACCACCCCCACCTGTCTCCTTCACCTTCCTGTGACCCATTTTGGGTCTCTCCAATGTGTTCTGGTCACGCCTCTACCCCAACCCCCACCCCCATTGCAGCGGTGTTAACCATCACCTCTCAGACCTGTCAGGAGGTCCTTGGGAAGCCCCCAGCAAGGGGACTGCAGTGAAAGGCACCAGGATGAGAGGGGAGATGCCGGCAGGCAGGGGATGGGCCGGCTAATGGGCCTCGTCCCTCCTCCCCTCACCAGTTCACTTCTTCTGTAGCGTTATTGACCTGTCATTAGTTATCCGTCCAAGGTCGACGGGCCTGGCCCAGCCATAAATCACGGCGGCTGGAGGTGGGCTACAGGCGGAGCGATGGTCCCTGGGATGCAGTCCAGAGCTCAGCCCCCAGCTCAGCCCGGGAGGAGGCGCAGACGGCCTCAGCAAGTCTCGGAAGAGCTTCCCCGGGGGAGCTGGGCCCGCTTTCGTGTCCACGCATCCCGGCCCTCCTCCGCGAACCTTCTCAACTTCCCCACGGTGCTCCAGGCAGCCCCTCCCTCCGTCTCTCACGCCTTTCTCCTCTCCCCATCTCTTTCTTCTCTCAGGCTCTGCCTTCAAGGTGGGCGGGGAAAGAGGGATGGGGTGGGGACCTGGGGAGGTGCTGGTTCCCGCCCACTCGGTGTTCTCACCCCACCTGATCTCCCAGTTTAGAACATCCAGGATCAAGGACAGAACACACCCACGGGGAAACTGAGGCACAGAGCCCTGACCAGGGTTGAGTGTGGGGAATGGGGTCCCACCGGATTCAGCACCAAAGTCACCAGTCCCAGCTCCGCTGTCTCAGCTCCCGGCGGGGTGACGGGGAGGCTCTACCCCCTTCGAAGGGCACGCCAGGCCCCTTCGGGCCGCCTCCTGCAGAGAGGAGCGGGGGCTCGCGCTGCAGCAGCGCAGTGGGGACCCTTCCGCCCCACCCCACTCCACCCCACTCCACTCTCACGCCCGAGATCGGAGAGAAGCCCGGCCGCGGGTTTCTTGCCCCGCACCCACCGCACCCTCAACCACACCCCACCCAGGCCTTCCGCGCGGCCGGACCTCTTCGCCGGTCCTCGCGCGCCCTCTGCTGGCGGCTTCCAGGAAGCGCGCCCGTGGCCCCCAATACCCGCCCCGCCCCCAGCCAGGCCCCGCAGCCCGGCAGGCCCCGCACCCGTCCCCAAGGACGCCCCACGGAGCACTCCCCATCCCGCCATCCCCGTTTCAGTGCGGCCGCTCCCATTTCGGATCCCAGAGGCCCGTTTGTTCCCAGAGGGTGGAGGGTGTTAGGATCAGGAAGGCAGAGCCTGAAGCTAGAGTGGCGAGTGAGGCTCCTCCCTGCGGAGCCCGAGGGGCATCTGCAGCCCGAATTTATTCTTCGCAGGGAGGTAGAGAGGGGACATCTCCTTGCAGACCGCCCCTCCGCTTGGTGGTCCTGAGGCTCCCGTGGGCACAAGGTAAGGGAGAGCCAAGGAGGCCCTCAGGTGGGTGGACCCTGGTTCTCAGAGTCTCTGAGGTGGGAAGCTGGCGCTCAGGACTGTTGCCAGCAGGAAGGGGAAGAGCATGGCCTCTGGGTTCTCCTCTGGGGCCACGCCCGAGGGCCCTCGGCTCCCTCCCCGTTAGGCAGCTCGGGAGGAAGGGGAACAGGCCGGGGGATGATCCCCTTACAAGGTGCTGTCTGGCTGACAGGTAGGGAGGGTAGCTCGACCAGAGGCTATGCTCAAACTGGCCCCAAAGTGCTCCACAGAATGCTGGGTCCAAGGTCAGGATGATGAGGGAGGATTCCTCAGCGGACGCCTGGAGCTGTGGGGAGGCGACGTCTCAGGCCAGGCGAGGCCCCCATCAGGCCCTGAGGTGGAGTTGGCATGGGGACAAGTGAGGCATGTGTGGGCTGTGGGGCCGGACCGGGTGTGTGCAGGGACATGAGGCCAAGGGCTGAGGGGAAAGGGTCAGGTGTGTGCAGGCCCGCTGGGGCCATGGGGGACAGGGCAGACACGTAGGGATGTCTGTGAGCTACAGAGCCCGGACCCCTGCCTCCAGCAGGGCTGTAGCTTAGGAGTGCTCAGGCATTGGAGCCCTCGACACCACTAATTCCCAAATGGAGGTGGAGAGGTCAGGAGACCCCACCTCAGGGCAAGCGGGCGACTGCTGATTCCAAACCCCAGGCTTCAGGGCCGGGGACTGTGTCCTTCAACATCAGCACAGGAACCCTCCACAGACTGAAAAGCTCAGGCTCCTTGCTTCAGATAAGGGGGAAGGAGGGAAAGAGGTTAGGACAGAAAGCCCAGTTACATTTGGGATGGATCGAACCAGTCCCAGAGAGGAGCCAGGAAAACCAGCTGGGCTTCCCAGGTCACACAGATCTGAGCTGAAACCCAGCTCTGTTCTTCATATGGTGTGTGACTTAGAACTAGTAAATGAACCTCTCTGGGCCTCACTTTCATCATCTGCAAAATGGGGATAATACAACTATCAGAGGGCTGTTGGGAAGCCTACATGATATAATCCATGTGCAGAATGGGTTAAGGGTGGACTGGCCAGGCTCAGGAGTCAATAAATGACGGTGAAACTCTGCTGAAACAAACCAGAAATAGGGTACAGCTAACTCCTCACTGGAGGCTCCTTTCATAACCTGAAAAATGTGCCTTGGTCTTCTCCAACCTCCATAGAAGCTGTTGCCTTCTATCTAGTAGGAATCAAAAACATCTTTGGCCGGGTGCGGTGGCTCACGCCTGTAATCCCAGCACTTTGGGAGGCCGAGGCGGGCAGATCATGAGGTCAGGAGTTCGAGACCAGCCTGACCAACATGGTGAAACCCTGTCTCTACTAAAAATACAAAAATTAGCTGGGCATGGTGGCATGCACCTGTAATCCCAGCTACACAGGAGGCTGAGGCAGGAGAATCGCTTGAACCCGGGAGATGGAGGTTGTAGTCAGCTGAGATCGCGCCATTGCACACTCCAGCCTGGGCAACAAGAGCGAAACGCCATCTCAAAACAAACAAACAAAAAACATCTTTTACTGGCACCAATCCAGGCACCATGAATATATACATTTGAAAAACTCTGGTTTGGGAGGAGGAAGGGAACTCTGGTTTGAAAGGGCATCAGATTAGCCTGCCTGGAGTGCCCACAACCTAGAAGGCTCTACCTGAGCCAATGCCACAGAAACTCCTCTTGTCAAGGACCCACTCCTGTGAGAGGGAAGCTCACTGCTTACCACGCAGGGGCCCAGACTCCACCTGGGCAAGAGTCACAAATGTAAATGCTTACAGGGTTCGGTCCCAGTTACAGCAGTAGGGAGTGGTGAGGACTTTGGGTCCAGTCAGTTACTACCATGTGGGAATATAGGGGAAGGATGGCATTAGGACAGAGCACCCAGCCCTCTCCCAACTTCATCCCCTGCCCACCTCCTAGGAGCTTCCTAAGACACCCTTCCCCTAGGCCCTATGAGTCTGTTTCCTACTGCTGCATAACAGATTATCACAAACTCTGCCCCTTAAACCAACACCAACTTATGATCTCACAGTGCTGTAGGTCAGCAGTCTGAGCAGGCTCAGCCCAGTTCTCTGCTTAGGGTCCCACAAGGCTGAAATCCAGGTGTTGCCAGCCTGGGCTCTTCGCTGGTGGCTCTGGGAAAGGCTGCATCCACACACATTCTTGTTGCTGGTGGAATTCAGTTCCTTGTGGCTGTAGGACTGTTTCCCTGCTGGCTGTCAGCCAGGGCTGCTTTTCAAGGATGCTCTCTGGCCTTTCTCCTGCTTCAAATCTCTCTGACTGCCCTTCTGCTACCAGCCAGAGAAAGCTCTTTGCTTTTAAAGAGTTCATGTGATTAGACTAGGTCCTTTTGCCGTATAATGTGACATGACCACATGAGTGACACCTCATCACAGTCATACCCACACTCAAACGGGAGATAATCCAAAGGCAAAGATAACTGGGGGTGATCCTTTGAATCCTGCCCAGCACACTTAGCTTCTGGGGTGGGGTGGAAGCATGCCTTACTCCTAGGTCCAGCCCTCCTGACCTCTGAGAGACCTTGAACCAGGGCATATCCCATCTCTGGGCCTCAGTTTCCTCTTTTATAAATGGGGTAAGGGGGCTGGATGGCATCTAAAATTCCTCCCAGGTCCCAAATACTAACTGTGACACAGGGGATGGGGAATTCAGATCCCTTGACTGGGGGGCCCCACTGACCATGGAAGAGCAGGACTGTGTTGCCCTCCAGCAGCACCCCCATCCCAACCTCCCACAGGGCCTTGCTAGGGACAGCAGGATCGGTGACAGCCACACAGCACAGCAAAGGTGCCCAGCATAAGGCGGCCAGCTCCCCCGCTGAGCTGAGCTGTGGGCAAGTGGAGAGGCTGCTTCTGTAGCCAGAGACCACAGTGCCTGTGAGGCCCCATAGACCATGATGGGTCTATTATGGAGCCTGCACAGGGCAAGGTGGGCTGGATGTACTTGGGAGTGGGGTGGGGCAAAGTCCATGTTGGGTGGGCAACAACCCTCCTACCTCTCCACTCAAGCTGGTTTCCAGGCTCCTCTCCCAGATCCATCTCATCAGTCCTGATCTCAGCTTCTGCATCTCCAAAAGGGCCTTCTCAGGCTCCTCCTGCCCCTCCCACCTGGCCCTAGCTGGACAAGGGGCATTGACTTCAGCATCCTAGGCCCTCTGAGAGTCCCAATCATCCAGCCCCACCTGCTTCACTCCTCATCTTTCTCCCAGGCCCCTCCTACCCTCCCCAGGTGCCACTTTCAGTTCTGCCTACAAGCTGCCCTTCAGGGGTCCCCATTCCCCCAGGCTCCCACCAAGGCCCAGCAGAGGGGGCTGGAAGGAGCCCCTCCCCAACTCCATCCAAGCGCGGGAGCTGGGTAAGAGGCGGGGAAATGAATATTAATTTATCATGATTAGGCAAATCCGGCAGGGAGAGCCGATTCCGGCGGAGGAGGCTAAAAAGATGAATTTCAGCAATAAAATTAAATAAGGACGGACGGGCAGCCCCTCCTCCCTCCCGCTTTGCTGATCTCTCTCTTTCTTACAATTTATGAGGCCAATTATGAAGATGAGGTTGGAAGTTCCTGGAACTTCACTAAATGCAAACGGCGGTCCCTGCTGTTCCCATCAAATTAATTAACCGCGCGCTATTGATGGCCGCTCAAGGCTGACGCAGGCGGCCCACCCTGCGGCCTCCTCCATGGACACGAGGACACAGGGTCCGGGGGCCCAGCCAGGACTCCACCTGCAGTAGGGACTCCAGCACCACTGGGGACTTCCAGGGACCCCCCACCTCCTTCTACCCAAGGCCTTGCCTGAGCCCTTAACAACGCAGGGCCTCCACCAAGACCTAAACAGACAGGGCCACACGGTCACATGCCCAGGGTTGAGCACACACACACTCAGATACAAAATCATGAACATACAGCACAGACGCAGGGGCCGGGAATGTGCATTAGGCACACACATGCCCCTGCAGTGGAACATGAACACACATATGCAGGGGCACTACACACACAACAACAACCACCCAGCTGAGGGAACCGGAGCAAAGGATGGGGGAGGTGCGCTGTGTCTGGGGCTCTGGGCCTGCTCCATCAGGGCCAGGCTGAGTCCAGCAGGGCAAAGGTGCCACCATTGCTAAGAGGCTCCACTCAAGCAACGGCCAGTAGCCTGCCTTCCCTGGGGTCCGTACTGCCCTCCAGGGGCAACCTCGGGCCCCTACCCATGGCCCCTCAGCCCCTGGGGCCTTGCTTCATCTCCAGGCCTGGGGCCTTCTTCAGGGATGTTCCCTGCAGTGTGGGGACCAGGTCTTGCCGAACAGAGCCTCAGGCCAGTTTGGGACTTCATCCCTGAGGACTCCCCAGTTCCAGAGCTCAGAAGCAGTACTCCCCAGTGGCTCAAGAGTTCTGGAAAACTAAGGGCAGAGCAGACATAAGGCCAAAGGCACCTGCGGCTGAGCCCATCAAGGCCTGCAAGCCTGGTAGCAGCAGGTGCCCCAACAGCAGTAACTTGCATGGGAGGCCACTCCCTCAGATAACAGGGGAGGGCCTGGAAAGGGGCGCCCCTGTTTGGGGAGCCCAAGTCTTCTCCAAGCCACAGTCCTCCATCCTGGCAAGAGGCATCCCATTCCATTTAAAGGGAGAGTAATTCCATGATTCTCCTGGAGAAGCAAGACAATGGGCCTGGGTTTGCCTTTCCCAGCCATTGGAACTGTAGGATGGGACACAGCTAGACTTGCCTACCTTGTCATGCCCACTCCAGGTGATGCCTGGGAAGCCCCTGTCCCATGCCCACACCTGCCCTGTGAGCAGCTGGAACCCAGGAGGAAAGGCCAGGGCCTGTCTCGCTCCCCTTTCCCGGTGCCCACGTCTGCCTTGTGAGCAGCTGGAACCCAGGAGGAAAGGCCGGGGCCTGTCTTGCTCCCCTTTTAGTGTAGGTCTAAGGTCAAGACTGAGGTCCCCACCCCAGGCCCTGGGAAAAGATGAAGCTCCAAGCTCAGTAGGGGTGGGGCAGAGCAGCCCAGCGGGGACTTGCATCTTGCACAGTGTCAAGAAGAAACTGAAATTAGGGAGGCTCAGACTGAACATGTGGCAGCCCTGGGCTCATGTGAGGCTCCCCCTTCCCCACACACTTCAGAGGATGCCCTCTACCTCACAGCAGGGCCTGCTCACACTTGCTGTCCCTCTGCCTTTGTACAGGGAGAGCCCAACACGCACTCGGTCTATTGGGTTTCTGCAGTCACATTAACAAATTACACCAACTTACTGGCTTAAACACCACAGTCATTATCTCACAGTTCCACCAGCTCAAAATCCAACAGGGCTCCCTGAGATAAGGCCAGACATCAGCAGAGCTGCCATCCTTCTGGAGGCTCTAGAGTAGAAGCTGTTCCTTGGCTTCTCTGACTCTTAGAGGCTGCTCACACTTGGCTGGAGACCTTTCCCCATCTTCAAAGCCAGAAACTTCGCATCTCTCTGACCTTTCCTCGTCAAGTCTCTCTTTGATTGTAGATTGTAGCTTTTTTTTTTTTTTTTTTTTTTTTTGAGACAGGGTCTCACTCTGTTACAACTCAGGCTGGAGTGCAGTGGTGTAATCTCAGCTCATTGGAACCTCTGCACCTCTGCCTCCCAGGCTCAGGTGATCCTCCCACTTCAGCCTCCCAAGTAGCTGGGATTATAGGCACCACTAGGTCTGGCCATGCCTAGCTAACTTTTGAATTTTTTTTTTTTTTTTTTTGGTAGAGATGGGGTTTTGCCATGTTGACCAGGCTGGTCTCAAACTCCCAGGCTCAAGCAATCAACCCGCCTTGGCCTCGCAAAGTGTTGGGATTACAGGCGTCAGCCACCACACCCGGCCCTGACTGTAGCTCTTAAGAACTCATGTTTACACTGGGCCCACAGGATTACTCAGCATAATCACCTCATCTCAAAATGCTTAAGCTTCATCACAACTGCAAAGTCCCTCTAGCCAACTAAGGTGACATATTCACAGGTTCCAGGGATTAAGACATGGACATCTTCAGTGGACCATTATTCTGCCTGCCACACGTGGCCTGTCCAAGGACAACCCTGGCTCAGGGACAGAGTGATGAAGAACTGGGCTGGAGCAGGGAGCAGGCTTGTGGGGTCTCTCTGCCTACTCCAGGCCAGGTGGTGACTGGGTGGTAGGTGTGCGGGGTGCTCAGCTGCTGGACAGGACCCCAGTTACCACCAGGGCCCTGAAATGGAGTCTCTCTCCATTCAGGATGAATGGGAGACTGGGCTGAAAGCCTGTTCGAGAACCTGGTTCAGCGCTAAAGTGCCTGGGAACCCCCAATATTCATATTCCTTGCTTACTTGGACTCAGAGAACCTCATTTCACCTCATTTTACCTCCAAACTGGGCAGCCTTTCTCAAGACTCAGAAATCCCTCCATTAGCTCCTCTGCCTCAGTGGCTCTTCTCCTGGGCTTCTGTGTCAGACTGGGCAGCTGAAGGGACACCCAGATGGGTCACTGGAGGTGGGGCATGCTCCCTCTTTATCCCACGACTTTGTGTTGCCCTGGCCAGGAGGTGGGACCAAGAGTCTGCATGGTTTCAAGGCAGTCTCTGAATTCTGAGTCTCCTGGGGGAAGGAGTTAAGGCAGATGGGGAGGGATGTCAAGAATGGAGGTCAGACCCTGATTTCAGACAAAGAAGTAAGCGGCATCCCTCCCTGCAGTTCTGGGACCTCCCTGTGTGTAGGAAAACTTGGGCGAGCTACTCTATGGCCTGCTGCACACTGGTTCCCTCCACCCCCAGCCCTGGAGGTCCTGTTCCTTGGGCCTGGAGCAGGCTGCGGCAAAAGGAGAGAAGCAACTTCCACATTTGGACCCAGACACGCATCTTTGGACTTCTGCTGACTCCAACTCTTGCTGGGGACAGCAGCAGGCACTGAGGGACCAGTCCAGAGTGGGACCAAAAGCAAGCCTTCACACCCGGGGGCCCAGGCTTTCCCCAGCCCCTCTCCTATCTACCCAGGCCCCCACTGTGGCTCTTGGCAGCCATGTGTCCCTGGCAGTAGACACTCTCAGGGGAGAGGCTCGCCCCTCTAGAAGGCTTCTGGGCTTTTGATTGGCCATCTCTTGGGTTGGTGCTGAGCTGCGAAAGGGCCCTCCAGGTCCTGTGGGCTTCTGATTCCTTTCCCAACATGATCAGTGCTGGGAAGACCCCCTGACTTACACTTCAGGGGTATGAGCTTGAGTTGGGGGGCCTACTCCCAGGCTGCTAGGATCCCATGATCGAGACCAGGCAGACAAAGGCTGGCTCCGGGACTCTGCAAGTTACCAACAGAAATGTAGCCCACCCAGCACACTCAAGGTGGGATCCCCCTGTGGAGCCAAAGCTGCCCTCACGCGTCACCACCCAACTCCCAGCATGGGGCCTCTCCAGGCTCCTCCTCCAATACAGTCTCCTTCTGACTCTGTGCCCACTCCTCCTCATACTTGGGCTGCCTGAAGCTCCTTCCATGACCCCACTCCCCCACCAAGTCTCCCTGCCCTGTGAAACAGCCTCAGGAAGACATCCCGCACTCCCCAGCGGGACCTGCTCCTGTCTGCTCTATCAAACCAAGCTCTGCTTCCAGTCCTCTGCCAGCCCAGCCTGCTCCTGACTCCCAGCACACAGTGTCCTCTCTAAAGCTGTTCCTTAATTGTCCCCAAACAGAGCCTGCTGACTCCTCTCAGAGGCAATTTCCCTGCCAGTCTGCCTCTCTCCTCCTCCGGGAAGCCTTCCCTGGCCGCCCATCCCTGTGTACACGGTCACCATTTAGTTGTTCCTAATGGTTTCCTGAGTCTTGTCACTTTTGCTCATGTCCCCTGATAGCCTGGTCTAAGGTAGGGCCTGCAGAAGATGCTGATGACTAGATAGGAGCTCTGGGTGCCTGGCTCCAACATTCTCCCTGGTCACAGCCACTGCTGTCCTTGCTGTGAGTTTAGGAGCTGACTCAGGCCAGTCCTGTCTGGAGGGCAGTTAACACAGCCTTTCTGGGCTCCTCTTTTCAGTTCCCATCTCTGTCGTCCCTGCCTGGGTGGAACAAGGTAGCCAGAGGCTGCAGCAGCTCAGACACCAGGCAGGTTCAATGTCAAATGCACTTTACTGGGCCCCTGGGCCTCCCAACACTGTCCTCACCAAGGCTGGGGCACCCCATTCCCAGCACCACCAGCTGCCCAGGAAGCAGGACGGATAGAGGGAACACATGTGGAATGGCTGTTCTCCTACCCCAGAGGGTGCCGGATGATGTTGACAGCACGGCTGCTTCCCTCTCCCCTGCAGCTTCTGTCCCCACCCAGCAGCTTGGCCTTTCCCATAGCAGGGAAGGGGGATACCTGGGGCTTCAAACCAGCCACCTGCTCCTGCTTAAAATGGGGCAAGGGGCCATTTGCAAAATTCTTCGAGGGGCAGTGGTGAGGTAGAAGGGGTGGCAGCCTGCTCCTGTCTGGGAGAGGGCTGGGCAGACACTGGGAGCCGGGCAGACACTGGGAGCCGGGCTGGCTCTTGCTTCAGGCCCAGAGCCCTGGGCCCTGCTCGCTGAGGAAGCTGGTGGTTGGAGCGGCGAGGTTCAGCCAGCTGAGGCTGGAGGGAGTACTGGGTGGCCAGGAGGGGTAGCCAGTCCAACTCGGCTCTCCTCAGCACCCCCAGCCATGGGTCACCAGTCCCGCTCAGCAGGTTCTCGGTAGGGGAGGCCTAAGAGCCTGAAGACATCCTTCTCAGTGGGAGTGGGCAGCACTCGGCCAGGCCCCACCTTGCAGCCATGGGTGTTCCGGACCACAGCAGTGCTGAGGGCATGTTCTGACAGACTCATGCCCTTGGTTTTGGCCAGGGCTCGCATGGAGCGGTTGAAGTGTGCAGAGCCGGTGAAGTAGAGCAGGGCACAGGCAAACTCGCTATAGGGCACCACGATGATGTCCAGGCGCCGGTGCCGCCGCCCTGGCCCTGGGAGCCGGCACACCCCCAAGTACTTCTGTTGCTGACCATTCTCCTCTTGGCTCACCAAGTCATCTGTGAGGAACCCTGGCCCAACAGAGGGGACTGCTGGGAGGGCAGGGAACCAGGCCTGGGCTGTCCCATCCTCCCAGGTCTCTCCTGATGTCTAAGCTGGGGCTTGCCCAGGTATTAGCTGGGTGACACTACCCTCTCTGGGCCCTTCTCCTTTTCTGTAAAACATGGATAGTAATTCCCATCTCCCCCATAGTGTCACAGAAAGATCAGATGAGATACTTGGCCTGCAGGGTTCACTGAGCACCTCCACATAGGTGTGGCGGGGCTGTTCCATCTCTCCCTGGAGAGGATTCCGGCCCCGATAGAGAGATGGGATGCTGGCAAAGCACTGTTCCCCTGCTTCCTGCCTCAGGACTGGAACTTCTGAGGTTCTCCCTCTGAGGGGGCCCCCAGACCTGTGCTGCCCTCTGTCAACCTGCTCACCCAGAGATGGAGCTTATACCTTCCTGCCGAAGACTGTCAAGGAGGCGGCTGAAGATACCCCGGTGGGACCGGCCATCTGGGTGAGTGATGAGCACGTCGACATCACCACAGGTCGCCTTTCCCCGTCGGTATGAACCACATGCCACACACAGCAGCCCAGAGTTAAAGGCCTGGGCTGCTTTCTGGACCTGGGAAAGAGAGCGGTGACAGGTGAGGGGCTGTGCGTGGGGAGCTCCTCTCCCACAGCAGTACAAGGGCCTTCCCAGACTCGGGCCCACACCCTCAGCTTATGCCCATTCCAGATGCCTGCTGCAAGCCCAGGGGAATCCACCCTGAGGAGCTGCTGTTCTTTCCCTTCGCTAGGACAGGAGAGAAGAAAAAGCTCACTGTGCAGGAGGCAAGCCTGAGGAGAGACGGGAGAAGGTGCCGGCTCTGCTTCTGAGAGTGGGCACTGAGCTTGCCCTGTGGAGCTCTTTAAGAGTAGGGAGACACAGACTCTCTCTGCCCCTGCCCCAGCCCACGTGCCCAGGTCTGTGAAACTCCACTTAGGACAAGGGGCCAGGTGCTGAAAGCCCTCAGCCAGGTCTAGGCAGCCCCAGATATCTACTGATTTGGAGCTAAAGGTTTGGAATATGTGAGCTGGGGTTTGAGGACTGAGCAGGTGGCTGGCAGCATGCGCCAGGCCCAGGCCCAGGAGAAAGTGGAGCACAGAAATACAGCTGCACCTGTGGGAAAGGAGAGGAAAGAAAGCAAAGAGGGGGCAGTTCTGAGCCAACACCCACATCCTTTCTTGGTGGGGAGGGAGCTGAGACAGCAACTGCCAGCTGAAGGATTGTCCCTCTGAGGAAAAATAAACCCATTAGCCTCCACCCCTGAGACACTGAGGTTCTTTCATATGCAGATGGCCTCCTGCCTCCACCCCAGGACACTGAAAATTCTGGGGCCCCGGACACCTCAAGTATCCTGACAGGAGGGCTCCGCTAATCCCCTTACTCCCTTCTTGAGCCTCCCAAGAGAATGGAAGGAGGAGGTCCACGTGAGTAATCCCATCAAAACTCCTATGGCTGGAGCCCTTAAATGGGGGCACAGGAGGCCAGGTGGGAAGCCTCTTTTGTTCCAATGGGCTGGGTACTGACTGAGGCATTCTCCATGCCCGGACACCATGGCTGAGTGACGGTGTCATCACTAGCACCAAGGCCTGGTGATGGGCAGACAAAGAGGCCTGTCCATCCATCTCATACCGGCCTCATAGCCTTGTGGCCTGGAATGGAGCTGGGGGCTGATTTCAATCAAACTAGGCCAGTCTCCATGGGATCCCACTCTATCAGAATCCCTGACCAAAGTGAGCAAAACTTGCCTATTACAAGCAGCTCCTAATCCTAATGCCCATTGAACAAATGATACATCTAGCCCTAAATGCAGTCCAGTGTCTCTCTAATCTAGCTTTTACATGAACCTAATCGCTAACCCAACTCTAAACCAAACCCAAATCTTATTTCTTGGACAACTACAAATCTTAACTTAAAAGCAACCAACATTAAGAAAATCCTACGCCTAATTAAAGCCTAACTTTAACTCAATCTTTTTTTTTTTTTCAGACAGAGTCTTGCTCTGTTGCCCAGGCTAGAGTGCAGTGGCACAATCTTGGCTCGCTGCAACCTCCGCCTCCCAGGTTCAAGCAAATCTCCCACCTCAGCCTCCCAAGAAACTGGGATTATAGGCATGAGCCACGGCACCCGCCTAACTTTTTTGTATTTTTAGTAGAGACGGGGTTTCGCCATGTTTGCCAGGCTGGAAATTTTTGTATGTTTTATAGAGACAGGGTTTCACCACGTTGGCCAGGCTGGTCTCGAGCTCCTGAGCTCAGATGATCTGTCCACCCTGTTCTCCCAATGTGCTGGGATTAAAGGCATAAGCCACTGTGCCTGGTCTTAACTCCATCTTGATGGAGCTTTCTTCCAGCCCCAAACCAAATCCTACTGACACTGTGCTTTTACACCAACTCTACCCCAAATCCTGAGCCAGCCTTGCGTGGGCTTTAGAAGGTCCATACATCTGGAAAAAGACATAAACCTTTGCACATTTGTGCATTTTGGGGAGAAAACAGTCCACAGTTTTCATCAGGTTCTCAAAGAAGTTGGTGAAATAAAAAAAAAAGATAAAATAAAATATTAAAACCCTCTGCCCTGACCCACCCTAACCTCAGTACAGATATAATTCACCTGTAATCTAACCCTAACATTAACCCAATCCTAACACCAATCAGTCTAGAATTGAATCCAATCCTAATAGGCCTGACTACTGAGAACCAGAATCTAGAGGGCTGGTGTTACAGCTCTTTCCTCCCAAAGCTCCCCACCCCCACCTCTGGGCCTGGAGCTTCAGTCTTAACTTGCTCTGTGCTCAACCTCTGGTGATCCACAGTTTCCTCTGCCTGCTGTCCTCCCCAGCTGAGGAGTTGGGGGTTCTTGGCTTTGACCCAAGACCTTACAGCAGGACCTGGCTGTCCTCACTGCTCTGGGACACCTGCTTACTGTCTGCTCAATCTCTGTAGCCTCCTCCCTGGGCATACGTTCCAGGAAGTCACTGTAATGCTTCAGGCCGATGGCCTGCTGGGTTGTCAGGGAGGCCTGGCTGCGGATGTCTTCCAGACTTCGGAAGCCCTGGAAAAAAGCAGCCAGATGGGAAGCTGTAAGGATCCAGGACCAATGAAGAGGCATGAGTGAGCACACACACAAGGCTTCCATCGCCCCAGACTCTAGGGAAGGCTAGAGGCAGGACCAACCTAGGGGCAGTTGGGTCTGTACTCAGCAGGACTTGGGAAAGGCAGGGAGCATGGGAAACATGCCATCATCCAGCCCTGCCACTATCCTAAGATGCTCGTTCATGATTCCATCAGTCTGAGGATGGACCTTGTCATCTTCATCCTTACCAAGCTGCCCTGGTGATTGTGGGCAGAGCCAGGATTGGGAACCACTGCTCTAGACACGCAGTGTCAAGGCCTGGCCTCCTCAGGAAGGCCCTTGCTGGTCTGGGGAGACTGAGAAACATACTTCTTGTCCCTGTCTACTCCTTCTTAAGGATACCAAGCAACAAGGCTGTTCTGGGAGCTGAGGGGTCTATATGAGTCCTGGTCCGCTTGAAAAATGGTCTCCCTATACTGTGGGTGCATTCCCATCAGAGCACAGCATAGGGATCTGGGGCAGAGCACAGCACACATCTGGGGCAGGAACTCTGAGACACAGCAAAACTGAAGTAGGGGCTGAGCCAGGGTGTGACCTGTTGGTACCACATCTGGGCAGTCTTGGTCCCAGCTCCCCAGATGTTGGAGAAGAGCTCCAAGACAGGCACGCTCTCACTGATATGGTCCAGCTTCCGCAAATGCCCGCTCTCCAGGATCTCTATGATTTTCTCAGCCATCCGCTTCCCAATCCCAGGGATACTGCAGGCCTCCTAGAGGAGGAGGAGGCAGAGGCAAGAAAGAAGAGTGAGGAGATGGAAGAGGTAGAGCCAGTGGAAAGGAAGCTGACTCCTCTAGCAGATGCTGACATAAAAGCCAGCCTGGCTGCTTGGCAACTGTGTGGCTGTGTAAAGCTTGGGTGTAGTTGAAGATGAGAATTTTGGATAGAATGAGGGCTGGGTAATTTGTCTTTTGGTTCCCAGAAGGATGGAGACCAGCAGTAAGAAGTAGAAAATAATGATGATATTAGTCACCACCACCACCACCACCATCATCATCATTCCAACAGCAAGAGCTAACATTTACTGAGGGCTTACTCTATGTCAGGTCCTGTGCTACAGGGACCATTTCATTTAATAGTAGCCCCTTTTTACTAATGAGAAAACTGATGCTTTGAGAGTTTAAGTAACTTGTCTGGAGTCACACAGTTAGTGAATGACAGGAACCAGAGTTCAAACCCTGGTCTGTTAGGCTTCAGAGTCCAAACTTCTTTTAAACAACTTTTTAGGCGGGACACAAGGGCTCATGGCTGTAATCCCAGCACTTTGCAGGGCTGAGCCGAGGGTAGATTGCTTGAGCCCAGGAGTTCAAGACCAGCCTGGGTAACACGGCAAAACACCATCTCTGCTAAATAAATGAATAAATAAATAAATAAACAAAATTAAAAATAAAAAACTTTTAATTATGTTAAAAAATTCAAAAGTAGAGAGATCCATATAACCCCCAAGTATCGTACATCTCCCAGCTTCAACAACTATCAAGATTTTGCCAATCTGCTTTCATCAATTTTCCTTTTTTTTCTTTTGTGCAAGTCCTAGACCCCATAAAATCTTCACCACTGTACCTGAACCCCACTGGGGTTACTAACCACTGGCCAGTAAAGACCCCTCCTCCCACTCTAGCCCCTGGGTACCTGGTACGAGGTGACAGGCTTATGGAAGCTCTTGAGGGCATTGATGGCCTTGGCATAGCCCAGGGCCCTCCACTTGTCTCCCTGAACACTGTAGGCTTTGGCCAGAACTTCCAGCTTCTCTGTGATATGGAGGTTGTGATTGGTCGCCTTCTGGCTTGAGGGCTGTGCACAGACCCACTTATCCAGGACAGCAGGGGCTGGGCTAGGCTCACAATCTCCCTCAAGGGAGGTGGGGTAGTGGCCACTGATGAGGGCTTCCAGATCAGCTGCACTAACCTGGGTTTCTTCCCCATCACTGGCTTCATCATCAGAGATGGGCTTGGGATAGAGAAGAAAAGAAAACAATAAATTCTTGTTCTCCAAGAGAAGGGATCCTTAAAGGTGGGGGTCATCTTCTTTGTGCGGGGGGAGGGTCTTCTAGTCAGACCTAAGAATGAGGCGGGGCCTTCTGCATCAGACTTGGATCTCCTTGGGTGTGAGGCCACGTTCCCTTTGGCTCCACGCAGTGCCTAGCCCTAGGATCCCCAGTGGTATGTGTTAGATATGGCCTAGATAAATGCAGCAGTGATGAGTGTTGGGAAGAGCTAAATGGCTTCACAATAGAGCCCTCCTCTCTCAGGGGCCTGGGACTTTCTGAACAGCCACCAGGCCCACCCCATTTCTGTGATCTGCTTCCTAGGGGAAGGGAGTTCTGAGGGATGGGAGGCTCCTGACCTGGGCTTGGGTGTTTGGTGCCTCTTTTGCCTTTTGGGGAGGAGACACAGGCCTGGTGGGAGGAGGAGGAGGAGAAAGGGCTGTCTGAAGCAGGGCCTCATGGGTGCCAGGAGGAATAGAAGCATCCTGCTCTGCCTTGCTGGGCTGTGGATGGTCCAAGTACCTGTGGGGATGGTGATGGGAGGTTAAGACACCAAAGGTCTCACCCTGTATCTGTCCCCAGTCCTTCTGTACTCTGAAATACTTGGTTTCCCAGTGTGTCCAATTAAGAAAACGAGTTTTTTGAGGTTTTTGGAGTTTCTCTTGAGACAGGGTCTTGCTCTGTCACCCAGGCTGGAGTACAGTGGTACGATCAAGGCTCACTGCAGCCTTAACCTCCCTGGCTCAATCAATCCTCCCACCTAAACCTCTTATAGCTGGGACTACAGGCACACCCCACCATGCCTGGCTAATTTTTTAATTAATGATAGTTATTTTTAATAATTCAAGAAAAGAGCTCAAGATGCTACTAGAAAACATTTGAAAAAAAGACTGGGATCAGCCCACCTACTGGGGATGAAGATGCTGAATCCAGCTACATCCACCAGCCTCCTCTCCTGAAGGCACAAGCTCAGCCAGGCTGACTTCACCAGCTGAGCACCCGGGGGCAGCTGGGGTAGTCTGAGAAGGCGGAGGGCTCGCTCATAGTCCATGCCTTCATCCACCACAATGTGAGTGACACCTGGGCCCTGGGCAGGGCATAGCTGGCCGCCATGCTGAACAATCTGCTTCTCAAAGAGTTCTGCCCGGGCTCGTCCAATGCCAGTGCGCACAACATGGGCCCGAAGGGAGCTCAGCCACTCTGTGGAAGGAACATCCAGATGACTACTGTTGTAACTTTTTAATTTTTATCTGCCACCCCCTGGCCACGACATAACTTCTAACATGATCTGAATGACGTGTTCACAGTCCCCTACCCTGAAAATAAGCATTTCCCTTCCATCCAGACAGCTTTCCTTCTACATATAGCAAATTTTCTCACAGGCCAGCACTTGAATGTAAGGGACAAGGATTTTCATACGTCCTGTTCCTTGGTGCAATCTAGAAGTGTCTGGCACATTGTAAGTAACCTGTAAATATTTGTTTAATGAATGCCTCCTCCCTTCTTACTTTGTTTTTTGTTTGTTTGTTTTGTTTTCTTTTGTTTTGTTTTTGTTTGGAGACAGTCTCACTCTGTCGCCCAGGCTGGAGTACAGTGGCATCGTCTTGGCTCACTGCAACCTCCATCTCCCGAGTTCAAGCGATTCTCATGCCTCAGCCTCCCGAGTAGCTGGGATTACCGGCGTGTGCCACCATGCCTGGCTAATTTTTTGTATTTTTAGTAGAGACAGGGTTTCGCCATGTTGCCCAAGCTGGTCTCGAACTCCTGAGCACAGGTGATCTGCCTGCCTCGGCCTCCCAAAGTGCTGAGATTACAGGCAAGAGCCACCGCGCCCAGCCTCTCTCCATACTTTGAATCCTTTATCATTTATTCTTTCAACAAAGCGCGTTTCTTGCCCTTACAGTCTGACAGACCCGACAACCCTGCCTCCAAAGCCTCTGCCATTTATTTGCCAATTTGGCTGCAAAACAACTAACAACAAGCCTGGGTAATGGAGGGGGGTTTCTGTCCCAGTCCTCAGGGCAAAAATTATACTGGTCATTCCCTGAGGGCCCAGGGAGTCTTTTCTGATGGATAGAGGTCTTCGGGTAGAAAAGAAGGTAACACAGCAAATAGCCTGTCCAAGACCCAGGACCAAGCTTAGCACAAGGTAGATACAAACAGACCTGCAGGCCCTGGACAGGCAGAGTCAGCTCCAATATCTGATTCTGGACATAAACAACGTAGGGCTGAAGCACATGAAGGCTGTGGGTTCAAGCACACGAGGGTTCTGAGACTGGGTCAGCTCACCTTCTGCTTCTTCTCCCTCTTCCCTCCTAGGAATCTTTGCAAGTACTTTTGATGATGCATCAGCATGAATTTTCTGCCGCTTGGGAAATGCCTTCAAGATACCCCTGGGATCCATTGAAGTATGGCTGGATCCCGGCCTATTGGAGCGTTGGTCAGGGCTGCTGCACGTGGAAATCCAGAATTGAGGCCCTCCAACCCCTTTGCCTATGGAGGTAGGGTCTTTCCTGACCAGGCTTTGGGGGTAGCAGCCCAGTTTGGGGAAGCGGGTCGGGGGAGGGGGTCTCTTCAAACCCGGTTAAACTTCAGTGGTTTAGCCTAGCTTCACACTCCCCAGCCTTTCGAAGTTGGAGTATTACGGGAAATGAGGGGAAGGCTGGTGCCATCGGGGGTACTTTTGAGGAGTAGGAAACGACACCATTCCTCAGAGGGGTTGCGCTAAAGATTCAGCACAGCCCTGCTGCGGCCCACTTCGAAGGGCTTTACCAAATGGGATGCTGGGCTAGGAAATGGAGCTTTAGGGGATGGAGCGGAGCCTGGGGAGGACCTGCACATAAACCCCACATACTATTTCTCTACCTCCAACACAGACTCGCAGAGGAAGGAGGAGGACTTTCGGGGGTGAGTGGGAACGCCCTGCACCTGTCCTGGTCTCAGCCTCTCGACATGGGGGTGCTCAGCGCCGCAGCTGCGGGGAGATGGGGCACGGCCGCAGCAGGTGTGGGGAGCCCTCCGGGAATGGAGGAGTCTCGCAGCTGCGGGTGAAGTCCCGGGCAGGTGCGGTGTACTCGCCGTGTACGCAGCTGGCGCAGGCCAGGGAATCCCAGCTCGGGGCTAGAAGAAAGCTGGAGTGCCCGACCCCGGCCCCAAGAGTCTCTCCAACCCCCAGAGTCGGTCCCCGGGTGGGGTCGACTACTGGCCAAGCTAGTCACCCGGGGGTGGGCAGGAATAGACCACTTACCAGCAGAGCCAATGAGAGCGGACGAAGGGGGGAAGGAGGGCAAATGGCCAGAATAGCTTCCGAGTCAGCCGGAAGTGACCCTCTGGAACGGTTGCCATGGCAGCGGCTGGGCGTGCTGCTTAGCAGGGGAAAGATGGCGGTGACGGGCTGGTTGGAGAGTCTGCGGACAGCCCAGAAGACTGCGCTGCTGCAGGACGGTAACTCGAGGGTCCCCACGGGCTCCTTCGTTTTTTTCCCTCAGGGTCCGGCCCTCCGGGAAGGGCCTCAGGGCCTGGGTCGGCAGAGCTGGAAGGGTCTCGGCGGTCAGCCGGGCCAGGTCCTGCATTTGCAGATGAGGAGACTGAGGTTCACAGAGATGACATGACTGGAACACATGTCTCCGGACACCCCTTAGATTCCTCTACACCATCTCGCTCCGCTCTGATTTCTGTTGCTAATATAGTAATTTCTTTTACATTCATTATCTCATTTGCTCCTCACCACTGTCCTGAGAGGCTAATTTTCACCCCGTTTTACAGAAGAGGAAACTGAAATCCAAGAATGTTTTAGACTTTAGAGAGGAGAGAGGCCTGGGCTCTAGTTCCGACTGTGCCATTAATTCACCACGGGCGCTTCAGTCGGCTCCTTTACTTGTTTGGGCCTCACTTTCCTCATCTATAAAATGAAGTGGATGGACTACCATTGTTATCTCTGAGGTCCTTTCCAGCTGTAATATTTTTGTTAAGTGAACTTCTAAATATTTTCTGTGTCTTTAGGGGAGCTAGAGCAAGAACCAAGGGCTGTGCCTGGAAGAAGTGGGCACAGGGGCATGGATACCTAACTTTTCCCCACCCTAGGATTGGCCGATGCCGGCCCCTTTGTGCACTTGGGTCCTTTCTGGACCCACTGGGTAGCCAGGATGAATTGCGTCTGAAGTTCCTGAGGCTTTCAAGATAACAACTGGTGACTCATGTTCACAGGCAGGGGCCAATCAGGGAAGCCTGGAGTTTGTGGAAATTAAAATCATTTACTCGTTCGTGCAACATTTAGGAAGACTTTTACTATGTGCCAAGCTCTAAACTAGAACAGAAAGAAAAAGATATGTTGTCCCAGGACTCAGAGTGGTTGGGAAAAACATGTACTTAAATAATAAGAAGCGTTAAATAGAGGTTGTAGTCTTGTATAAAATGGTAGGAAAGAGTGAAGGTGTAAGTGACATCTCTTTGGAGGAAGACCCAACAGAAGTGATGATGTTTCTGGGTCCTAAAGAATTAATAAGGTCAGGCACAGTGGCTCACGCCCGTAATTCCAGCACTCTGGGAGGCCAAAGTGGGCGGATCATTTGAGCTCAGGAGTTCGAGACCAGCTTGGGCAACATGGCCAAACCTCATCTCTACAAAAAATACGGAAATTATGGCCGGATGTGGTGGTTCACGCCTGTAATCCCAGCATGTTGGGAGGCCGAGTGGGCGGATCCCTTGAGGCCAGGAGTTCGAGACCAGCCTAGCCAACATGATGAAACCACCCCATCGCTACTAAAAATACAAAAAAATTAGCCAGGTGTGGTGGTGCGCACCCGTAATTCCAGCTACTCTGGAGGCTGAGGCAGGAGAATCGCTTGAACCCGGGAGATGGAGGTTGCAGTGAACTGAGATCACACCACTGCATTCCAGCCTGGGTGACAGAGTGAGTGAGACTGTGTCTCAGACAAAAAAATAAATAAGCCGTGCATCATGGCACATGCCTGTAGTCCCAGCTACTTGTGGTGGCTGAGGCCAGAGGATCGCTTGAGCCAGCGAGGTAGACGCAGCAGTGAGCCGAGATCATGCCAGTGCACTCCAGCTTGGGCGACAGAGCGAGACCCTGTCTCAAAAAAACTGGAAAAAAAAAAAAAAAAAAGAATTAATAGGCGTTTGCTGAGTGAAGAAGAGGGGATAGCTATTCAAAGAACAACTCACATATAAGGACCCTATGTGAAGGTGTGAAGGTACGTGCCTGATTACTAGAGGAATAACAAAATGTTTAGTAATGTTAAAGCAGTCACTCAGTCAGAACAAACCACCTATAACTATGTCAGGTACTATTCTAGGTGCCAGGATGGAAGCGAGAATAAAAAGGTCCCTTTTCTCAAGGAGCAATGAGGGGAAGTTGTGGAAAATGAAGAGAGATGACAGATAAGTTGGGACATATTGTGATAGATCTCTTATGCCTTGCTAAAGATTTAGGACATTTTCTCATAGGACAGTGGTTTTTGTTTTTATTGTGGTAATAAATACATAACAGAATTTAGCATTTTAATCATTTTTAAGTGTACAGTTCTGTGGCATTAAGTACATTCACATTGTTGTGCAACTATCACCACCATCTTCAGAACTTTTTAATCTTTCTCAACGGAAATTCTTTTTTTTTTTTTTTTTTTAGAGACAGGGTCTTGCTCTGTCACCCAGGCTGTGGGGTACGATCATAGCTCACTGCAGCCTTGAACTCCTAGGCTCATGTAGTCCTCCCACCTCAGCCTCTTGAATAGCTGGGACTACAGGCATGTGCCACTACACTCAGCTCAAGTGAAATTCTGTACCCACCAAATGCCAACTCCTCATTCCCTCCTCCTCCCATCCCCTGGCAACCACCATTCTACTTTCTGTCTATGAATTTGACTGCTCTAGGAACCTCGTCTAAGTGGAATCATACAATATTTGTCTTTCTGTAACTGGTGTATTTCACTTAGTGTAACGCTTCAAGGTTCATCCATGTTGCCACAGTTGGATACTTCCAGCTGTGCCATTAATTCACCACAGGATCTCTAGTTGGCCCCTTTACTTGTTTGGATCCTTTCCAGCTGTAATATCGTTCATAAAGTAAACCTCTAAATGTTCCCTGTGTTTTTAGGGGAGATAGAGCAAGGACCAAGGGCTGTGCCTGGAAGAGGTGGGCACAGAGGTATGGATATTGTAGCATGTGTCAAAATTTTGCTCCTTTTTAAGGCTGAGTGATATCCATTGTATGTCTACACTGCATTCTGTTTATTTATTCATCTGTTGATGGACACCTGGGTTGCTTCCACCTTTTGGGTATTGTGGATAATGCTGCTCTGAACATGAGTATACAAATATCCACTTGAGTCCCTGCTTTCACTGTTTTTGGTCACAGAAGTTTTTAAACAAATATTTTATCAGCCAGGATTTTGTTAAGTTCTTTTGTTAGTAGCATCACAAAATGATATTGTTAAGATTCCACCCTATCCCCAGACTGAAAAACAACTCAGTATTGCATATGTGGTTAAGCCTTGTCAAACCTGCAGATTTACCCCTGGGTGTGTAGGAGGGGTGTGGGGAGTAGGGGGGAGGTTACTCCCTTCCACCAAGAATCATGGCTATTGATATCTTGGGCTGGATAATGAGACTCCATTTTACTTTTGTTTTTTTAAGAAATAATTACATTCATTGTGGAAATATGAAAAATAAAGAAGTCAAATATAATATTACCACCCAGATAATCATAATTTACTTTTTTTTTTGAGACAAGTTTCACTCTTGTTGCCCAAACTGGAGTGCAATGGCGCAATCTCGGCGCACTGCAACCTTTGCCTGCTGGGTTCAAGCGATTCTCCTATCTCAGTCTCCTGAGTAGCTGGGATTATAGGCGCCCGCCACCAAGCCCGGCTAATTTTTTTTTTAATTTTTAGTAGAGACAGGGTTTCACCATGTTAACCAGGCTGGTCTCAAACTCCAGACCTTAGGTGATCCGCCTGCATCGGCTTCCCAAAGGGCTGAGATTACAGGCGTGAGCCGCCTCGCCCAGCCCATAATTTATATTTTTATACATAAACTTCTATATTATTTCATGCATACACTCACAGTTATTTTTCTTTTACAAAAATATACTAATATACTTAATAATTTATATATACATTTATTTCTAGAATAAATATACTATTAAAACAAAGTATAGATAAGTATCGAATAATCATTGGGTAAGGGAAGATGCTCTGAGTGCAACTTCTAAGGCAGTAACCACAAAGAAAGAAAATATATAGTTGGCTTTATAAAAACTAAACACCTGTGTTGGGTACCTGTAATCCCAGCTACTGGGGAAACTGAGGCAGGAAGCTCACTTGAGGCCAGAAGTTTGAGGCTGTAGTGTGCTATAATCATGCCTGTGAATAGCCACTGCACTCCAGCCTAGGGAACATAGCCAGACACTCTTAAAAAACAAAAACACTTGTTTGGGAAAACCCACTTTAAACAAAGTTAAGGGCCAGGCGTGGTGGCTCACACCTGTATTCTCAACACTTTGAGAGGCCAAGGCAGGAGGATCACTTGAGCTCAGGAGTTTGAGATCAGTCTGGGTAACATAGTAAGACCCCATCTCTACAAAGAAATTTAAAAATTAGCTGGGCATGGTGGTGTGCAACCATGGTCCCAGCTACTCGGGAGTCTGAGGTGGAGGATCACTTGAGCCCAGGAGGCAGAGGTTGCAGTGAGCCGAGATCACACCACTGCACTCCAGCCTTGGCAACAGAGCAAGACACTCTAAAAAAAAGCCTCAGTTGGCCGGGCGTGGTGGCTCATGCCTGTAATCCCAGCCCTTTGGGAGGCTGAGATGGGCAGATCACGAGCTCAGGAGATTGAAACCATCCTAGCCAAAATGGTGAAGCCCTGTGTCTACTAAAAATACAAAAATTAGCTGGGTGTGGTAGCATTCACCTGTAGTCCCAGCTACTCAGGAGGCTGAGGCAGGAGAATTGCTTAAACCCGGGAGGCAGAGGTTGCAGTGAGCCGAGATCACACCACTGCACTCCAGCCTGGCGACAGAGCGAGACTCTGTCAAAAAAAAAAACCCTCACTTTTCCTCATCTATGAAATACAGGTAATGAAAACACATAGGATTATTGTGAGAATTAAATTTGATAAGACATGTGAAATGCCTGGATTTAGTAAGCGCTGCATCCTGCCTGGACTCAAGGCTGGATGCCAAGGGGAGAAGATGGTCAGGCAAGACCCCCTCAGCTCCTCCCAGGCAGTACCTTGGATCCCGCTCCTGACAGGAGAGCCCTTTCTAATGCCTGTGAGCCATCCAAATGATTAAGGGTGGTATTACCTAGGGCTCTGCTAGAGGCCCTGCAAATTTAGGGGTGAGTTTATGCAGAATACAGATTAGGAATGGCTCAAGGGAACTGTATCCCAGAGAAGTGAATTGGACAGGAAAAAGGCACCTTGGGGCTCTTATTCATCAAGCATACATAGGGTACTTGTCTACTGGATGTTAGTGCTCTGTTACTAGTTTTACTGAGGAGTCTGCCTGTATCTACTTCCCTACCTATAAAAAGAAAGGGGAAATTACATAGCCACTCTTAAGCAAATGCTCCAGGGGTAGAGGAATTGGGCTAGGAGACTCCCTTAGTTTCTTCTTCTTCTTTTTTTTTAGACAGAGTCTCACTCTGTTGCCCAGGCTGGAGTGCAGTGGCACAATCTCAGCTCACTGAAACCTCCGCCTCCCGGGTTCAAGCAATTCTCCTGCCTCAGACTCCTGAGTAGCTGGGACTACAGGCACCTACCACCATGCCCAGCTAACTTTTTTGTATTTTTAGTAGAGATGGGGTTTCACCATGTTGGCCAGGCTGGTCTTGAACTCCTGGCCTCCCTTAGTTTCTTCTGTTCTTTCAACGGATAGTGCATCAGTGTTTATTCATCCTTTCAATCAGTATTTAGTTGAGCTCCTAGTATATGCCAGGAGCCACACTTGGTCTTTAGGAAACCATAGCATGGGGATAAAACCCCTCCTATCTAGTAGAAGAGATAGGCAGTAATCAAAGAGTCACATAAAAAGATGTAAAATCATAACCAAATTAAGTGCCATGAAGAAAATACATGGGGACTTAACATTGTGTTACTGTGTGATAGGAATGGCCTGGAGATATGCAGAAGAAGGCAGGGCACTGGCATGGCTAGAGGGAGTGCTTGGTCAGGAAACCCAATTCAATGTCCTGAACACATAGAGAGATAAATACGATGTCATTCATGGGAAGACAAATGCTTTTAAAAGTATCATGGTATGTAGTAAATGCTCCACTATGGATACGAGTAAAACATTAGGGAGGCACACATGAGGATGTGATTAATCCTACCAAAGTGGCTGGAGGTGATAGTGGAGGAAGACTTCCCAGTGGAAGTGACATTTGAGCTGGATTTTGAAGGGCAAAGAAGAGTTCCACAGATAGGAAAAAATATGGAGCTGTTGCTGGTAGAGGAAACAGCAGGGCAAAGATGTTCAAGGAAAGCTTCAGAAAGGGAGAGAGTCTCAGGACACGTTTTAAAGTAATGGTGGGTGGTGGTTGGCAAGGAGTTTGGGGAGGTCCTGGCTGGGTTCCTCAGTACTCCCAAGGCTGGCACTGTTTCCCAGGTAGGCCCCTTGATCTGCAAGGGACAGGGCAAGGGGAGACTTTGAGGTAAGGCATTCTCTGTTTTGTGCATAGGGAGAAGGAAGGTTCACTATTTATTCCCAGACGGCAAGGAAATGGCTGAAGAATATGACGAGAAGACGAGTGAACTACTTGGTAAGTGACAGAGGCTCCCAGTGGGCCTTTAGTAATACTTGGGGCTGACATAAGCACAATGAACACTCCTAGCCTTAGGCTTGAGGTAGGAGCCCAGATCAAATGTAGAGGCTGGGAGAGACGGAAGCCCTCGAGACAACAACGTTCCTGAGCATAATCTGGGCACCAAAAGTGGAATGCGAGTCCTTTTGACCAGTAAAATTCATCCCCACCCCTCACCCCAGACAAATGAGAGAGGGAGTAATTCTAAGATGTAGAGAAACAGTTGGGAAAAAACTTTACAGAGGAGGTGGTATTGGAAGTGAGCCTTGTAGGTTTAGGAGGGATAAGGGCAGACTTTCACAATTTGTTTTTCCTTGTTTTTTTGTTTGTTTGTTTTGTTTTCTAAAGCCACACCAGGAGCAAGCGAGTATCAGAGGCAGAGCTTCTGAGCTTGCCTCAAAGGCAACACTATAAAATATGGTCCTTATTTTGAAGAACATCTCAGTCAAAGAGGGTCAAAACAGTGATTTTGCAGCGTGGTCACTTTCATTCCTGCAGCGCCTTTCCTCTAAGAACAGGCTCATGGGTAGGGGCTCCAGCTCAGATTTCTGGGAATTATTTGATTTGTCCACTCTGTTCCCAGGTGTGCACATCAGCATTAACCAGCTTCCCAGAGCTAGGTGGCTGGCTCTTTGACCCAGGGCCCAAGGCTGTCAGCAGTGGGAGTTGGTCTCTTTATTAAGTTCCATCTGAAATGCTAAGACCAATGATGGAATCACAGGCTGGTTTATTTTCTTGTCATTATTCTTGGCTTTAATTTCTTCCTGGGCCTGATCGACAGGTAGTATTGGTGAGGGAATTTCTTTTTCCTTTTTTCTGACAGCTCATAAATGTCTAGAACCGACAACATGGATTACACGGGCTTGCATTCCCTCAGTCTCCAGTCTTAAAATGTTTGTCCTGCGCATGTTCAGTCGCACAGTGAAGTGTTGATCCCTCCTTATTATGAGCTGCTTGGGCTCCAGTCCCAGTTGGTTTAGTCTGGTGCTATTAAAAATCTTGATGTGTTTAGCATATGACACTGATTCGGTGGAAACCAATACAGTAGTAATATCCTCACAATGCATTGTAATTTATAGTGCTCCCAGGGGATGACAGCCTTGGAATGCCTAACAGGGGAGAACTTATGAAAGCAGAGGTCACGTGGACTAGCCACCACCATAACCAGGCCAGAGAATAGCCGCAGCTCCTCACTCCCAGCCCCCCGTGCCACTTCTCTACTCCTCCACACAGAGCAAATAAAACAGCTATAGCTGCTGCGGCTGTAAAAACAAACAAATAAAACCCAGGCCTCTTTGTTGTGCTTGGATATGAAACTGAAATTAAAAACAAGTCCAGGTTTCTTCATTTGTAGCACCATGTGCCCTGATATCCCTTATTAACCTGTCACTTCTCCTAGTGGCAGGTGGGGAATAGACCATGGCTTCCAAACTCCTCTTTCTTAAAAGCAGAAATGGAGAAGACTGTTCACAGGAGAACACTGTTTGGCTAAAGTTGACCTAATAATGATATTAATAGCGTGACTCTTACTGGGCACCATGCTAAGTGCTCTACGTGAATTACCTCATTTACTCGTCCTCGTTAAAGCCCTATGAGGTAGATACTCTTGTCTCCATTTTACATTTGGAAAAAATGGAAGCTCAAAGAGGTTAAGCACCTTGTTGAGAATTATGTAGCTAGTTTCTAAGCCAGGATTTAAGCCTAGTTCTGTCCAATTAAGAGCCCATGCTTTAGTCCTCAACAACATAGTGCTGGGAGTTGAGAACACTTAAATCCAACTTTCTTTTCTTCTTACTGTTTTTCTTTCCCCAGAAAGGCCTGAGTGTGGACTGATGGGCAGACAGGAGGACCTCACTTGAGCCACTGGGCCCAGCTCTAGAACAGCAGATCTTTTTCTTACTCTTCTTCCTATCCACCACTGCTGCCCTGGCAAAATACTCTCCATTATTAATTTTTAAGTATAAATAATCCCAGGGGTTGAGCTGGCTTTTGCTTGTGCATTCTATGAAGTAAAGTAGGGACATGGTTTTTGTGGCAATAAATAGGAATAGTTTCCATTTTTCTAGCTAAGTATACAAATTTGATAATTAGCCAAACCAGTTTTCTGTTAGAAAAATTCAAAGTAATTTACAGAGGAAGAATTGCCAATAGGTGTGCGTCAGTCTGGGACAGAGTTCCTCCCGTCGGTGTTAATAAGCATGTTAGTGTCCTGTTTTTTTCCTACCCTCTCAGTGCTATTCATTCCCACCCCCCACAATGATTGCTGCATGTATTCATAGAGGAAAAAACTGAAGGCCCCACAACAATGATCGGAACATCAAACCAGCCTGAGAAGAACACAGCATGTCCAAGGGGGCTGAGGCTGAAGGGCAGGCCATCCCCCAGCGATTACATTCGGATTACCGACTTAATCTGCTTTGGTATTTGACCGCCAGCCTAACCACCCCAGGCTGCATTTGGAGGATATTGAGCACTTTCATCCCCAAGCACTTCACTGGCTTTATAAATGACCCACTCGATTCCCTTCGGCCTCCTCTGGGATGGGACATGGCAGCTGTTTAATTGCCACATAGCAATGTTGCAGTGTTTTAAGGCAGAAAAGAAGAATCCTGCATCCAGTTGAAGCTGCAGGGAACATTTAGGGAAGGGGAATGTAATTATCCACATTGGAAGTGGGCCAGGGTTTGGAGCTTTGGGGAAAGAGGCCTTTAGGACTTCTACTTTCCAGCCCACCTGAAAGATGGGGCCTCCTTTCAGCAGTCTGGGACATCAGCCTGCTTCCTGCTGATTTAGGAAAAAGCCCCCAGGCGCCACCTCCTTTATATATTCCCCATCAGACTCTTCACCGGGGTGGAAAGTCTCTTTTCCAAGGTCTGGCTGGGGCTCAGCTGGGAAGATATGACAGCGTCCCGGGAAGCTGCCTCACACCAGTTTGGGTTTAACATATAATCAAATCAGAGTGACAGCAGATGGAAACAGTCTTCTGTTGCCGCAGGAGCCGTCCTTGAGTTCAGAAACAAAGACGGGGGCAAGAAAGACAAGACAAAGTGTGCATTTGTACATGTGTGTTCACACCCATGCACTTGTGCATAGGAAAAATAAGAAGGACTTCCCCAAAATCTTTTATTGGGTCTTATCTCTAGAGGGAATGGGAAAGGAGACTTTCTTCTACATTCTAACAAAGAATTTAATTCTCAAGGTGTTTAAACAAAAAATAAAGGTGAAGCAGCCAGAGGTGTCAAGTTCCCTGAGTGGTTTTTAAGGTCAGAAGTAAGGAAATCAGCAGCTGACTTTCTTCCTTCTTTGAGTACTTCTTGGGAAGTTTTCTGTGTAAAACTCAAAATTTTTTGGAGTAAAAGTGCACAGAAAACCCTGGGGTGGTTGTCGTCCCTCCAGGCCACCTTGGTGCATTATTATGCATTAGGACACCCATTTTAGCAAGGCCCATGACTTACAGGGGCACCTCACTTATCCAGCCCTAGGTCGTGAGGTAGTCCTCATAATTTACTTTTTCAGATAATCAAAGCTTACCCTTTAAAGGCCAAATATAAAAAATAAATTGAGCTACTTAAAAAAAAACAGAAACCTTTCAAAATATTACATGTGCTTATTGAACACTTTCAGAATAAAGTTTTATTAATAATTCAAATTCTGGATTTGGAGTTAGGAGACCTGGAGTTTAGCCGTGGCATTTGTAAGATTGTCTCCTTGAGCCTCAGTAATTCTTCATAGTCTGTTTCCTAGAGAGTAGTGGCAAGGGTTGAAAGAGAGCAGTCAGGGAAAAAATGCTATTTCTCATTTTAAAAATACAGACATTGGGTAGATGCTTTCTTTTTTTTTTTTTTTTTTTTTTTTTTTTTTGAGACGGAGTTTCACTCTTGTTGCCCAGGCTGGAGTGCAATGGCACAATCTCAGCTCACCACAGCCTCCACCTCCCAGGTTCAAGCGATTCTCCTGCCTCAGCCTCCCCAGTAGCTGGGACTACAGGCGTGTGCCACCACACCCAGCTAATGTTTTATTTTTAGTAGAGACGGGGTTTCTCCATGTTGGCCAGGCTGGTCTCGAACTCCCTCAGGTGATCCGCCCGCCTTGGCCTCCCAAAGTGCTGGGATTACAGGCATGAGCCACCACGCCCGGCCTGGAGTAGATGCTTTCTAAAGGAACTTCCACCTTTAAAATCTGTGATGGTTGTGTTCTATTATAAAGTGGCACCATTGGAGTCTAAGGGTGCTTGTTTGCCCTTACACTAAATGGTCCCAAGTGTTTATGTGGTTCTGACACTGCCGTCCAGTGTGAGTTGTCCCCGATACCATTGTCAATATGCCTGAGAAAAAAAGTAATTTCCTGCCTTATTCTACACACAGCATTTTATACCTAGTCTGAGCGAGAATCTGAGAGTGATCTTTCCTATAGTATAGAGTAGGGTACATGGATCTTTTCACAATAAGCTGCTGCTCGGAGGCATTTGTCACTTCTGAGTTTGCAACTGTGTCAGAGGCCCCCAGAAGGCTGCTTCCAGTGAAGTGAGGTATTAACACTGAATAGATTTGGATATACTCCTGGTCACAGTCCGTTCACTTAAGAGAGAAGTATTTGTGGGGGAAAAAAGTTGCCTATAAAGCATATTTCCAAGTTTTACTCTTCCTTATTAATTTTCATTATAAACTTGGAAATGTGTTTCTAGGGAGAATTTTTGGCCCTAAGAGGTAATAAAATCACACTGCAGAATGCAGCAGACCTTATAAAAGCACATATTTAAGGGAAAATTCTAATTTTACAGCACACTTTTGTGTTCAGCTTGTGTGCCTTACTTATACCGGTGAGGGCGTTTGGATTTGACACAGCTGCTCAAAAGGTCTAAAGTAAAACCGCCGGCTGCCTAGTGCTGAGAACCTGACTGTAGCTCTCAACTCCTACCTGGAAAAAGACACAAACAGAAACAACTGTAACTGAGTACTGTGCACTTTTTGAGTTGTTTAGCTCCTTAAACAGCTACAGAGGCTGCTGGTCTTTAGCACCAGCTGGGCTCCTCAGGCTGGAGGATACCATAGTGGGCAGCCCCGGATTCCAAATGCAGCAGGAAGGGAAAGGAACTGGGGGATAGGAGGTCATGGCTCAGAAAAGATCCCCCTGCAGTGATGGACCGCATGGTTCCTGAAAATGAAAATCTCAGCAGGGGTTTTCAGGTAGTCCATTCAACTAGTTTCTTGATTTATAATTTTCATAATATATGTGCCTTAAAATCTTATGCAAGCATCTGGGTTATGAAACAAGGTAAAATAGAGATGGTTATTTGCATTCTAGAAGGATTCCCTTTTACAAAAAATTCACATTAGATCTTTTATAAACCGTGCATTTAAAATATGGCATGTGCCTACGATTTTGTTTAAATGCAGCTTTGGAGCGTTTTTTTGTTTTTGCTTTTTTCTTTTTTTTTAAGCAAGGTATACCTGAAAAGAGTGAATTTCTATATTTGGACTTTCTGAATCATGATACAGACCTGCCGAACAGCTTTCACCCTCTTAATTATTTTTTCCTCTGCATGTTTTTGAGGGAAAAAGTGTGCTTCAACTCCTTTTTGGGATCCAAATTTTCTCCATTACCAGAAACAACCCTTTTCCTAATCTTCACATCTTCTCCTTGCTTGAAGCCACACCTGAGGGTTTCTTGACTCCACTTGGCTCTTCTCAGAGCTTCATTCCAGTTCCTTTTGCCTGAGCACCCATGAGATGCGCTTTGAGGGTTGTCTAATGTTGAAATGCTCTACTGAAATTTCAGAAGTTGTGAGGTCCCTCCTTAGATTAACAAAGCTGAGAGTAAAGGCCCAACACTCCCACTTTCATCTTGTGCTAGTTACCTAGTGTGGTGCCGGTGATTCAGCAGAAAAGAGCAGAGACCCTCTCTTCACTCTCATCCTGATGCTTGCTTCTCATCCCGATGCTTGCTTCTCTCCCCAGTGAGAAAGTGGCGTGTGAAAAGTGCCCTGGGAGCCATGGGCCAGTGGCAGCTTGAAGTAGGAGACCCAGCGCCCCTAGGAGCAGGGAACCTGGGGCCTGAACTCATCAAGGAAAGCAATGCCAATGTACGTCCATCTGTCCAGGTGTCTTGCACGGACTGAGGTGGGGGTGGGCTGTGGGCTGCTGGCTCTTGAGGGCAGGGACCATGTCTTGTTCACCTCCTCGCCTCCAGTGTGCCACCTGGACACAGCACTCTATAAATGTTTGTTTGAATGAATACAGACATTTTGGCTTGATCGTCCCAGGGCGGGGGCTCAGGGCCTGGAGTGCTGTAGCAATAGCAGCGTCAGAGGGGAGCAGTGGAGAAGAGCTGAGGGTCTTGTTGTGCCCCGGGGTAGCGCTCTGATGAGGGTGGAGCCTTCCCTTCCCCAGGAACAGTCCTCGAGTTGGATTTGCCTTCTGCAGCCTATCTTCATGCGCAAGGACACCAAGATGAGTTTCCAGTGGCGGATTCGAAACCTCCCCTATCCTAAGGATGTCTATAGTGTCTCTGTGGACCAGAAGGAGCGCTGCATCATTGTCAGAACAACCAACAAGAAGTGAGTAGCGTGGAAGGCACCCTGTGTGCTTGTGTATGAGCGGGGTGTAGGGTGGGGTTTGATCTGGCGTTAGGATCATTATTCAGGCCGGTCCTGCAGAGAGGAAGCCCTTCTGCTTACAGGTATTGGAAGGGCTTCCTCTCTGCAGGACCGGCCTGAATAATGTAATCAGCTCCATCGGGGAAGAGAAACTTGAATGAGTATCTAGTATAGTACCTGGCATAGATAGGGGCTCAGTAAATATTTGTTGAATGAATGAGATGATGAGGGAAATCACAGGACCATTAACTTGTGGTCTCAGGTGGTTCTGCTGAAAGGTTATTATGACCTTGGTCTCCTGACTGGAGCCAGGCCTTGGTAAGGGTGGCCTGGTGACATCACTGTCAGAGCTGGCAGGGAGCCATAGCTTGGAAGGCACCCCTGTCTGAAGTGGGAGTGACAGTCCTTTAAAGCAGTACTTGACAGCAGTTTAAAGCAGACTGGGCAGCAGTAAACCTAATCCCTCCCCAGACTGACAGTGGGGCAGATGCTTGGGCCGCTTGGAAGTCTCTTGCATAATGCTTCAAAAGGGGTACTCAACTTCCCTTTGTGGTCCCCTAGAGGGGAGGCAAACTGCAGGGGTTGAAAGGACAGAAGGTGGCCACAGTGCATTTCCATTTTGGAAATGCATTGATCTCATTTAGGTTTCTGGAGCCCTGACTGATCACAGGAGAACAATGCCCTGTGTGAGGCCTGAAGGGAATGACCCTGAAATGAATCAATCTTGACCTGGGCTAGAGAGAATACAGTCTAGGGACAACTCCCACAAAATAGATTTGGGCATTGAGATGGGAGGTTTTATAAGTTACCTGTCTGCAAGCTGTGAAGCCATTCAACATGCCTCATGGGGATGCCCCCACCCATCTCTTGCTTTACATGCAGTAATGGGGACACAGCTCCTTGTGCATCTCCTCAGGTGATGTGGTGCCAGTCTCCCCTTCCATCTCCCTCAGGCTCACGAGGCCCACAGGGAAGCAGGGTAGCTCCCAGACTCCCCCATCGCAGCCCTGGGTGCTGCCATCCTCTTGTGACCCCCATATCCCATTGCTTTGGCAGGGTTAAGAGGACAGGGGAAAGGGTGGAGATGGATGAATTAATTTCAGGATTATTGCTGTACATGCAGCCAGCAGCCCCTGCAGTGGGCCTTGTCTATAAATATAAAGTCATAATAATAAGGGTTTGTGTTTATAAAGCACTTTGAAGCCCTCAGATAAGAGGCAGTTTATTCCCGTTATTGTTCTCATCATTAACAGGAGTCACTGCCTAAAGTGGAATTTAGCAATTTCAGACAACAGAGAAATTGCCTGTAGGAGAACAAACTCCATGCTTCAGCAAGCATTCCTTGGTGGAAGAGGCCTTGGGTCCAAACTGGGAACAAAAGTGCTTCTGATAGCACTTGAATCTGCAGCCCAGCACTTTGTGAAGCTGGCTGCTGCCTCTTTTTTGTCCCCCAGAGGTCACTGTCGAATACAGATATCAGACAGAAATGTGATTACCAGGGAGTGAGGAAAGAGGCTAGCTAGCTCACCAAAAAATTCATCTGCCAGCATATCCTCTGGGTCCCATCTCCTGCGCACATCCAGCCATAGGTGGCGCTGTTGGCCAGGAGCTCCATGGCTGGAGGCCCAGGCTAGCTCTCAAGGCAAGCAGGGGTTGTTGGACATTTTTGAAATGATGGGTGAGGCCAGGTGGGATGGGAGTGATGCCCCTGGAGGGGCAGGGCTGAGGGTTGGATTCCCATAGAGGACAGAGGAGTGTTTCAGGGCCCACTTTGGAACCCACACTGAGCCTCTGGTCCAGTGTCCCAGCCTGGCTCATCCCTGCCCTCCTCAGGTCTCTCTGTTGGGAGGTAACCTAGAGGCCGCTGAACCCTTAGCCAGATCGTTCCCGAACCTAGTGGCATTTTTACCTTCTACCTGGAAGAATGTATTTTATACCTTTACTCCCATTAATTATATAGAACTCAATGGGTATTCCTTTATTATTATTATTAATTTGGAAGGGAGAGATTTATTTCTCATCAGGGGTTACAGCCTGCATAGACATTCTTTTTTATTTTTATTTTTATTTATTTATTTTTTTTTTAAGAGATGGAGTCTTGGCTGGGCGCGGTGGCTCACGCCTGTAATCCCAGCACTCTGGGAAGCCAAGGCAGGTGGATCATCTGAGGTCAGGAGTTTGAGACCAGCCTGGCCAACATGGCGAAACCCTGTCTCTCTAAAAATACAAAAATTAGCCAGGCGTGGTGGTGCATGCCTGTAGTCCCAGCTACTCGGGAGGCTGAGGAAGGAGAATCGCTTGAACCCAGGAGGTAGAGGTTGCAGTGAGCCAAGATCATGCCATTGCACTCCAGCCTGGGTGACAGAGTGAGACTCCATCTCAAAAAAAAAAAAAGAGATGGAGTCTTGCCCTATTGCCCAGGCTAGAGTCCACTTCTTGCAATCATAGCTCACTGTAGCTTTGAACTCCTGGGCTCAAGGGATCCTCCCGCCTCATCCTCCTGAGAAGCTGGGACTATAGGCGCATACCACCCAATCTGGCCAAGTTTAAACAATTTTTTATAGCGTTGAGGGTCTCTCCATTTTGCCCAAGCTGCTCTCAAAATCCTGGGCTCAAGTGATCCTCCTGCCTTGGCCTCCTGAAGTGCTGAGATTACAAGCATGAGCCACCACACCCAGACCAGGGTGGCCATTCTGGCAGGTGGGGAAGTGTGGCCTCTGGCCAGAAGCCAAAAACTCAATGGCTACTCCCTTCCACAGTGTTTAGCTTTTTAAGGATATAGTACATTTAAAATCTGTTTTCTGATCATCATTCTGTCAGGAGGTGGACAGGATCCATACTTTTATTCTTGTGTTATAGATGATTATATAAATGTATATATAAAGTCAGCATGATGAACCAGCTTGCTGAAAGTTAGTGACTGTCTCTCCTGATACTCAGACATCTGCACTTCAGAAATGCACATCATGGCATTTCTCTCTGATTTGACCTCTTCCTTCACCTGGAGGTTCCATAACCTGCCCCAGTTCTAATATTCTGGAATGTGGTTACTAACCAAAGCCAGAGTTTCTTTACCCATACTTGCCTTGTCTCTGAAGAGCTGGGTTGGTGACTTTACTTGAAGGAATTGATTGCAGTGTATCATGTCCTTGGCCTCACATATTAGTGAGGGATGAATCAGGGAAGGAAAAAAGTGCTTTTCCAGGATCCCAGTGTTGGACCATCTATTCCTGATAACGTTTGTGCAGAAAGAGGGCTCCTAGCCTCAGCCTGGAAGTTGGCCGCTGTAGGTGGAATGAGCCAGGGTGCAGGAGTGAGAAGTTGTTGGGTTAAATCTGGCCTCTGCCACTGTTAGCTGTAGAATTTAGGCAAGGTTTCCTCATCTATCAGAGAAGACTCACAGCTACTTCACAGATTTTGGGGAATTTGATGAAATCATATATGTACAGGCCAGCACAACGGCTGGCCTGAAGCAGGTCCTCAACAGTTCTTTGGAAATTGGAATCTGAGGAGAGCTTGGCTGATTTGACATCGGTGATAGTAACACTGTGGGAGGTGTTAATAGGCTTCACTAGAAAAAAGGATTCTGTGGTTAAATAAATTTAAGAAACTCTGGATTAAACAGGCTTCTCTTTGGTGGGGCCGAGAGCCTTTAGTATGTGTGTGTGATTGTGACTGTCTAGCAGGGGGCGACTGTGGGTGGGGGTGCCAAGTTTGCCCAGAGCCTTGATGTTTAAGAAGATTTGCTTGCTGCTTTTCTAAAGGCGGACTGGTTGGAGGCTTCTCTGGACCCCTCTGGCCATGCGGTGTGCAGGTGTGCATGGCACCCCCTCTGAGGTATGTGAGGCATGACCCAAGTGATTGTCCACAGCAGCCCTGCTCCTGCCTTCAGCCTCCAGAGTCTCTCTCCCTCTGAGGGCCTGGCCTCTGGTGCCCTTTTGGGTTGAAAGGCTGGATTGGGGAGGGGATACAGTAGAGAGTGGTGGGAGGCAATAGATCATTACTGAAATAGTCAAAATGGAGGAGTCGTCTGTCAAACAGGGAGAAGACAGGTACAGAGTTGGCCTGTTCTGGGCCCTTTGACATTGACTTCAAGTTCATCTAGTGCAGCTCTTTTATTCGAAGAAGGAATGTGGAAACTGAGGCCCAGAAATTAAGTGACCTGTCCGGGGTCACAAGGCAGGGCCAGGAGTTCTGCTACAAGCCTTTACTTCCACATACATCTTTTGAAGACTTTTGACATTCAGAAAGGAAGGCCACTGATGTGTTGGAGAGAGTACCCAGGGGACCCGCAGAGTGTTCGGACCCCAGGGGAGACAACCTGTTCATTGTTGAACATCCCCACCTCCCACCTCAATATCTGCCCCATCATTGGACAAATGCAAATAATCTAGACTATGGCGGGCTATTACTTTGTGGTGAGAATGTGGAGACATGGAGGTGTCAGGAGATTTGGGGAATTCTCACTTTAATACGGGCTTCTCTGTTTACCAGCTTTGTGAGTTGGGCAAGATATCTAACTTTTCTGGGCCTCAGTTTCCTTTTGTTTAAAAGTGGATAATAGAAGTAACCAACCTGAGAGAGTTGTTTTGACAATTAAATGTGTTTAGAACCTGGCACAGAATAAGCTCTTAAAATGTCATCTTTCATTGTATGGCTGAAATAGAACATTGAAGGGAGGTGGGAATGGGGGAGAGCGGGGCATCTGCAGGAAGCCAGGGAACTATCCTGCTGTAAGGGTTCATCTTTTAGCAGAAACAAAACAAGGTCTGATCAGCAGGGATATGGCCTTGTTCCTTTTTTTGAGATTGAGTCTGGCTCTGTTGCCCAGGCTGGAGTGCAGTGGCACGATCTTGGCTCACTGCAACCTCCGCCCCCTGGGTTCAAGTGACTCTCCTGCCTCAGCCTCCCAAGTAGCTAGGACTACAGGTGCTGCTACCACGCCTGGCTAAGTTTTGTGCTTTTAGTAGAGACAGGGTTTCACCATGTTGGCCAGGCTGGTCTTGAACTCCTGGCCTCAAGTGATCTGCCTACCTCGGCCTCCCAAAATGCTGGGATTACAGAAGTGAGCCACTGCATCTGGAGGCCTTGTTTCTTCTTCATCCTTTTCTTTTAATTTTTTGTAGAGACAGGGTCTCGCTATGTTGCCCAGGCTGGTCTTGAACTCCTGGCCTCAAGTGATCCTCCCACCTCAGCCTCCCAAAGTGCTGGGATTACAGGCATGAGTCACCAGGCCCGCCCTCTTCTTCATCCTTAAATCCCCAGCTCACAGCTCAAGGTCTGGGACACAGTTGATGCCCAATAAATGTTTGCTGCCTACCTACAGCTGCCTGAGGCTGAACGTTATGACCCTTCCAGAAGCACAGTGGGTCTCTCTCTTGTCCAGGTGCTGGTGAGAAAGTCAAGTACAGTACCTATCATGGAAAAACCCTATGTCTGGGGGAATGGGTGTGAGAAGGGGGTGGGCTTCCCCAGGAGGAGAAAAGGCAGATGCTCCCTACTCCCTTGAGCCTATCGGGAGCTTCTAAGAAGTTGGTTAACCTCGACCAATAAACTAAATCTATTACAAGAGACTCAAAACCAAGCTGAGCCTCCACCTGCTCTGCCTCCATTCCTCTTGCCTGGTGGTAGGAGTAGTTCAAGGAAAGCAGGTGCAAGCTATGCACCTAAAGTTCCCTCTGATCCTGTCCTTGCTGTTGTGGCCAAGCCCTGGGATTCATTTTCCGGTCCCACTGCCCCAGCCTGGGGGAATGGTTCTGCTGGGCTGCTTCCCTCCTGGTTCTGCTTTTTGTGTATATTTGCAGGGAAGATGTTAACACTTCCTAACAAGTCTTTGTGTTCATCTAATCTCTGCTGTTTAACCTTTGACTCTCCCCTATTATCAGTGTCTGCCACCTTTGCTGGCCAGACCAAAGGCCCCAGGAAGAGCCCTCAGCCTGAGCTGGCTAGGAAGAGGATGAGGCAGGCATTCCATCCCCGGTTTGCAGGCAGATGGATCGCCTTTCCCTGGGGCAGAGCTTTGGAAAATAAAGCAACTTGCAATGCCATTAGGATCCCCCAGCCCCCACTCCTTTTGAACTGTCAGCCTTTAAGTAAACATTCTTTTCCTGCCATGGGTCCCAGTACCTTGGTGGGGAGTGGGGAACCTGGGAGGAGAGGGGCCCCGAGAGCCTCTGTTGAACGGAGGGATTTGGGCAGGGAGGACGGGGGCAGAAGTGCTGCATTGATGTCAACTCTCTGAGTCCCCAGGGCATAGGGGCTTTTGAAGTGGACTCAGGGTAGCTGTCACCACAAGGACCAGGCCCCTCTGAAGTACTAAAAGCCCCATCCTCCCCAGGCCTCTCACTTGAGTTTGTTTGTACCTGCCTGAGGTGTTTCCCTTCACAGCCCATACAACCTCTGCAGCAGAAAGTGATGCCTTGCCCAAGTGACAGGTCTAGCAGCCCCTGGCCAGAGCCTAAGCCACATTTCCACCAAGGAAAATGCCAAATTGGTGTACTGTTAGAGATGAGGAGGCCATTCATTGTGCTTTGGTGTAGTAAGGATCAGACCAAGGACAAGGAATCTTACTCTAATCTTGACTCCCATCCCTACCGACAACTGGCCGTGAAACAAGGCAAGATATTTCATCTCTCTGAGCCCGAGTTCCCTTTTAGGTAAGGGGGGTCAAATTTCCTGCAAAGTCTAGTTATACACATTACAGACTGGGTGTTGCCATCTGTTCTATTTTTTTTTTTAATTAAAAGGCATCATTAATCGCTGAACCGGCACCTGCAGATGATAAGGACCATGTGTGATATGTAAAAATGGAGGAGTAGGGACTTGGGGCCAGCCAAGTAGTCCAGAGGTCCAGCTTCCGTGATGAGTAACATGGTTCGTCCTCTCAAAGAGATTTCTCCTAGTAGATATACTTTTCCCTCTGGCCTACAAGGCCAGGCTAACAAGGCCTTGAAAGGCCCCAAAAGAGGAAGAGGTAGTTGAGGCCTTCAGTGGACCTCCCATGTAAATGGTAACAGTAGGGCCCCAGCTTTGGGAGACAGATCTGAATGTCCTTACTCTGTCCTTTGTTAGAACACGTCCCATTTTTCTGGTGTCTCCATGAGGCTTTGGGGGTAGAGGAGTCCCAAGCTGCTTGAGCTATTTGTGTGTTCCAGGCTTCTTCTGCCTGTCTTTGGGAGACCCAGCTCTGAGATGTGAGTCACTACAACCCCTGGTCTAATCACAGAATTATAACTAGGTTCTGCTCTTCTGCCACTGGACTGGACATAAGGCTTGCATTCTATGCTTTCCAGGGCCACTGAGCTCTGAAATACTGGTGTTCTAACTGGTTTCCCTTCTCCCTCTCTGCGTGTGTGGAAGGTGTGGAAGAACTAGGTAGAAGCTAGGCAGCAGAGGGCCTGACGCCTGGCTGTTGGGTCACCTTGCCGAGTGCCCCAATGGCCTCTCGGTGTCCCCACAGGTACTACAAGAAGTTCTCCATTCCTGATCTAGATAGACACCAGCTACCTCTGGATGACGCCTTGCTGAGCTTTGCCCACGCCAACTGCACCCTGATCATCTCTGTAAGATTCACCCAGACTTCTTGGACACTGCATCAGGGAGAGTCTTCCTCTTTCCCTGCCCACTTCCCATCCCATAAGAGTCCTCAGTTCTAGCCCCAAGCCCTAGGGTATGCTTGTGGGAGAATAGGCATCTCTAATTCAGCATGGGGGAGAGCAGGGAGGGGGCTCAGGAAGGAGCCTGACCATATAATTCACAGCTAGAAGAGGGTAGAGGGTGAAAGGGAAGCGGTGGAAATTGCTGAACTTGGGTTCTTCTGGTCCAAGGTCTGCTCCTACTCAGGCACATGACCTTGAGCAAATCATTCAATCCTACAGGCCTCAATTTTCTCGTGCAAATAAGGGGATCAGAAGGAGAAGGGGCCCCAAGTGTGTGTGGAAGGAGATGGGACAGTGACTGAATTATTTTCTTATTCCTGGCTGCATCCACAGTACCAGAAGCCAAAGGAGGTTGTGGTGGCCGAGTCTGAGCTACAGAAGGAACTAAAGAAGGTGAAGACAGCCCACAGCAACGATGGGGACTGCAAGACCCAGTAGTTGGCCCCTGAGCCTTATACCTCCACCACAGGGGGTGCCGTGAGACTTCAAGGCTTGGCCCTTCTTGACCACGGCAGCCTCCTGTCTTCTAGGAGCTATCAAGGGTCTCTAAGAACTGGGCATGGGGCACTCCTAGCCAGTGAGTCATGGTCATATTTCCTGAGTAAAGTCATTCTGAGTTACTTACTGCACAGGGACTGCCCTCTTGTTCCCCTCTGTATGCTGCCTGGCCCCAGACCCCACTGGCCTCCCTCGGGAGGGTGTGATGACATTCCTTTCTCTATCCCGGAGACCTACAACATAAAGCTTTCCACAAAAAGGGAGAATAGGGTGGGAGCACATGGCCCTAGCAGGGCAGGGCTGGCCTTTCCCTGCAACCTGTTTACACAAACTCAGAGGAAGACCAGGCTGGAGGGACCCTGTGCTACCGTAGCTTGCAGAAGTGGCTCAGAGGAAACTCCTGAAGATGTGTGGGCAAGGGAAAAGTTTTAAAAATGCAGAAACCGGCCAGGCGCAGTGGCTCACGTCTTAATCCCAGCACTTTGGGAGGACGAGACGGGCGGCTCACCTGAGGTCAATAGTTCAAGACCAGCCTGGCCAACATGGTGAAACCCTGTCTCTACTAAAAACACAAAAATTAGCCGGCCATGGTGGCGCATGCCTGTAATTCCAGCTACTCGGGAGGCTGAGGCAGGAGAATCGCTTCAACCTGGGAGGCGGAGGTTGCAGTGAGCCAAGATCATGCCACTGCACTCTAGCTTGGGCAACAGAGCAAGACTCCGTCTCAAAACAAAACAAAACAAAAAAACAAAAACAAAAAACAAAACAGAAACCTTGGAAGTAGAACACAGGATGTTAAGGCATTGTGGGTAAAAAGCCAGAATCAGGGTCATAATTTTGCCAAGGGTGTGTGTTGGGGTAGGGGTCACCACAGGCAACAACTGAGCTTCCAGCAGCCTGTACCCTTTCCACAGTCCCCTCTCCAAACCCACAGGTGACCCTCCATACCCCAAAGGGTAAGGGATAGGTCATCAATGGGAACTCTTCCTGAAAAAAAGAAACCTTTGTTCTTTGGGACACAGAGCCATGAGGCTGGTCTTGTCGTTTCAGCAGCACATACAACCCTGAGCTTGGGTCTGCTGTTCCCTTCTCCTGGAGCCTGCTAGGACTACTCAGCCAGTGAGGAACCAGATCTGTGAACAATCAAGCTTTATTTTTACAAAAATGAAAATTGTAGCATGTCTCAACAGCCAGCCTGAGGTAGGGCTGGCTCAGAACTCACTCAGAACTGCTGGGTTCCCTTTGCTCTTTCTTGGTTTCAAAGCAAAACCAGGCCACAGTGCCCCAGGAATGAACCCCCAGCCCCGAGAGGTTGGTCAAGGGTGAGGTCTGGCTGGTGCCAGGAGGCTATTGGCAGCCTCACCTTTCCTTCCAGGAAGGGGCAGAAAGGAACCATCTGGGAAGGTGGGAGCACCTCACCTCACTCTGTAGGCTGTCATGGCTCTAATAAGGGGTATAGGATGGGCCTCTCCAGGCCAGATCCTTGCTCTGGCCAAACAGGGACGCAAGGCCCGGGTTCAGCCGCACTCTAAAGCAGCAGGTCCTGCCTCTCCAACAGGTTCCTGGGAGGGACTGCATCTCTGGTAAGCTCCAAAGTCCCAGGAGTCAGAAGCCTCTAGTGCAAGGTGCCTGAGCACTGGGGTCACAGGCCCAGGAGCACAGTGGGGCAGTGAGGAGGAGCTATCACTGCACCCTCCAGGCAAGAGAAGTCCCTGAGTAGCTGGTTTCCCTGGCCCAGAGGCAGGGGTGGCCCTGACGGTCATGGGTTTTGAAAATCCAGGACGTGGAGGTTGTAAGACAGGGCAGCATAGAGATGCTTGGTGGTGAGACGCAGGCAGTACACAGGGCTGCTGAGGGGAGTCGACGTCAGCGGGAAGGCCTGGAAGGGAGGGCACAGGAAGTGGTAAGAGCTTTCCAAGTGGGACATGGGTGTGCCCTAACCCAGGATCCCCAGGCCCAGGGGAAGAGGGACGTGTGCCATTGTAGGCTTCTTCCAACCCTTTCTAGGCACGTCCTTGGCTACCTCACCCTCTCCCAAATGCAGCCCATAATCATGAGTCCTGGCATGCTGGAGAAGAGGTGGGCAGGACACTTACGTGCAGGCAGGCCCTTTGACGCCGGTCCCACAGCCGTACAACACCGTAGTAGGAGGAACCTGTGGCCAGCAGGTGGTTGCCATCTGTCTGCAGGCAGTACAGGGTGCTGTCGTGGGGCTCCTCCCACTCCATGACACATTTCCTGTCCAGGAAGAGGAGAAGCAGAGGGAGGTTTAGGGTACCCTCCACCTCTACCCCAGCTTTCTTGGGCCTAGAGTGGCTGAGGGGAGCGTTAAGGAGCCATTCCGGGATGGAAGAGAAAGAAGCCTAAATCATCAGATTCATCAAAAACCGAACTTCATGGGAGAAAGCATCTTCTGTAGAGGGCTCTCGCCATGGCCCAGACGACACAGCAGATTATGCCTGCACTTCTGTTTTCACATGGCCAGCTACTTGTCACTGGACTCAAGAAAGGTTGAAGTAACACAGGCCTCAAGAAAGGCTGGGAGAGAATATTGAGTGACAGTACCCTGACGGCTCCAGAGGCTCTGGGAAACGCCTGCCTTTGCCAAGGCCTGTTGGCTATAGCCAAGCCACTGGGACCAGGGCTGCCCAAATGTAGGAAGTCTAGTGACCTTGCAGGCCTCTTCCTTCCCAGCCCTGACATGGAGTCTCTGTGCCCTCTCCCATGGGCCAACCCAGGACTGGAGGAAGGACCAGGATTGGTGCAGGGCCCCCACCACCTGTCCTCCCTGCCCAGCACACTCACCGGACGCTGGTGCGGAGGTCCCAGTAGCGAACATAGGTGTCATAGCCACAGGACAGCAGTGTGAAAGGGGACTCATACATGACATCCAGCACCCCAGCCCCTGGGGGAAAGTCACTGCCCAAGTGTGTCATCAGCTGCCCACTGGGAAGGGAAGGACGGAGTGAGAGGCTGCTCCACGTGGGTCATACACATTCGTTCCACCTTCAGAAGGCATCAGACCTTGGGGAAATGTTCTCTTTCCTCAGCTAGAATGAGACTCAAGGAAGGGGGCTCAGGGAGGAGATGCCCAATTCCTACCCACCTCACCCCTGCCATGAGGCCTCTGCAACCAGTCCCAGGCCCCACCCCTCCCCCAGCATCCCAGCCCTCAGCAGCCCCTCCATCACACCTGCGTGCCGGCTGCCACCCACCCAGCCACTCCTCCTCAGGACAATGAATGGGGGGGCTTGCTGAAGGGGTCGGCCCCCCTCACATTCACATGCACATGCACACACACACACACACTTGGTTACTTTATACATCTTGATCCTGCAGGTCATGCAGTTCTGAGCTGCCTGAGTCCAATGCCTTAATTCCTGCCTGTAATCTGGGGCTCAAACCTCATTGGGGATAAAGACCACACAAAGGGAGAAGGGGAGTCCCAGGAGATGTTAAAACAAGTAAACACCTTTGTGTCTGGGGAGAAAAATCGCTGAGAAAGCAGCTTAGCGAGCTGTCCCTGGTGTTCCTGGTCTAGCTGGCCCCCAGCCCGGGGCTAGCACGCCTCCGTGATCACAGCCCCCAGCCTGTGGGGCTCCAGCCTGCTCCCCCCACCCTCACCCCACCCGGGGGCCGAGAGCAGATTACTGAGAACAATTTCTTTGTGACTGTGTAATTCCCTCCGTGACCGCGGCAGTGGGCAGACCCTTTGCCCTGATGCCAGACCCCTAGCAACTATGTAGGGGGGCCTCCTGTCCCTAGCAACTACCCCTCAACATCAAGTGCACCCGCTAATCCCTGCAGCCAGGGGATGGGTGCAAGTATGGAGTTTCCACAGAATGACTGGGGGAAATGAAGGAAAAGGGGCGCCCTCCAGGCCTGATGCCTTAGCTTCCTTTACCCGTGAGACGCTGGGCTTTCCCCATGCCATGACAGGAGAAACAAGGCCGTGGACACTTCACAGGGATGTCCAGGTAAGAGGCCCTGGCATGGAGTGAGGGGACTTCATGGCTCACCAGCCCTTTTGGCCCAAGTAGCATGTCAGCAAAGGGCTTGAGGCAGACAAGGCAGCCAGCCACATGTCTGAATGCAGATGTCAGCTCTCGTCCTTCCACCTCACTGAGACCCTGACCCACAACCTCCCTTCTCCCCAACAGAGCTGCCATCTTCCCGAAGGCCGAAGGAATCAAAGGAGGAGACTGGGGGTTCCTTTCTGCCCCTTCCACCTTTCCCCTTTGAGCCCTGGGCAGTGGGCCCTGGCCAGGAGCACTGCTGCTGCCAGGGGGGAATTAATCCCCAAGGCAGCACCCCTGCTACCAGCCTCCTCAGGGAAGTTCTGGTCTTCCTCTCAGTAGCCCAGAGCTGGGCCTGCGGGGAGAAGATGGCAAGCCTCTGTCTGTTGGGGGGCTCCTGAGAGGGATCAGGCAGAAGGCCTTCTCCCCAGATCAGCATCCCTTAGAGACTGCTAACCTTGGCTCCCAGAGAAGCCCTGCCTTCCCAGATGGGCCACCAGCCAAGATTCAGCCACCCTGGGCAGGCCAGAGCCCTGTAGGGGAGTCATTCTCTCTCTTTCACAGGTATACTGGGTGCATGCTGGGTAGGGGCTGTTTGGCTCCACAGTTCTCCTCCCTCTTCCAGATTTGGGGGCCCTGCCCCCTCCATTAGTGAGGCCTTAAGGAATGATTGAGGAGCTCTCCCCTTTAATCTATAGAAGTAATTTCATGTTTGTTTGAAATAGAAGATGAAAGGCAGTGGGGGTTGGGAGGACTGAAGCCCAGCATGGCTCTACCTGCCCACCCTGGTCCCTGGGTTCAGAGGGAAGGAGAGCTGGGCACTCATGGGGCTGCACAGGGACAGCAGTATAAAAGGCCCACCCAGACTGGGCTGCCAAGCTGGGCCCCTACCCCAGCATTCATGCCACCACTGGAAAATGTCATGGCCGTAAGTATCTGCAGTCAGAAATACAGGACAGCCCAAGGGGTCCCTGCCCTCGGGGGGAGAGCCAAGGGCCCAGTGAGCACCAGGCCCTGGAGGCCAGCACAAGTCCTGAGAGCCCCTGCTCTGCCCGCACAGCCTGGCAGGGGCTGAGAAGTTTCTTTCTGCTGTGCTGTTCTCTGGTTCTCTAAAATGGCCACACACACTTTAAATGGGCCAATGAAAAGATACAATTTCTTTTGCCCCTGGGCCCAGGACCCTCAAGGCTCTGTTGTGTGGTGCCCGTGAGGTTAAGTTCAGAGCATAAACTGACACGCCAGGCTCTGGGAAAAGGCCCATCTCTTCTAATAGCAACCCAGCAGTGCCACAGGAGCCCTGCTGGGGCTTTGATTTGGGAAAACAAACAGAAATGGCACCGTGGGCCCTTCTCGGCCCCCACCCCAAGACCTATTTAACTAGAAAACTCTAGCTCAACTGCTCTGGTAGAGGGAGAGATTGGCCCGACAATAGCCCCAAACTTTGGGGGAAAAGGGGACAAAACAAGCTGTCTGTCTCCTCATCCCCTCCTCCTGGGCTCTTTTCTTACTGCAAGTGTGTTCTTATAAAAACGATTAGATTGCAATTTGTATAACGTGGTGACCCCCCAAATTCAGACATTTCACCCCTTTTCTCTGGAAAGAATGTTAAGAATGCTTCTCGGCCTCTCACTGTGGGGGGCGAGAGGGGGGTGCAGAGCCTTGGCTGTTGCACAGCTTGTGTGGGAACAGGGCTGCTGCTCAGAGCCCCAGGCCAAGACGGGAGCAAGGGCCAGCCTGTCACTATAGAGGGCCAGACAAAAAGTCCATTCCCTTCCAACTCCCGTGGACAAAGCCCAGGCCTCCAGGATCCACTAAGGGCTGGGGGCCTCCACACCCTAGCCTCCGCCGAGTCAAGTCCAGCAATTCTCTCTCCACCCAGGGAAACATAAAGACAGATGGGGCCATCTGTGTGAGCCTGATGAATGAGACACAGGCTGAGGAGGGGCAACCTGGGGGAGACCTGTTTCCTTGGCTCTGACCGTGTGCAGGCTGCTCCTGGGAACCCCACTACCTGGACAAGAAGAAGCAAGCAGAGTGCGGCCACACCCCTGAGAGGTCAGGGCCCCCTGGCCCAAACCATCCTGCTGCCCAGGTGACTCTACTGCAGCTGGAGGGAGAGAACTTCCTGCCAGTCAGAGAGGAGGGACATTTACATGAAATGCTGACACCCATCACCATCTTTGTGGGGGCAGCTAACTGATGGTAGGGGCTGGCCCTAAAAACCTGGATAGCCCGCCAGGGACAGGCCCTGAGTGCTAAGCTGGACTGGGCACAGGGGGCAGTCCCTGGCACCCTACCCCTGCCCACCAAGTCTGCAGAGCTAGGAAGCCTGGTGCCCTGCTGCACTTCTCCCAGCCTCCCCAACAGCCGCCTGTACTAGAGCACTCCTGAGTCACCACCTCCTCCACCTCCCAACCCACAGCTCAGCATGTCCGTGGCTCCCACACCATTTTTCAGTCATTTTTAACATACTGAATTCCTGATGCTGTTCTCTGGAGACCCTATGCTCCAGAGACCTATGCTCTGGAGACCCAGATGCTCATTCCTGCATCTGTTTGAGTCTGTGCCTACCTGTGCACCTGTCTGCCATGTGCTACCTTGAAATGCAACAATGGCTTTTGGAGAGAGAGAGAGGAGGGAAGGGTGACAAAAGAGTTGACCACCTTCCATCTCTGCTGCCTAGGGGACAGATGGCTTGAAGGTATAAGCTGGGCCCAACATGGCTGCAAAGAGAATGGGAGGTTTTTCCTCCCTTCTATCTCCTTCCTTCAGTCGAGCATCTTCTGTATACAAAGCATTGTGCTTAATGGAAACTACAGGGAGATGTAAGCTGTGACTTGATCAAGAAGACTTTGTCCCTGCCTTCAAGGAGTATTCAATCCAGGGAGAGAAAGAAGTCTGCAACATATATCCAACTAACAAATCAAAATGTGAGTTGGTAGGTACCACAGAGAACAACGGAAAGTTCTACAAGGGGGCAGCTAAGAAAAGCAAGCATTTCTGGCTGGGGGTGTTGACTGATTCTTCACTGACAGACAGGGCTGTCATAGGCAATGACAAGATAGGGAGATGGCCCAGGTGGCAGGAGCAGCAACAACAAAGGTGCAGCACTAGGGCAACCAGGCTGTTTTGGCGGCAGCTGGCAATCTGGTTTGGTTGGAGGCTTGGGAGTGTGCTGGCAGGGTCTGGCCTCCAGGCCACAGTGGGCCTTAGGGTGCACATCCCTCACCTGGCACAAACTCCGTGAGTGGCAGACAGCCATGAGGCTTTTGAACAAACAGTGATTGTCCTAGTCCAGGCCCCGATTGTAGATAAGGAAACCAAGAGTCACAGACAAAAAGTGACAATGTCGTATAGCAAGGAAAGGCAGAGCCTGAATCCATGATAAAGGCAGAGCTCCTGGAAATCCCGTCTGGTAGCAGCTTTCAGGATGACGGGAACAGAGGGAAGTAAGCTGAAGGGCCTGTTGTTCTCTTTGTGTCTGCTGGAGCCAGATGAGACGGCTGCTTAGGTTACCTGGTGGCAGAGTAGCCACCGCAGCAACAGCTCACATATCCTGAGTCCATACTGTGTACCAGGCAACGTGCTGAGTGTTTTACTCGTATCAGCCCATTTAATCCTCACAACAGGCTTTGGAGGTAAGTTTCTTAACCCCATTTTACAGATGAGAAAATGAAGGCGCAGGGGTCACGCACCTAGTAAATCTTAGATCTATATGCTTCAGGGTGGTGGCACTCCCCACCTTCACAGACAATGCAGCCACTCCATCACTGGCCCCTCAACATCCTCAGGACTTGCCCCAAGAGTTACCCAGGGTCACCTCCAGCCCTTTCCAGCTCTTTGCAGGCTTTTCCACCTCACAGATGCCCAGAGGCTTGCCCTCTGGTGGAGGTAGTGAGAGAATCAAGGGGACAGATAGGTTCTAAACATTAACAATGGAGGAGCTATGGAAGCTTCACTTGCCTCAGCCCCATCAGGTGAGAAGGAAGGGCCTTCTCAAGCATACAGCCTCTCACATGCATGTGTCTGTGTGCACACACCCCCAGCACCCACCCACGCACATGTGTTCAGACACAATGGCTCAAAGGCCAGGCAGCCCACTTTGTACTGCTAACAAGGGGGCCATAATTACAGGAAGGGGCAGCCGCGTAGATAAAAGGATACAAAATTTCAACATCTGTTGCCATAAAGGGATAAGGAGAAGTGAAACGCAAAGTATCAGTTTGGTGTCAGCAGGCAGAGAGCCAATTTCAAAGAGTTCAGGGGGACAGAGGAGACAAGAAAGAAAAAGTTAAGGGGGGAGAAAGAAAGAAAGAAATTACAGGGTTCCTTAAAGAGGTAAAGAAAAAAGAGAATGAAAAAAAGCTATCAGTAATGCTTTCAAAGGAGAAGGGAGGTACTTTAAAGAGGGGCAGTTCCCGTAATCACCCTGACTGTGGGCCAGGCCCCTGCACAAGGTGGGGGCAGAGGGCCAGGGCAGACAAAGCCACACCTGGGCAGGATGGGCACTAACAGTGCTCTCAGAGTGGCCCAGCCTGTGTGCAGGACACGGCTTCCTTCTCCAGACAGAAGGGGCTCCAGCCAAATGTCCCTTACCATTTATTCCAAATGTCATTAGATGCCCTGATACTCACTCATATCCTGTGCTCAGTTCAGGATACCAAGGTCAGTTCCCAGCTCAGAGGGAGAGTTCTACCAGGCCACAGCCATGGCTGACCAGGTGGCCCTTATCAGTGTTCCAACACTGTGTTCAGTGGAAAGGGCCACCAACTCCAGCCACAGGGGTCAGGATCAAGGAGAGCTTCGTGGTGGAGGTGCTGTTTATATTGAAGAGCGAGCAGGGTTTCATTAGGCACAGAGGGGGTATTCTGGGCATGGGGTTGGCTTGAGCACAGGCTCAGAGGAGAAAAATCTAGGGCATCTGTTAGGATGGGTGAGAAGCCTATTCTGCCCCTGCCTTTGTTGAGAAAAGGGGAACTTGGGAGCTTTGAGGTGGAAGTGGAGGTGTAACATGGGACCAGGGATGACCCTGGCCCAAAGGGGAAGGGGAATCAATGGGATGTGTGCAGGGCTTGCCACACACACAGGGCAGCACAGGACCTGGCCAAGGACTCAATACCCTAGGAGCAGCCAGGTCACCAACCACCTCCCCACCCCTTTCCCCACCCCACAATCCCAGTGGGGCTTAGGGCTGTGACTGTGGCTGGACCTACTATGACACCTTCAGGTCTGGGATTAAAGGGCTCTCCATCCTGAAGCCCACCTGCCCACAGGCTATCAGGGGCCCAGCTGTGCCCTGTGCTCAGGGCACCAGTGCTAGGTCCATCTCAAATGCCCCTTGGCAGAAAAAAAAAACCCACAGCAAGAGGAAGCCCATGGAGGAAGGGGGTATTTGTGATGTCAGGCCAGTCAGACCCACTTGGGCCTTCCAGCTGCCAGGAGCTGGGCCCCAGACAGTCAACACAAGGCACCTTCCCTGGGGCCTAGCCAAGGAAGGGTCCTGCTCAAACATAGAGAACACAAGATGAGCCTTGATTCCTCCAAACTCCAGGCTCGGGCAGGATGGCTTTGGCATAGTTCCTCAGGGCCTGATGGGATCACAGGGCCTAGCTAGGGATACTTCAGTGGTTGGTCAATCAAGATGAAGATACCGGAATTCCTGGCACTTGGGAGTTAGGGAATGGGCTTGAAGACCACCTACCATCAGAAGCAGAAATATTCTGGCACTTTGAGGTTGGGTGAAGGACTCTTTCTCGTTTAGATAGTAATCCTCTGTCCTTGGGCCTAACCCCATGGTACCCAGTTCCAGAAGACAGAAAGGCAGAAAAAGTCCAGGCGCAGTGGCTCACACCTGTAATCCCAGCACTTTGGGAGGCCGAGGCAGGTGGATCACGAGGTCAGGAGATCGAGACCATCCTGGCTAAGACGGTGTAAACCCTGTCTCTACTAAAAATACAAAAAATTAGCCAGGCGCGGTGGCAGGCACCTGTAGTCCCAGCTACTCGGGAGGCTGAGGCAGGAGGATGGCGTGAACCCGGGAGGCGGAGTTTGCAGTGAGCCGAGATAGCACCACTGTACTCCACCCTGGGTAATAGAGCAAGACTCTGTCTCAAAAAAAAAAAAAAAGAAGAGGAAGGGGGAAGGGGACAGCCAAGCTCCTTGCCATTTAGGCAACGGCTGTGTGCCTGTGGCTGCCTTCTGACCTGTGTGCTCCAGCTAGCAACTGCCCCTCCATCCCTGTTCCAGCCCAGCCTGCAAGGAGAACAGTCTCTAGTGGTCTTGATGGAATGAGGGGCTGAGGGAACAATGGTGACCCTGAAAGGGGTCCAGGTTCTGTGAGAAGCAGCATTGGCTGTCTGAGGGTGAGTAGCTGAGAGACACACATAGACGTGGGTGATGGCTCCCCTGATGGGAGCGCTGGTGCCCAGTGGGTGGCTACAGCTTTGAATGTGTCCCAGCCCCCACCATCATCCAGGGTATAGCAATGCTTAGGGCAAACTGCCCCTCCAGTACTCCCCGCTCTCTGCCCAAGCCCCAGCACATACATAAAAGAGAAAATCCAGGCGCTCCTCAAGTTGCAGCAGTGACAGGTTAAAAGCAAAGAATCCATCCAGCACCGCTCACCGCCCAACCCCAAGTCCTGCCGGCAATGCTGCTCCACCTCTCGGATTGGCCTGTCAGTCAGGCTTTGGTGTTACTGAAAGATCAAACTTTGTCCTGCCTGTTCATTACCTTAATCCTATTTTCTACATGGCTTTATTATCTACTTGGGCTTCTCTGGGAAAGACAGCTCTAGAGAGTCATCCTGTCCATCCATTTCCTCCCACCAAAAGCAAATGCCTCCACCAGGGCATCTTTCCTCAATCGCTGTACCACTTGGTCCTCCAAGCTTCTCTGGGGACAGGACAGATGTTTAAACAAAGCCTGGTTCCTCCCAGTGGATGAACCTGGGGCTGGAGAGAAGGCACTGCCAAGTGGTGCCCAGGGCAACCCTGCCACAAGCAGCAGAGCCCACAGGCTGGCCAGAGCGGGCAGGGCTGTTTCTTCTCAGGCTCCAGGAAGAACTGAGGCCATAGTTGTTTGTTTTGTTCTGTTTTTAATTTTTTTTTGATAAGAAACAAGGTCTCACCATATTGCCCAGGCTACTCTCAAACTCCTGAGCTCAAGCGATCCTACTGCCTCAGTCTCTCAAAGTGCTCGGATTCCAGGCATGAGCCACCATGCCTGGCTAATCACTGTCTCATACCTATTCTCATTAGAGTCCATTCTGGTTTCAATAAAGACCCAGTGTTTGGGGTTAATGAGATCTAGGGGTTTCATAAGAGAATAACAGTCAAATAAATGGTGCCTTAGAACTCCATCCTGACCATAAATCTGTACCGAAGAGTACCCTTCACCAAGGCAACCATAGGCAGAAGAGGCCATTCAAAGATTACCCAACATTTGAGATGATGCTGGGTCACAGTGGTGTACCCAGCCCGCCACCCGGCTTGTGTGTCATCCTGGGCCCAGGCAGGTGATGATGCCAAACACAAGGCCCAGCTATGTAACCAAGTAAAAACTTTCATCAGAATGCCCATCTTTGTGACCCACAGCCCATTGTCAAGAGCCTTCCCTGTGCCAGGAGTTCAGCAGGTTCACCTCCGCCTCCACTAGTCACTAAGACACGGATATTTTAAGAATTAAAAGCCTCCACAAGCCAGGCACAATGGCTTACACCTATAATCCCACAACTTTGGGAGGCCAAGGTGGGAGGATCACTTGAGCCAACGAGTTCGAGACCAGCCTGGGCAACATAGCGAGACCTTGTCTCTACAAAAAAATTTAAAAGTTAGCCAAGCATGGTGGGGCATGTCTATAGTCCTAACTACTTGGGAGGCTGAGGCAGAAGGACCATTTGAGCCCAGGAGTTCAAGGCTGCGGTGAGCCGTGATGATGCCACTGCACTCCAGCCTGGGTGACAGAGCAAGTCCCTGTCTCTCAAGAAAAAAAGAAGCTTCCACAAACTCCGAGGTACTAGTTTGGGTGGGAAGGAAGAGCAGGAAAGAGACAGCTTGCATTAGTTGAATGCCTCCAAGGTGACAGGCACTGTATGGGAAACTCTTTCACGATAATTTTGTTCATACCAGTTCTGTTAGGTAGGGATAATTAATTTCCACTTTACAAATGAGGAAACTGAAGCTCAGAGGGCCCCAGATCACAGCAAGAGGCACAGATAAGTTATGGCTAACTTATCTACTATGTTAATGAGAAACAACTGAAGGACCTAGAACTTTTGGCCTGAAGAAGAGGAGGCCCTGGAAGAGCAGAACCAAGGTTTTCAGATATTTAAAAGTCTGTTCTTCAGGAGAGAGGTTCAACTTGCTTGTCTCTTGTCTAGGATCACAGCTTCAGGGAGCAAATCAATCCATGATAAAGGGTGGGCATTCTCACTCACAGAGCTACCAAAAGACGGAATGGTTGTTTGGGGAAGTAGGGAGTTTCCCATCCCTGTTCTTGGATGACTATCAAAAGAGAATGTTGAAGGAAAAAAACCATGATTCATTGATTAAAACATCTCATGTTGTTTTAAAAATTTTGAAAAGACTGACTATAGAATGGATTTTTCAAAAAAAAAAAAAAAAGCTATGGCTAATGCTTTCCTACAGAGATGGAGAAAAATGGAGAAGACAAAGCTACAGCAACTGAGGAAGCAGGTGAGAAGAGCATCTTCGCCAGTGCTGTCAAATGTGGCATTTAAGACACAGACCACATGTGGGGCCTAGGGCAAGGTGAAGAGTTCTTAGACTTGACACCAAAGGCACAGTCAATAAAAGAAAAAGTCAATAATTTAGATTCCATCAAAATTTTAAACATTTGCTCTTCAAAAGACCCTGTTAAGAGGATAAAAAGACAAGCAGCCGGGTGCGGTGGCTCACGCCTGTAATCCCAGCACTTTGGGAGGCCGAGGCAGGCTGATCACGAGGTCAGGAGATCGAGACCATCCTGGCTAACACAGTGAAATCCTGTCTCTACTAAAAGATACAAAAAATTAGCCAGGTGTGGTGGCAGGTACCTGTAGTCCCAGCTACTTGGGAGTCTGAGGCAGGAGAATGGCGTGAACTCAGGAGGCAGAGCTTGCAGTGAGCTGAGATCACGCCACTGCACTCCAGCCTGGGCGACATAGTGAGACTTCATCTCAAAAAAAAAAAAAAAAAAAAAAAGACAAGCTACAGATTGGGGGTAGATATTTGCAAATCACATATTTGACAAAGGACTAATATCTAGAATACAGAAAGAACTGTCAAAACTCAATGGTAAAAAAAAGCAAACTGCTTGCCTCGGCAGCACATATACCAAAATGGAAATGATACAGAGAAGACTGGCATGGCTCTTATGCAAGAATGACATGCAAATACATGAAGTGTTCCATTAAAAGAAAACAATCCAGCAGGCAAAAGACATGAACAGACGTTTCGCCAAAGAGAATATTCATATATGAAATATATGGCAAATAAACACATGACAATATATTAACATAATTAGCTATTAGGGAAATTCAAATTAAAACATGATGAAATATAACACCTTTAGAATAGTTTAAAAATAGTGAATCCAGGCATCATGGCTCATGCCTGTAATCCTAGCACTTTGGGAGGCCTAGGCAGACAGATCGCTTGAGCCCAGGACTAGCCTGGGCACGATGGCAAACCCATCTCCAAAAAACACACAAAAAATTAGCTGGGCATGGTGGCACACACCTGTAGTCCCAGCTACTAGGGAGGCTGAGATGGGAGGATTGCTTGAGGCCAGAAGTTCAAGACCAGCCTTGGCAATATAATGAGAACCTGTATCTCTAAAAAACATAAATAAATATAGATTTTAAAAAAGAAAAAAAAATAGTGAAATACCAAATGCTGGTGAGGATGTGAAGAAATTGGATCTCTCATACATTGGTGGTGGGAATGTAAAATGATAAAGATACTCCAAAAAATAGCTTGGCAGGTAAAAAAACTAAGCATACACTTACCAAACAACACAGCATTTGTACTCCTTGGCATTTATCCCAGAGAAATGAAAATGTATGCCCACACAAAAACCTGTACGTGTTGTAATAGCTTTAGTTGCAATAGTCAAAAAATTGAAAACAGCCCAAACATCCTTCAATGGGGAAAAGAAACTTTGGTATATCCATACCATGGAATACTACTCAGCAATAAAGAGGAATGCACTATTGATACATGCAGCAACATCTGTGGGTCTCAAGGGAATTATGCTGGGTTTTTAAAAAGCCAGTTTCAAAAAGTGACATATTGTATGATTCCATTTATGTAACATTTGCAAAATGACAAAATTATAGAGATGGAGAACACATAAGAAGTTGCCAGGAATCAGGGACAATGGGAAGAGGAGGAGGGGAGAAGGATGGGTGTGACTACCAAGGGGTAAATGAGGAATTTTTGTGCTGATGGAACAAACAGTTCTGTACCTCAATTGTGGTGATGGTTATCTGAATCTACACGTGATACAATTGCAAAGGACTAGACACACATAGACACAGACAGACACACACACACACACACACACACACACAGAGTGCAATCTGAATAAAGGTCCATGGATGGTACCAGGGTCTATTTCCTGGTTTGATTATTACATATTATGTAAGATGTTACACAAACACCTTTCCATCTTATTTTTGTAACTTCCTGTGAATCTATAATTATTTCAAAATTAGAAAGTTAAAAAAAAAAAAAAAACCAGAATGGCAGATAATCAGATGGGAATATGTCAAGCCTGCCAAGGCAGAGAATTGTGAATAAAACCTGCATGTATTTTCACTGTTCTGTATAATTCTTTTTATAGGTCCGTAGGCCACCTTCAAAATTTCTTTATTTTAGCAAAATCATCTCTGGGGATAGATGGGATTTTATATAGCCACATAGGCATTCCTCAGAGAAAGAGTATCATAAATCCAAATTGTTGTTGTTATCATAAATTCTACATGAAACTATTTACCTATTATAAATTACTTCAGCAGTCTCCTCCAGCTAACCCTGAATGATTCCATGTGAGAAGGCACCACAGCAGAGGCCTCCTACTAGACCACTTCCCAGCCTTCTCCTGGACCACTCAGCCAACTGAGGCAGAGGCTGGCTCAGCAAGCTTTCCCTCACCTCCTGGACTGGAAGCCAGCATGGGCTCATGAATCTCTTACCTGTTGAGGTCCCAGATTCTCAGGGGTGAGAAGTGCCCGCAACAAGCCGTCCCTGTCACAAAAGAGCTGCCAAACAAAAGGAGAACAAAGTCAGATCTGGCTTGTCAGAACCTGTGGTGGAAATGGCTAACAATGGGAAATGCCGTGCTCATTCCCTAGGGGATTGTGGGTTAAGCCAGAATGAGAGAAGTGGCCAAGGGAGCCATCAGAGGAGCTGTGGGAAGACATCTTGGAGCACTGTGAGGGGTGTAGCCCCCAGTGGTGCCTGGCCAGAAGACCCACGAGCTCAGCCACAGCTGGGCCTGCTGCACAGACTAGGTTGAGTGGTCTCTGCACACCATAAAAACAGATCTCTAGACGTGACAAGTTTGAGCCCAGGAGAGAGCGAGCCTGTCGGGCTCCTGTTTAGGAATCCCAAGAGCACAATGGCAGGGCACAGAAAAGGGCTCCAGGGAACAGGTTGCTGGGGCTGGAAGGTGCTGCCCGTGGTCAGAAGTAGGAGCAGCTGAGGGGCATTCCTGAAGGTTTTAAGAGCTGGGGGAATCTGGTAATGTGGTATAAGCACAGGGCAGGTATAAAGGCACCAAAATGAGAAAAGGAAAAAATATGAAAGATGAGTGAATCCCTTGGATGGGTATATGCTACTACATAGGTGGGGCGGAGTCCCCAGAAGCCAGGCAGCCAGGGCTTCTGGAGAGTGGGATGGGAGTCCGCCAGAGTCCTCTGAGGCCAATAACAAACAACGCCGAGAGGCACACGAGAAGGAGCAGGCTGACCCTGTTGCCCAGAGTGTCCCTTTAGAGCCCTAAAAACCTCAACATATACAATCTGCAGAGTCTCACTTTAAATGGAGGCACAAGCCTGGTATAAAGGATCCACGCAGTGGGCCAGGCTGGCTGTAGTGCTGGCCTAGAACTTGAACCTATGAGCCAGACAACTCTTGTTAGAGGATTTGGTAGGGTGGAGAGGGGAAGCCTTCAGGAAACCTGGGCTTGAAACTTAAACAGCAAGCAAGCAAGTTGAAAGCAGTGGTGTTAGGAATGGGCCATGTCCCTGCATGTCTTTCATGGGGGGGAAGGAAGACTGGACATACTAATAACACATTAGCAATGTGGGGGCAACAGCCCATCTGCTGTGGCCCAGCCCAGCACCTGTGGCTCCTCTGATCCCAAGCATGTCAGTGAGGAGATGGATTTCCACAGAGAGGGCCCTGGAGAAGCCAGTGGCTTTGGCTGGGGTGGGGAGGTTGGCCTGCCAGTTGCTGATGGGGGAGATGTTAGGGCAGGCACTGGCCAAACCACTGATTTACAATAAAAATTGCAGGGCAGGTGTCTGCTCTTCAGCCCTAGGCTGATAAAAAGGCCATACGAGCTATCCTGGGGCTTTCATGACTCAAGCCAAGACTTCCTCCAGGGACATGCCCCATCATCCTAGCTTCTTCAAGGCTGCCAGCAGCCACTAAACTATAGAGTGGGAGTGCCAAAACAGTCACTGTGCCATGCCCCAAGTGACTGCCAGCCTGGGAAGCAGCCAGTGGATACTGAAGAACCAAACTACAAAGTCAGGAGGTGTTGCCCTCTCCTCCCTCCCCAAACATTTTTCTATTTAGGGTAATCCATTAATAACTGGTAAAGCCAATTACCTTGGGCTGGAAACATAATAGCCACTTGGAAATCATTCGAGCAGGCAATTGGACTCTCCAGATTTGAGGAGTGGGGGCCAGGTGAAGGGCGCCAGCACAGACACAGGCATCTCTTTTTTTTTTGAGAGGAATCTCCCTCTGTCACCAGGCTGGAGTGCAGTGGTGCAATCTTGGCTCACTGCAACCTCCACCTCCTGGGTTCAAGCAGTTCCCCTGCCTCAGCCTCCCGAGTTGCTGGGACTACGGGCATGCACCACCACACCCAGCTAATTTTTGTATATTTAGTAGAGACAGGGTTTCACCATGCTCGCCAGTCTGGTCTCGATTTCTTGACCTCGTGATCCGCCCACCTTGGCCTCCGAAAGTGCTGGAATTACAGGCGTGAGCCAACGCGCCCGGCCAGGCATCTCTTAAGGCCTATGGCAGGCCTCTGACTGGCCACAGGCCTAAATTAGCATCAAGGTAAATCAATAGAGAGGGGAGCAACTTTAATCCTGCTGGAGATCAGAGCTGTGGGAGTGGCAGGGATGAGGGTGGTGTGGGGATGTAAATCCCCTTCCCAGGGACTCCTATCCTCCTCTATTCTGGCCCACCCACATCTGGCCCTGATCATCTGCCACCAGGAGGAGTGCCCCTCACCTTCATACCCTGTACAGGGCCTTTTTTTTTTTTTTTTTTTTAAATAGAGACAGGGGTCTCACTATGTTGCCCAGGCTGGTCTTGAGCTCCTGGGCTCAAGTTGATCCACCTGCCTCAGCCTCCCAAAGTGCTAGGATTACAGGTGTGAACCACTGGCGCTCAGCCTCCTGTGAAGTGCTTTCTTAACTGCCTAGATGTGACATCTATAAATGTTTCTTTCCAAAAGCTGCCCTTTTCTCTCACCTAACCACTATGAATCAAGGAGAAAAAAGAGGGAGAGAAAGCAGAGTGTCTTCCTGGCACTTAGGAGGACTTAAGAGTTTAATCAAATTTAACACTCAGTAAAAAACCATCAATAGTCAAGCAGATTTTGAGCAAACACTCACCAGGACTCACACCCAAACCATGGGGCCTGCCCAGGACTCTTGGGGGTCAGGCTGGGTGCAGACACAGTTTTGCACACCTTCAACTACTCCCCACTACCTGCAGCCATTCTTGCCCCCCACCCCACTCCCTTATTCCCATGGTCATTAGGAAGAATGAGCAAAAGCTACAGACCAGCCACACTCAAAGTCAGAAGATTAGAAAGGGCGTGCGCACATGCAATCTCAGGGTACAACAGATACAAGGAGCAGAGGAAGAAAAGGAATTCACTACTCTCCAGCACCCAAAGGGTGCTTCACATCTCACAATGAGCCCACAAGATAGATATTATTATTCCCATTGTGCAGAAAGTGAATATGAAGCAAAGGCCAAGCTTCCATGAATGGACTTAAAATACTGTGGCTGCACACAGGACCTGTTACCCCCACACTCAGACTCCTCCCTTGAGACTCACGGGATAAAGTGCTTTGAAAAGGGGCTGGTGGGGTGGGATCTGTGCATCACAGGCAGTCTCACTGGCCTCAGTTCTCTAACCCAGGTGATTTAACCCAAACAAAATGCTGTGCTCTGATAACCTGTTCGATTTGAATCCGCGAGATGTCTTCAACCAGATTCTCGTCACATCCCTCACGGTGCTGGCTCCTGTGCTAGGCGTGTCAAAGGCTCTCAATAAATACTTGGAGATCAATGAAATGAAAACGTGTATCATTCCCTCCGTGGCTCCTCCCAAGGGATTGCTCAGTGACTTTTCCCCACTAAAGGCCTTTGCTATAACTTCAATTTTGGGTTTGAAAGTGATGAAAAACCCAGCTCGGCTCAGAAAAGAAAGAAAATTCAAACGGCTTTTGCCCTCAGTCCCATCTCTTCCCTCAGGGGTATTCCAGGGACAAGGACATCAAATCTGTGCTGAACAGACAGAGGCAAGAGCTGGTGGCTCCCCAGGTAGGCTGACCATCCTTCTAGTCCTTTCCATACTCATGGGACAAATGGCATTTTTGGTTTATCTTCCCATCTCCCCTTTGAGATCAGAATCCTTTAGAGGCTCTTGGGTACTGTACTGTCTAGCACAGTGCCTGGCCCAGAGAAGGCACTCAATAAAAATTTGTGGAACTGAACTAAGAGGGCCTTCCAGAGCCCAAAGCCTACACAGCTGGGAAAGCTAGTCATGTGCACTGTGAAGTTGGTCCCTCTGCTTCCTAAAGGAATAATTCCCAAATACCAAAGGCTCAAACTTGAATGACACATGACACAGGCATACAGTATCAGGAGAGTGAGAAGTCCCTCATAAGCACCACAACCAGGTAAGAGATGAGAGGTACCAACACCTAAAAATTAACATCAAAACACACACAGTCAGGCACACTCATGCAAGTACACATATCCCCTCTTAGCTAGAGGGTCTAAAAGTCATTTTGACTCCATAAGCTCTTTTTGGAACAGAAAGCCCTTACCAGAAGCCAGCCTTCTATAATTTCTCACCCTGTCCCAGACATTAACCAGATCTTCAACCTGCCTTACTCGTCCCCTGGCCCTAGCTCAGGCAAACCTGGCATCATGCAGACTATCATCAGGCTCCAGAAGTAGACATAGGGGCCTGTCTCACCAGAGGAAGATGCCAGGGAGTTAGAGTTTGTGTATTCAAGTTGAGAGATTAAAAATAACAAGACATAGAAAAGAGGAAAGCAAGGTAAGAAGGGAAATTAGTTGGGCACGGACAGCCTGAAAGGCAGGTAGATTCCTCCTGCTTCTGCATTAGCTTAGGCCCTCTTAATAACACTAGTAATTTACTGAGCACTTACTATGTGCCAGGTGCTGAGCACATGTTTCAAAAGCATTATCCTATGTAATCCTCATAACACTATGCAGTAGGTACCACTTTCCCTTTTTTTTTTTGAGACAGAGTCTTGCTCTGTCGCCCAGGCTGGAGTGCAGTGGTGCAATCTCAGCTCATGCAACCTCTATCTCCCAGGTTCATGCCATTCTCCTGCCTCAGCACCCCCAGTAGCTGAGTTAACAGGTGCGCACCACCACGCCTGGCTAATTTTTGTATTTTTAGTAGAGAGAGGGTTTCCCCAGGTTGGCCAGGCTGGTCTCGAACTCCTGACCTCAAGTGATCCACCTACCTTGGCCTCGCAAAGTTCTGGGATTAGACGCATGAGCCACCGCACCCAGCCCCACTTTCCCTATTTTACACATGAGGAGACTGAGGCTTTGGGAGGTAATTAATTTGCTCTAGCTCACACAGGTAGCAACTAGTGGACTGGAATTGGAACCCAGTCAGTCTTGATTCCAGACCCAAGTTATTATACCACCCCTCGCCCAGAAGTTCTCATGTGGGCTACACTTCAAGAGTTAGTCTTGTTTGAATCTCCAGCATCTAGTATAATGCCTGACACATATTGAAAACTCAAATGCTTATTGATTGAATGAATGAATGAATGGACAAATGAACAAATGACTCCACCTGGAAGAAGAAAGAAGCAACTGAGTGGCTCTGAGGCAGGGCAGCACAAGTGGCGTGCTCAGCAGCTGTGCCCCGTGGCTGGCCTAGAGCCGCCCAGCTGGCCCAGGCCCCAGCAGCCTCTGAGCCTGGGCTGACACACTTTGGCAAGGGAGGCCACCAGAGCTGTCACATCATTCACCAACATGCCCATCAAGTGTATTCAGTTCTCTTCAACCCGCATTGGCATTTTAATTACTGTTGGGTAAACTAATTTGTACAAATGAAGGCCAGGCTGCCTAATAGAATATGCAAGCTCTCTGACCTCTGACAGGCACTGACACGAGATACAAAGGCAGCCGAGGAAGGCTTTTTATCTGAGCCTTATTACTCTCTATTACTCCAATTAGTCAGGCTCCAGTGCTCCTAATTGGAGGAAAAATTGCAATTAAATCAATTTTTGATGGGCTGCAAGTGGGCTCCCGAACCGCCCTGCTTGTGAAACACTGATATTATAGCAGCAAAGGTCACAGGCCTCATTGGCACCTGGGGGCCCCCCGATTTCCCTTGGCCCCCTCCTTAAATACCTCAAGGAAACCTCTGTCCCTCCATTGGCTCAGCCAGCAAGGGTAGGAAGGAGGGAGTCATTAGAACATGTCAGGTCTCATTGCTGCTGCCGCCATCTGCTAACCTCCGCCACTGACATCATTACAGCAGTAAGTCCCAAAGCATGAATACAGTGCGAAGGTCACAAAAACTCACTCGGTGAGGGGAAGCCAGGAGCATAGCTGCAGTGACAGCACTGTGAGGGAGAGACCAGTAGAGTGGGAACAGGAGGTCAACAGAAGTCAGGAAGGGGAAAGACACAGGCAGGGGGCAGGTGAAAGTGTGAGACAACCAGTTCCTAAGATCCAGCCAACAGGGCACCCTGGGTCACCAAAGGGATAAGGAAATAGATGTGATGGGAAGGGGAAAAAAACAGGCAAATCTTGTTATCTGTCCAGCAAACATCCCACCTTGCAGGTGGGGAAACATCCACCTGAATGCCCTCTAGAGCGCAGCTCCAGAAGCTGCTCGAGTCACATCTGTGATGAGTGGACAGGGCCATGCTTGTGGAACCTACCATCCACAGTGGCATCTGTTTCGAAAGAAGGAAGGGAGGCCCTAGGACCAAAGCTGCAAGACCAGGCAGGGGAAGATAAACACAACTTTTTTTTTTTATCAAACTAAAGCCGAATAAGAACAAGATGCCTAGCTAAAGCTTGAATTAATAAAGTTTAAAGCAAATAAAAAGAAGTTTCATTTCACACAGCAACTGGCATACCATTACCTCAAAGAGACAGTGCAGACAGAAAATTTAAATTCAAAAGCTTAGCCAACTTCACGGATGACTGAACCATAATGGGTTAATAGGGAAAGGAGGATATGCCTTGCCTTCAAGGGGTAAAGACCAAAGCATGTTAAATAAATGATGGTCCATCTACTTAATGGAATATTATACAGTCCTTTTAAATGATGTTCCCAAATAATACAAGCAAGAGACTTATGATATACTATTATAAGAGAAAAAAGCAGGGTACAAACAGCACTGTTACAACTACTAAAAAAAAGAGCCTATGCAGAGAAAAGGAAAGAGTGGAAGAAAACTAAAATGTTAAAAGTGATTGTGTCTGGGCAGTAGAATGATAAGCAATTCTTTCTTCTTTTAAATTTTCTTCATTTTCCAAATATTATTTAATGAGCATGTGCTGTTTTTTAAAGGGAAAAACACATTATTTACTTTTTTTTTTTTTTTTGAGACAGAGTCTCGCTCTGTCGCCTAGGCTGGAGTGCAGTGGCGCAATCTCGGCTCACTGCAACTTCCGTCTCCCAGGTTCAAGCAATTCTTCTGCCTCAGCCTCCCAAGTAGCTGGGAATATAGGCGCATGCCACCACGCCTGGCTAATTTTTTGTATTTTTAGTAGAGATGGGGTTTCGCCGTGTTAGCCAGGATGGTCTTGATCTCCTGACCTTGTGATCCACCCACCTTGGCCTCCCAAAGTGCTGGGATTATAGGCGTGAGCCACCGTGCCCAGCCATTATTTACATTTTATAAGAGAAAAGACAACATAACACTCCTGTCCATGACTCAGGGCCAAGGGCAGGCAGACCTGAAGGTGAGCGACCTGGTACAGCTAGTGTTAGCAACCATGGCCCTGGTACACCTTGCCCTGAAGTGATGGGACTGATCAGTAGCTTAAGGTTAGGCCAAGAAGCTCCAGATCAGAAGGGAGGTGCCCCACTGGCCTCTTTCTCCCAATTAGGCCACAGCTGGCAGAGGTCTGGGACACCTCTCCCAGTACACATACCACACATATTCTCTACACACACACACACACACGCAACCCTCTCTCAACCCAAGTGCATCAGGGCAGGATGGTGCAAGTAGGTGCCTAGGTCAGGCTCTGGATAGTGTCCAGAGGCTGGAGCTCTTACTGCTTGCTCCCTGCCCCCCAACTGCAACTCCAACAAATAAGGGCCAGCAAAGCAGGGTTTCTGCGGAGGAGTGCATTCCTACAGCCAGAGAATGCCTACAGAGAAACACAAAATGATTATTCTCTATTTTAACGAAGGGTACAAGGTCAGCCTAACCAAGGATAGGAGAGCCTAGCCCAGGCTAGACAAAAGGAAGCCTGAGGTTTCTGATTCACTCAAGAATCAGAAACTTATAAACTTGAGCAATGGGAGCACAGAATTAATAGAGAGGGGAAAAAATAAGGAAATAAAAAACAAAAACTCTCAGTACAGTGGAATAACATAAGTTCATTCATCCTATTGAATTTAATAAGGTGTTGGGAGCTGCAGGGAGAAGAGTTTCTAAACTGGATTTCCATCTACATGGCCCCTTAAACAACTGTTCCATGTGCTCCTAAAATAAAGAAATGGCAAGGTGTCCCTGTACTAAAGCAAAAACTGACCGGTTCAGACTTCCTGAGAAATGATGATACAATATTCACAAAATGAGGTACCCAACAAGAAGCATGCAAAAAGACAAGCTATACATGGTAATTACTTGCAGACAATATAATTGTCTGCCTAGAAAATCCAAAAGACTCAACCAAAAAACTATCACAATTAATACCAGGGTCAGATGAGGTAGCTGGCATGTTGCATACAACAGTAGAAAGGGGTGCAGGTGTGGACCCCTGGCTCTGCCACCTAGTAATCATGTGATCCAGAGTGAGTTATTCAACCTCTCTACAGCCCTGTTTCTTCTTCATAAGACAGAAATAGTAATAGTACCTAGGCATTGGCTTGTTATAAAAATTATATGGGAAGTATAAATTAGTTCAACCATTGTGGAAGACAGTGTGGCGATTCCTCAAGGATCTAGAACCAGAAATACCATTTGACCTAGCAATCCCATTACTGGGTATATACCCAAAGGATTATAAATCATTCTACTATAAAGGGGACATCAATGAAGCTGGAAACCATCATTCTCAGCAAACTAACACAAGAACAGAAAACCAAACACTGCATGTTCTCATAACTGGGAGCTGAACAATGAGAACACATGGACACAGGGAGGGGAACATCACACACCAGGGCCTGTTAGGGGGTAGTGGGTTAGGGGAGGGATAGCATTAGGAGAAATACCTAATGTAGATGATGGGTGGATGGGTACAGCAAACCATCATGGCACATGTACACCTATGTAACAAACCCGCACGTTCTGTACATGTACCCCAGAACTTAAAGTATAATAAAAAAAGATTATATGGGAAAAGATGCTTAGAACAGTATATACACATAGCACACACCCACGGATGTTAGTTATTATTATATACCAGCAATAACCAAGTGTTATTATATACCAGCAATAACCAAGTGTTATTATATACCAGCAATAACCAAGTGTTATTATATATCAGCAATAACAAACTGTTATTATATACTAGCAATAACCAATTGCAACCAAAATGTAATTAAAAATCCAGGCTGGGCGTGGTGGCTTACACCTGTAATCCCAGCACTTTAGGAGGCTGAGGGGGGTGGATCACCCAAGTTCAGGAGTTCAGCCTGGTCCAACATGGTGAAACCCTGTCTCTACTAAAAAATATATATATATAAATTAGCCAGGCGTGGTGGTGGGCACCTGTAATCTCAGCTACTCAGGAGGCTGAGGCAGGAGAATCACTTGAAACTGGGAGAGGGAGGTTGTAGTGAGCCAAGATCGCACCACTGCACTCCAGCCTGGGTAACAGAGCAAGACTCCGTCTCAAAAAATAAATAAATAAAATAAAAATAAAATAAAAATCCATTCATGAAAAGAATTTAAAAACTGTAGAATATCTAAGAATAAATCTAACAAAAAAAACAAGAGAAAAATGAACAAATAAACAAAAATCACTAGAAAAGATCCATATAAAAATATAAAACTTTACTAAAGAAAATAGAATTGTTGAATAAGTTTGGAAACATCATATTCCCAGATGTGAAATCCTGATTATAAAACTGTCAGTTCTCCCCCAATTAATCTATAAATTCAATACAGTCCCATCTACACAAGATTTTTACTTAATCAATTGATTCTAAAATTCATCTAGAAGAGGAAAACCACAAGAATAACCCAGAAATATCTGAAAAAGAACAATAAGAAAGAAGTTGTTCTACCGGATCAAAACATACTTTGTATGATATTCATGCTGAAATAGGTGAATAGATCAGTGGATCAGAATAACGAATCCAAAGCCACACCTATCTACTTGTAGAAAATCAATAGATCCTAAGTGTGGTCTTTAAGAGAGTAAAGAATGAACTAATCAATAAATGGTATAGGGTCCACTGAATACACATTTGAAAAAAAAAATTAGAAGCCTACCTCCCAGCAGATATCAATCTCAGATGGATTAAGGAGATAAACATTTTTAAACTGTATGAAAACCCATAAAGGTCTAAGAAAAAAATATAGGAAAATAGTTTTATAATCTTGGAAAGACATTCTTAAGATAAACACAAAATTCTGAAGCCATGAAGGTAGTGATCAGACAGACCTAACCTACAAATAACAAAAACTTCTACACAACAGAAGACATCAAAAACAACAAGCTGAAAGGAATTACCATATACAGCAGGGGTCTCCAACCCCCAGGCCACAGACCTGTACCAGTCCATGGCCTGTTAGCAACCAGGACGCACAGTAGGAGGTAAGTGGTGGGCAAGCAAACTTCAACTGAATTTACAGCCACTTCCCATCACTGGCATTACCACCTTGAGTTCCACCTCCTGTTAGATCAGGGGTAGCATTAGATTCTCATAGGAGCACAAACCCTATTGTGAACTGCACATGCAAGGGATCTAGATTGTGGCTCCTTTTGAAAATCTAATGCCTGAGGATCTGTCACTGTCTCTCATCACCCCCAGATAGGACCATTTAGTTGCATGAAAACAAGCTCAAGGCTCCCACTGATTCTACATTATGGTGAGTTGTATAATTATTTCATTATATATTACAATATAATAATAATAGAAATAAAGTACACAATAAATGTAATGCACTTGAATCATCCCAAACCCTGACTCACCCCCCTCCCACCCCCGAGGCTATGGAAAAATTGAAAACTGTCTTCCATGAAACCAGTCCCTGGTGCCAAATATGTTGGGGACTGCTGATATATAGTCAAAAGATTAATACTGAGAATATTAAAAGAGGTGATGGGAGGCCAGAAGTGGTGGCTCATGCCTGTAATCTCAGCATTTTGGGAGGCCAAGGCAGGCAGATTGCTTGAGCCCAGGAGTTCAAGACAAGCCTGGGCAACAAAGTAAGACCCTGTCTTTACAAAATATGAAAAAAATTAGCTGAGTGTGGTGGCATGCACCTTTAGTTCCAATTACACAGGAGGGTGAGGTGGGAGGATCTGATCCCTTGAGCCCAGGAGGTCAAGGCTGCAGTGAGTTATGATTACACCACTGTACTCCAACCTGGGCAACAGAGCAAGACCCGGTCTCAGAAAAAAAAAAAAAAAGAGAGATGGAGGGGCACCCCTCCAGCATCCTGCCTTGGAGCCCACTTCCTCCCTACCCTGGGGGGGCGGGCGGAGGGAAGAGCGATCTTATAAATCACAGGCAAAAAGGTAGATAAATGAGTGAAAACTTGAACAAGTAATTTATGAAAAAATATACATGGCCAAATACATATGAAATAATGTTAAGCCTCTAGTAAGAATTGCAAATTAGGCCAGGCGTGGTGGTTCACACCTGTAATCCCAGCATTTTGGGAGGCTGAGGTGGGCGGATCAGTTGAGGTCAGGAGTTCGAGACCAGCCTGGCCAACATGGTGAAACCCCATCTCTGCTAAAAATACAAAAAAAGAAAATTAGCTGGGGGTGGTGGCGTGCACCACCTAACTACTCAGGAGGCTGAGACAGGAGAATTGCTTGAACCCAGGAGGCAAAGGTTGTGGTGAGCCAAGATTGAGATTGAGCCACTGCACTCCAGCCTGGGTGAGAGAGCAAGACTCCATCTCAAAAAAAGAACCAAAAAACAAAAACAAAACAAAACAACGGAAAAAAAAAAAACAAAAAAGAATTGCAAATTAGAGAAAAAACAAAGATAATTACAAACACACATAGTATTTAATGTGTGCCCAAGTGCTGTTCTAAGCACTTTCTATCAATTAGTTCACTTAACCCTCAAGACATTCCTACATATTTGATAATATTTTTCTAGGTATGATAATGGTATTATGATTACTATCTTTTTTTTTTTTTTTAAAGATGGAGTCTCGCTCTTGTTGCCCAGGCTGGAGTGTAATGGTGCAATCTCGGCTCTCTGCAACCTCTGCCTCCCGGAATCAAGCAATTCTTCTGCCCCAGCCTCCTGAGTAGCTGGGATTACAGGTGCCTGCCACCACACCTGGCTAATTTTTTGTGTTTTTAGTAGAGACGGGGTTTCACCATGTTGGTCAGGCTGGTCCCGAACTCCTGACCTCAGGTGATCCACCTGCTTCGGCCTCCCAAAGTGCTGGGATTACAGGCATGAGCCACTGCACCCAGCCCAGGATTACATTTAAAAAGTATCACTATCTTTTAGAGTACAGACTGAAATATTTATAGATGAAATTGTATGTCTGATATTTGCTTCAAAATAATATGGGACGGGAAAGTGTGTAGGGATTAATGGAGCAAGGTTAGCCAAGAGTTGGTAATTATTCTACTTTTGTATATTTTGAAAATTTCCGTTATAAAAACATTTTTAAAAAGCCACCATGGGCCGGGCACGGTGGCTCACATTTGCAATCCCAGCACTTTGGGAGGCTGAGGCGGGCGGATCACGAGGTCAGGAGATCAAGACCATCCTGGCTAACATGGTGAAACCCCATCTCTACTAAAAATACAAAAAAAAAAAAAAATTAGCTGGGCGTGGTGGTGGGCACCTGTAGTCCCAGCTACTTGGGAGGCTGAGGCAGGAGAATGGTGTGAACCTGGGAGGCGGAGCTTGCAGTGAGCCGAGATCGTGCCACTGCACTCCAGCCTGGGCGACAGAGTGAGACTCCGTCTCAAAAAAAAAAAAAAAAAAAAAAAAAGCCACCATGAGCCAGGCATAGTGGCTCATGCCTGTAATCCCAGCACTTTGGGAGACCAAGGCGGGCAGATCACTTGAGGCTAGGAGTTCAAGACCAGTGTGGCCAACATGGTGAAACCCCATCTCTACTAAAAATACAAAAATTAGCCAGGTGTGGTGGTGCATGCCTGTAATCCCATCTACTTGGGAAGCTGAGGCATGAGAATTGTGGGAGGCAGAGGTTGCAGTGAGCCAAGATCATGGCACTGTACTCCAGCCTGGGTGACAAAGCAAGATCCTGTCTCAAAAAAAAAAAAAAAAAAAAAAAGGTCACTATGAGGTTTGTATAGCCAAAATTACCCTCCTCCTTTTAGAGATAAGGAAGATGAGGAATAGAGAGGTAACTCACCAACATTACACAGCTAGTAGGAAAGGGACTGATGATTTGACCCCAGCCGTGTGGTCTGCAAAGTCGACCCCGTAATCACTATTTTATACTCACTCCCCAAATTAAATATCATTTTTTACCTATCAGAGTGGCAAAATTTTTCAAAAAACGGATATTACCCAGTACTGATAAGAGGAAATGGGTAATTGTACACACTGTTTGCGGGTATAGAACCTGATACGGTCTAACTGGAAGGCAATGTGGTGGTGTCTAAAAACTTTTTGGTGCGCTTCCTCCTCAATCCAGCATGATCTTTCTAAGTGTCTTTCCTGGAAAGATACCTGACCATATGTAAAAATAGGCAAGTACACAGATGTTTCCCAAAGGACTGTTTGTAACAGCAAGACACTGGAAATAACCTACGTGTCCATCAGTAGAAGGATGGTTACAAACTGTGGTTTGTAAGGCGTGGAACTAGAATGCTGCAGTCAAAAAGAACATGGTAGGATGGGGTGCTCTGACATGAAAGGACCTCCAAGCCTCGTAGGGAGATGAGAAATTCAAGCTGCAGAACAAATGTATAATGTGAGCCTAAAACAAAGCAGAACCATATATCTATATATGTACACATATTGATGAAACTATATGATATCTGCTATTTGCTTCAAATGAAAAGATCTGGAATGACACATACTGGATGTCCTGCAAAAAAAAAAAAAAAAGAGTAGGATAACGGGAGGGGACACAGGTCACTGAAGGAGATTTTTCCTTTCTATTCTATATATTTTAAATTGTTTGAATTTTTACAATTAGAACATATTTATGTATCACTTATGTATAAAACAACAAAACAGAAATTAAGAAATTAAAAGAATGGTAATCAAAATACTCATTTTGAAGTTACCTGAAAGATGTGTTGCATATTAGTAGCACACTGAATTAAATGTGATTCTGATTATTGCACAAACCACATGATATCTTGGCTCCATCCGGGACTTGACAGAGACCCTTTACCTCGATGGCTTTCTGAGTGGTGAAAGCCTGGGAACAGCTGCCTATGAGAATTCCAGTTTTCCGGCAGCTCTGACAGTGCTTTCCCCCAAACTTCTGCTTCATAACCACTCTGTTTGTAAAGAGATGCTATGCGTCATGAATTATACACAGTAGGACTACAGAAGTAGGATCCATGACAATAAGAGCTACTGTATCTATGTACACAATAGGTAAAGCCTATCCCTCACAAGAAAGGAGTGCTCCATTTGTAGAGGAGTGCCAGCAGCAAGCCCTGGTGCACGTGTCAACTCCCTGCAGTTTAATCCCAAATCATGCAGCTTGCTAATCATTTTCCTTTGGAGGAAGCCTGGGCAGGCCAGACCTGTGCCATCCCAGGACTTGGTTCCAGTCTCTCTCTGCCCCTCAGGGAGGGTGCTAGGCCACTGCTCATTCATACAACCTCAGGTGTCTGCAACCAGGTTCTTTCTCTGTGCATGTCACATTAGAATATGGCGGGTTTTGCTAAGGACACCATCAACAGCTTACAAAGGAGGAATCCTTATTTGCTGACTAGTAATAATGTGAGGGGGAGGAGGTCAAAGGCTGTACAACAGTTCCTATCAGACTCTTCACTTTGTTTAAGAGTTGGTAGCCAAGGTCTCTGAGCTCAGTCACCATTCACATAGACACTTTGGGACTGGACATCATGGAGTCATTTGGCCTTTATCCAACTAGTAGACACCTATTGTTCTGTGTGCCCACATTCTCCCTCCATATATGTGATTCCTGAGAGATCCACCATGTTCTTACATGACTTTCCCTCCCTGGCCACAGTTAATTAATCAAGAGATGCGCAGCTGACCCAAAACTGGCCTGGGATTTTTGGAAGCCAGTCACTCTCTCTGATTTAAGCCATGAGCTGCCAAACTCAGGAGCACTTGGCAGCCTCATGGAATAAGCTGGTCAGCTTGGAGAAAGGAAGGAGCTAAGAACCATAAAGAAAGAGATGAGCACCCCAGAAGGATAAAGCCATGGCAGCACTATGGCCTCTGGTTCAGCTAGTCCCAAGGGTGTATTTCAGTTCTGCCTTTGGCTTGGTTTTTCACCTTTTCCCTTGGATTTCATGAGCCAAATATTCTGTTTTATTTATGTGAATTTGAATTTGGTTTCTGTCACTTACAATAAATGTGTCCTGAGTAATATAGAGCCTCTGTTCAGTAACTGCTCGGCTTCTCACCCAACTGAATGTCCTCACTGAGAGATGAGCAAAGGGCTTTGCCAGGCCTCTACTGGACACCTTGGGGCCTAAGAAGATACTTCAACCACAAAATTAATACCTGGTAGGTCTTCTAGGAGAGCAGATGAAACAGAACCACACAGGCTGGCCTGGAACTTCAGAAAGGAGATGAGGTGTTCTCTTATACCAATGCCTAAGAACAGTGCCAGGAAAAATCTACCTGCCCACTCCCAGTAGGGGGTGAGGAGATGGTCTGGACAACAGAAAATAACAAGGATGCTGCTTGAGGGATGGGAGTCTAGTCTTCAAGGGACAAGGCCCTGATCTTCAGAGATTTGGTCCCTTGAATCCCTTTTTATGGACTGATGAGACTGAATGTTCTACTGGAAACCACATGACTCATTCTAATGGGGCAGAGTTTGGTTTACTCTCAAACCCTTCCATTTTCTTTTCTTTTCTTTCTTTCTTTCTCTTTTTTTTTTTTTTTTTTTTTTTGAGAGAGAGAGTCTCACTCTGTTGCCCAGGCTGGAGTGCAGTGGCATGATCTTGGCTCACTGCAACCTCTGCTTCCTGGGTTCAAGCGATTCTTGTGTCTTAGCCTCCCAAATAGATGGGATTACAGGCATGTGCTACCATCCCCAGCTAATTTTTTTTTTTTTTTTTAAGTAGAGATTGGGTTTTGCTGTATTGGTCTCAAATGGTCTCAAACTCCTGGCTGGTCTCACGCTCCTGGCCTCAAGTGATCCACCTGCCTCGGCCTCCCAAAGTGTTGGGATTACAGGTATGAGCCACCCTGCCCAACCTAGACTCTTCCTTCCCCCACCCCCGCCTTTTTTGAGACCAAGTCTCACTCTGTCGCTCAGGCTGGAGTACAATGGTGTGATCTTGGCTCACTGCAACCTCCACCTCCCAGGTTCAAGCAATTCTTCTGCCTCAGCCTCCCGAGTAGCTGGGATTACTGGCACCCGCCACCACACCCAGCTAATTTTTGTATTTTTAGTAGAGATGGGGTTTCACCATGTTGGCCAGGCTGGTGTCGAACTCCTGACCTCAGGTGATCCACCCACCTCGGCCTCCCAAAGTGCTGGGATTACAGGCATGAGCCACCGCGCCCAGCCAACCCTTCCATTTTCAACAACCATAATGCCAGGCATTTAAGAGATAGATAATTTAAATATATTTTCCACGTATTCATCTAATTTTAATTAAAAGCATGCACAATTGGATAGGAGAATCTTTGAGGGGGAAAAAAGGAAAAAAAGCATGCATAAAATAATTAAGATGGTGATGGAAAACACAGGGGTTAATTTTACTATTTTTCTCTTTATCTTTGAAAATTTTCAGAATTAAAGTTTAAAAATACACATCCACAATCAAAACCAATTGACTGTGATCTTTCTTTGTAACCCCAAGCAACTCCTTTGTTACAACTTCTTTTATCTCTTCTCCACCCTGACCTGGTACAAATGACCCAAAAACTAAGGGAAAAATAAATCTGACTATAGGAGCAAACTCAAATATTCTACTTCTGAATCCCTCTGAGTGACATGTGCACACAAACACAAAACACAAGAGAAACCAAGCAGAAAATTCACATAGTGCATGTAAGATTTTTTCTCAAAAAAAAACAAAACAATACACATACACCTTAAGTGTGTCCCCCCAAACCCTCTCACTCTCTTTTTTTTTAATGAACCTGGCCCCAGATCAGAAAGACATTTGAAGTTGTAAATCAGAAATTAGGTACGAGGAAACCAAAGCTTATTTATGGAAAATCACATTATTGTGTATCAAAATAATATATGAGATGTTACATAAGAACTCTATAAACATATCACTGTATAGTATATCAATAGACACACATGTGGCCAGGCACAGGCACAGTGGTTCACACTAGTAATCTCAGCACTTTGGGAGGCTGAGGCGGGTGGGTCACCTGAGGTCAGGAGTTTGAGACCAGCCTTATCAACATGGTGAAACCCCGTCTCTACTAAAATTACAAAATTAGCCATAAGTGGTGGCACACGCCTGTGATCTCAACTGCTTGGGAGGCTGAGGCAGGAGAAATGCTTGAACCTGAGAGGCAGAGGTTGCAGTGAGCCGAGACTGTGCCATTGCACTCCAGCTTGGGCAACAGAGTGAGACTCTATCTCAAAAAAGTAAAATAAAATAAAATAGTCCACACATGTGTATGTGTTTAGGATATATGTCTATGAATATATACACATTTAAAAATTGAAGCAAAACATGACAAGTGGCCAGGCACAGTGGCTCACATCTGTAATCCTAGCACTTTGGGAAGCCGAGGCAGGAGGATTGCTTGAGGCCAAGAGTTCAAGACCAACCTGGCCAACATAGCGGGACCCTATCTCTATTTTTTTTTTTAATTAAAAAAAAAACATGACAAGTATCTGAGCCTCAGGTTCCTCTGAAGTCCCATCTCCTTACAGGCAGCCACTATGCAGAGCCTGCCACAGTGAGCTGCCCCTTCCTGCTCCTCTCCAAGCTACAACACCCCTCTGGGACTTCCAAATTCCAAGCAGCTCTTACTCTCTATAAAACCTCCCCTCCATCCTCCTGCTCAGGACTTTGTCAACAGCCCACACACCTCCCCACTGCCAGTCTGTAGGCACCAAATTCTACCTCTGAAGCCTCCTTGGTAGGCAAATAACACAGCATATTTGCTTTCTGGGAAAAGTCTGCCCCTCGATGTTTAATTTCACCTCTTTGGAACATTGGAATAAAGGCCAAACACATCATGAGCCACAGGGGAGCACTGGGGCCAGGGCAGTGCCTGAATCAATGCCATGCCCACCATCAGCGCCACCAGGCCCTCCTTTAAAGTGCCAAGATTTAGGGCAGGGCTGGGCGTGATGCCTACACTACCTGTGATCTGGGGGTACGCACATACATACATACCTGTAAACTACCAAATTATAGACTACTGATGCACAGGTCAACTTCCCTCCCTGCCATCCTCCCCAAATAATATAAAATAAGGTCACCTTATCTTTCCAACTTGTGCTACTCCTCAGAAATAGGAGAAGGCAGGGCTTTGCCAACAGGAGACTCTCATGAGCCACATCAGCCAAACTAGAGACCAAGAAAGCATGTGTCCGCCCAGGCCACTGATTCCTTTACTGCTGAGTCTCCACACCTCACCTCATCCAAACAACATGGGAGCAAGATTGTAATGATTAGCGTATCTACCCTTCAATTCCCCACACATCACTCCTAGCCCAGGCCCAGTAGGTGGCTGCTGGCCATTGAGCCTTCAGTTGCCAACTGTCCAAGGTGGAAAGCTGTGCTATGGCTCAACTCCCAGGTGCTGGGATTTGGCCCCTGGGAAGAGAGAGAACATGGGCCTAGTCACAGCCTTGGGAAGAGGTACATGCCCTCTGGGTTGTCCTGACCTTGCCATCCTTTGCTGAGAAGGCACACACACACATACATGCAGCCGCGTTTGCTCCCTTCGGTAAGAGGGCACCCAGGATGCCGCAGGCATATGCACGCTTTGCATTACATCTCCACTTGTGCTAAGGAGCAGATAGCGGTCTGTGGGCACACATGTCCCACACAAGGAAACTCCACACAGATCCTGTAGACACACTGTGCCCACAGGGGTCTCTTTACCTAAACTTACTGGGCAGTTGTGATTTTGCACTAGCCCAGGTGTTAAGCCCCTGCAGTTTTCTCCCCCTTAGGCCAGTCTCTGTCCCTCCCTCTTCCCTCCCACGGTAAGTGCTTTCAGGCCACACAATGAGTGGAAGGAGGAGAAACACTTCTATTGAGGAAGGCGTTTTGTTGTTTCATCCCTAAGGGGGCCTGGGGTAGGGAAGTGGGGGGGCCCACAAAATTTCTAATAAGCAGTTTCTCTCCTCAAAGCTAAAATGATTTTCTTTAATTGCTTGGTGGGAACAGTTTATTGTGGGGGTCTCTGCCCTCCCCGCAAAGCCTAATTGACTTACTGAAGTTTAACAGGGGCTTTCACCTGGAGAGACTGCAATTATTCCCCCCATCCCACATTCGTACCTGGGCTCTCCCCACAGGGGGCCTTTGTTCCCCCTAAATACAGCAGTGACACAAATGTCCTCAGCAGCAGGGGAACACAGGGAAATGGTAATTTTCAGCCCAACTCAATTAGCTGAGGGCTTTTCAGCCTTTCCAGTGAATGGTGGGGAAACTTTGGCATGTGGGAACGGTGAGCTGGAGCTGCTCTGTGCAAGCCAAACAAAAGAGGACTCTGAATTGGGCCCCGTGGTGAGCCAGAGCAGGACTGGTGGGGGCAGCTGGGACTGGGGCCTGGGCAAGGGAAAGAAGGTGCTGCCATCTATTACCTACATTGTCATCCTCCCAATCTGCATCTTCCAAACAGGGTCAGTAGGCCAAATAGCTTTCTGGGAAGTGGAGACACTCAAGACAATTGACTTGTACTTAGCACCACAGCCCTGCATTTATGAAGCAAGGAATAGGAAAAAGATGGCAAACTGAACCTGAGCAGCCATGGGCCAAGGGAGGTGGCTATGCAGCAGGGTGGCCACAGTGCTGGATCTGCTCTGCTCTCTCCAGAGGGCCTGGGGCTGGAGCTCACATCATATTTTGGGCCTTCATGGGCAACTCAGTCAGGAAGCTTCAGGGAAAAAGATTCTCCCAGAAATGCCACAGACCTTTCAGAGCCCTGTCTAGAAACTCCAAAACCAGGCACTCTCCAATGCTACTCTGCTAATAACATTATGATCCAGCAGAACCCAGGACTGATGAAAAGGTACACAGCTGAGCTGCCCATAGCACAGGCCACTGCTCTACAGCCCTGCCCTCCAGTCATGCCAACAAAAATGAGATCATACCCCCATTTGCCACCCAAAACCTCACCACATACAGAGGAGTCTCTGACAGCCTAGGTGAGCTATATTCAGGGGCAATCATGGCCATGGGCTGTAGGAGCAGTTTGGCACATGGTTTGTAGGTGGTGGTCAGGTCACACTTTTTGCCTGTTTGCTCGGCATTGAGATCTAGCCATGAAAACTACTGCACTATGATGTGCTACCCCAGCCTGCTCCTTCAATGGCCTGGGCTGGCTGCTAAGAACTACTGTCCACACCCTCACCCCCACCTCAAGCCTTTGCAAGAGTTTCAGAGTCATTCTCTATAGCAGAATCTACAAAGAAAAGGGTGGCTAGTCTCAATACCCACAGTTCAGATGTGAAGCCAGACCCTGCCCTGACACCCCTGCGGCATGGAACAGCCTCTTCTTTTTGGGGGGAAGCCCAGTCCAACAACCTGCCTGAGACAAGCAGGCCTACAAGATGAGAGGCCCATGAAGATTCATGAAACGGTTTGCTCAGAACAACTGGCTTGGCTCCCCAGTCCCATTTGGCCTGGATTCTGTCTTCCCATCTTCCTGTGCCCCTGTGTCAGTCCTGTGTCTCACTTGTACAGGACACCCTCTCCCCGTCACCTTTTCCTCAGACACACACAGGCTGCCTCCCTGGGACAAATGGAAGGTCCTGCTCTGGGACTCATCACCCCTTTCACAAAACAAGATTTTGCCTGGGCAATCCCTGAGCGGGGAACAGACAAAGACAGGGCTTCATTCCTTCAATAAGTACCCAGGGGTTCCCCAAGCCAGCCTTGTGATAGACGCTGGGGTGTTCAAGAAAAACCAAATTCATATAGGCTTGCCCTTAGGCAGCTTAAGGTCCAACCAGAGAATCAAGTCTTGAATTCATTTTTTTTAAAGTTGGAAACAATTCAAGATAATCAACAAGTTCTAATTCCAAATGAGAGAGCTCAGCACAGGACAGGCAAGCAGACAGAGTAGCACGGAAGTGAAAAAGCATGACCTTTGGAGTCAGATGCCAGGACTCCAACACTGGCTGTGTTGGCTATGAGAGATGTGACTCTGGCTGTTTAGTTAGCCTCTCTTGGGTCTCAGTTTCCTTTTGTAAACTGAGGATGATGATGGTACCTATCTGGGGGGATTAAATAAGGTATAAAGTGGTCAGCATAGTGCCTGGCACTTCATCAGCACTCTACAAGTGCTAATCACTCTTGTCATTATTGTGATCATCACTGGCCAGGCCATAGAGCATCAATTGGGATTCTTGATCAAGGAAATGGCCTAGTAAAGGGAACCTATACTGTTCCCCTGCAGTATGGGGTAAGAAGTGAGGCCTTGGGTCCCCTGTCCCTATTCTATTCTGTAGACCACTTTAGAAAGCTACAGTCAAGGCTAATGACAGACAGGACAAATTTAACCTGGCCAGGGCCTCAGGAGATTCTGAGCCAACCAGGGGCCTTAAAGGGGCAGACTGGAATTTGAGCCCCCTCAAACTGACCACAGCCCCCTTAGCTGTCTCCCAACCCTCACTCCCTACCATTAGCCTGCTGGCTGAAATGCAGGGGTCCCTGTGCCAGAAGGCCCAGGCTAGGCAGGAGGCCGAGAGGCACAGGTGGTTCTCAGAGGAGATCCCTGGGCTCCAGAAAGCATTTCCCCCACAGGAGCAACAAAGCCGGGGCTTGTTGCTGGTCAAGGCGCCTTTGCTTGCTTGGGCTGGGGCCCAGACTGTGAGGCAGCCGGGAAGGCCAGGGGACGCAGAGCTGGGAGGGGCAGCGGCCAGCCCTTTTGGCACCAGCTTCCTTCTTCCCTGGGTTTCTCACTTTGTTCAGCACAGTAACCCAAAGGAGGCTGGAGAGAGCACTTTTCACTACCCAGCAAATAAAGCCACAGGGAGAGGGAGAAGGATGAAAGGTTTGGGGGTTTTACATTTTGGTTCTGGGGTATTTAGTTGGTTTGAAAAAATAATCCAATTAATTTCAAACCCAGGACTTAGATCATAAATAGCCTACAGTGATCCCACAGCTTCTAATACCCATTATTCCTCTTCTGAGATTTAAAGTCCCAGTGGAGCCGGAGTTGGTCTCAAGAGGCTGGAGGGAGGTTTTCTATCGCCTGGCGGGGTGGGTGGTGGTGGTTAGGAATGGGGTGCAAGCATGGCTTCAGTCAGCGATACCACAAAACTCTAGGACCTCAAGTTCCCCAAGTCTTCACACACCCATGCAGTACTGCTAGTCATGTGTATGTCTGGCTTTCCCAATGGAGGCTGCCAGAACCCACTTATTCTCAAGAATCATGTTTTCTGGGTCCCAGGCCTGGGCAGGGATGCCTACAATGTGAGGAGATTCCAATGGTGACCTTAATTTATCTGTTCCTCTCATTAGTTCTAGGGAATGGATCTCTCACCCACAGGTCGTTCTGCCCCCATCAGCTCTTTTCCACCAGGCCTCAGAGTGCTGACCCTGTACCTTCCTTGGGTGACTACCACCTTAGAGAGATGAGGGGAGGAACTACTTGCTGGGTAGTTCTTTGAAGTAGGAGAGTTTTACACATAGGCACTTAAGGAGTTGCTAAAGCCTGGGAATCCCTTCCCTAGGCAGCTGCCTGCCCATCCCATCCAACCTCAAGTGTAGTTCCACCCACTCACACCACACCAACACTTGCTTTGGAATCGATTTTTTTTCCCCCAATGGCATGTTTTTGTCTTGCATTTCTGAAATCCCAAACTGTAAAACCATGAAGATTTTTCTCTTTGGAAAAATAGTAGGACACCAAAAAATGACCAAAAAGTCATTTCATTGGAAGCTTCCTTTCTTTCCCACTAAGCCACTTGGGATGGGATACAAACCTTTCAGAAGAATGATAAGAAAGGTCACAAATTTGCAAATACACTTGACAGTGGTATATATTCCTGATTTAATGGCTGGGTGACCCATCTTACTTCAGGCTTTCATTTCTCCACAGTACCTGTGCCAGGTGCTAGACAACTGCTAGCTGCTGACTTGAGGTACCTGCAAGTCCAGTTACTAGAGAAAACCAACTTCCCATCCCACCCCCAATATTCTGCTATCCCTCTGTGGAAAAGCCAAAGAGCTTAGACCCTGATGATAACTTGCTCGGAATCTGCAGGGAGGGAGATAAAAATGAGCTGCCTCCTATAGGTGCTCAGTGAGTTCATAAATCACAGGTCACCCAATCATCAGGGAGGTCCCTGTCCACTAGGCAAAGGGATTAGGCCTCCATTAGGGATGAGGTCTACCAACCAGAAGAAGATATCCTGCGATTTGGGTTTTTTTGTTTGTTTGTTTTTTCCTGTTTTTATCCTGTATATTTAAAGTCCTAGGTACCTCAGGAAGGTTGGACTAAGCATAGACTTGTAGTGAAAGCAAAGGACAGGTTGGGAGGAAAAAAGCAAAAATTCTGGGCCTTTGATGAAGTCACAACAAGCATTGATTTGAGATGATTGAGATTTTCTACCCCCTGCTCTTGGGTATAAACTCTCCCATCACAAAACAGTATCTTTTCTCAGCTTTCCTGAGAACACTAAATACCAGATGATTTGATTGACTAGACAGAACTTAGGTAAGTCACTTCCTTGAGCAAGCACCCTGGATCAGAGTTTTCTGGGGACTGATTATACTTTGAACATGAGCTCCGGGGCTGCAGCAGTGGCAACAGGAAAAGGAGTCAGAACTGTACAGCCAAGTTCATTATCTCAGTCGATAATCTTTCATGGACAGAACCAGCGCCTTGCCTGGACAGAAGTTAATGTGCATCCAACCAGGCCCAATTAAGGCCACACTCACCCCAGCCTTTCCCCGGCCCATGAGGAGAAGATCCTGTGTATGCTGGAAAACAAGTTTTGTCAGACCTTTACCCTGTGTCTGCATTCCACCATTTTACCCTTTTAATACAAAAGTTAAAATAGTCAAATATCAGATCTCCCAGAAAGTCAGGTTTTCTGATCAGTATTGTTCCTGTCATTCCCAATTCCTCAATCTTAGTCTGAGAAGGGAGGTTCCCATCCCCACCAGAGCTTTTCCCACCTCCTTTTTATCATCAAGGAATGAGGCTTCTAAGTGCCCTCTCACTAGTCCATCTCTCCCTCTCCTCTACCATGCTCCAAACTCTGCTTTAAATCCCTGGGTGCTCCACAAAGTTACCAAGAGCAATTCCTGCTTCTTCCTCCACCATAAATACAATTATATTTTTAAAGGAAAAAAGGCAGCCCAGGGAATCCCCAAAGAGGCTGCTGTACTCTTCCTCTTGTAATGAAGCTAATAATGAAGCATGCTGAACTCCAATTAGTAAGAAATGCTCATTTTCTCCAGTTGAACACCCCCTATAGATACATCTAATTTGTTTCTATGATTTCATCTCTCTCCTCCATCAAGTTTGCATTTAAAGGTTATGATGTGCCATTGCCCTCCCAGCCAGGCCTTGGCAGGGCAGCCCAGGGAAGTCACAGTGCTTTCTACAATCCGGGAGCCCCAGCCTAACCATCTCTGACATGCCCCACCCACCATTATCACATCCATACACATAAACTCTGTTTCTCTCAGGCTTTTTATGAGCTGTCCACAAAATGGAAGAGAAGGAAAGGGAGGAACAACATTTGGAAATATTAAGGAAAAAAAAGAACAGTAAAAGGAAAAAGGAGGGGTGGGTATTGCTGGGAGTGCCTATTTCCCAATGAAAGAAATGTCCTCTGAAACAGAGTGACCCAAAGCAGAAGCTGCTTCTTACTGATGGGTTCCTTTGGGATTTAGGCCCCTCAAAGACCTTGGAGCTCCAGCTTCTTTCTCCTTGTCAGGCCTGGCAGTGTGACTGGCGCCAATTCCCAAGACAGTCTGAAGGATGCCAACAGCAGCACAGAGGAGCCCCTGTGCTTGGTGAACCTTGGCGGGATGCCTCCCCAGGGCCACCTCATCTCAGCGGCCAGCCTGCATCTCTGCCTTCCGATCCATATGGAAAGTGAAGACACAGCCCCTTTCTAAAAGCCTGATTCCAGATGATGGCCCCCAGCCCCAGGACCACATGGATGCCAGAGCTACAGCCTGGCCATGGTTGGGGGCCTGGAGGCCTTCATCCACTGACTTCCTGACTCCAGGTACTCGAAGTTTTGCTCTCCCCAGAAGCAGAGCAGACCACACCCAGGCTGAGGCTCCCCAGAGTCTCCTTCTCCTTGAGTCATGCATAGGCATCTTGTCTCACAGCAAGACTCAGGGTTTGAGATAAGGTACCCACCCAGAACCCATCCCCAAGCTCCTGGCACAAGGCTATACTGCAGCAAGGTGAGTGGTAAAGACAGAAGACAGCCTGCTCATTGGTCCTTGGTGGCTCTACCTGTGACCATGTCCAGTTCTCCTCACTGGGGAAAATGCCTCCACTTAGGCCCTAGTTCCTAGGGACATTCCCCTTCAACTGCCTGAGATGAGCATTTGTGATTTCCTGAAGCTTCCCCAGACACTCTGCCTCTTTTCTGTCTGGTCTCTATTCTCTCCTGTCCCTTAATGATTGCAGAGTAGTCTCTGCAGCTGACCTGTGCTCTAGCACCCCTCCTGCCTGCCCCCACCTCCCTCAGAGCCCTGCAAGCAAGGCCCTGCTTTGGCTCCCTGAGGCTCACAATCTGTGCTCCTGCCAGACCCAGTCACAAGGGGGGTTTAACTCACTTCAAGCTGGCAGCCCTATGGGGTAGAACTAACCGCCCCCCTCAAGGGGTGGTGGGGTGCCAAGCAAGTGTGTGCTCGAGCATCCCAAGGTGCTCTTGTTTTCTAGGCACCCCACAGTGGTCTGTGACAGACACATGGATGGGGGAATCCTTTGCCAGCCAGAGTTGGCATCTCATCCTACCTCTCAAATCTGCCACCAGCCTCTAGGGCCGAAGACCCTCCAAGAAGAAAAAGCCCTGCAAGACAAAGACTTGAGGCCCCCCAGCCTGGCCTCCCAGCCCAACACAGGCCCGCATTAAAATCAACACTCCGTGAACACACAAAACTGACAGGGCAGAGGGGGAGCACACATCGGATACAAAGATCGGGCTCTCGAGAGACGCGGCCTGTTGGTCTCCCATGTTAGCTCCAAGTGACTAAGCGCAGGGTGGGAAATAACGCCACTATGCCGGCAAATCTCCCGCCTGGGCCCTGAGTTCGGCAGCCTTTTCACGGGGAAGATGCCTCTGCCTGGAAAAAAAATGCAAGCATTGTGTGGGGACCATTAATGCATGCGCCTCTGCACATTCCTTCGAGAAACAGGAGCACACCAGTCTCTGAGCCCCCAGCTCTGTCCCCCAGGGATTGTACAGGCCTGGAACACACTGCACATGCCACCTGGTCCTTCCCCCCAGGCCCCAGCTCTGTGAGCGGTGGGAAGGGGCCCGCCAAACACCCTGGCTTCATTGTGCCCCAGAAAGAGGGGACTAATTACTCGCCTACACTCTGGAGCGCCCAGAGAGAAAACAGAGGCCAGTGGGGTGGAGAGGGTGGGAAATGGGTGGGGGGTGAAAGAAGGGAGAGAAAGCCACAGGATACATTTCAAAGTTTCTCTAGCAATTTGGGGGTGGGAAAAGAAAGCCTGGTCCTGACGTGAAATCATACAGAGGTCAGGGCTGGGTCTCCCACCGTTGTGAGAAAGTGGTGAATCAGGGACGGTTTATCAAACAATCATTTTTTTCTTTTGAAACCAGGAGGCAGCAGCTTGGACAATTCTGCAGATGTGCTTGATGAGTTAGGGACAAAAATGGCCCTTCTCTGCCCCCCTCCTTCCCTCCCTCTATAAGGGCTCCCATCGGGGGTTGCTTCTCCCTCCACTGCCTCCCGGGCCCTCCCCTCCCTTCTTCAGTGGTCAGCTGAGACCCCCACCCACTGCTTGCTTTTGTACTCTTGGCCTTTGGACATACTGACAGGGGCCTTTATGAGACCCCAATCAAGACCCCCATGTCACAGGTACCTAGTAGAGACACCAGACCTTTTCAAACAAGGGACAACAAGGAAAATCGGCTGGCCCATTGTCTCTCCTCTGTGCTAAGTGAGATGAAAGGGGGCCGCGGCCCTCTCCCTGCAGCCCGCCTGCCAATCACCTCTAGTTATTAAGGTCACAATGTGTAAATTCTTTTGACCTGCACCTAATCAAAGATTCACCGGCCCTTTCAAATCCGAATGGGGAGGAGGGGAGAGATTCCCTCCCATAAACCCAGCAAACTCTCCCTCAATAAAATTTCTCTCTCTGATTCCTTCTTTGCTTCCCATCTCCACCCCCTCGCTTCTCCTCACTCCGCCCTCCTCACCACCAGCTTCAAACACAAATGACAAGCCCTGTGGAATTACTACCCCCAAAATCCGAGGACTTGAAAGTTTTTAGTTATATCTCTTTAAAAAAAAAAAAGTTTTCAGACAGCCATAGCTGCCCAAGCAAGCCCTGAACCTGAGCAGCTCCTATGGCTCTGATGCTAAACCACTCCAAATGGCAACATCCGTGGTCAGTAGCTTTTTTCTTGATTCTAAATCAGTCTCTCTTGCTTCGCCCTGGATACCAGTACACATGGAGGAACAACTGGGATCCACGATATTCCCTCACTTTGTCACTTACCATCTCTAGCTCAGTTGCTGACCCTCCAAATCCCACTGCCTGGTTTTGTGAGCTGAGGGGGGAAAAATTACCAAGCCCAAAGTAGGCAACCCTCAAGAAGAAAAAAATAATAATAACGACAGGGTAGAACAATAGAAAACACAACAAGAGCCAGAGGAAAGAACTAGAAAAAAAAGGCAAATTTATTATAGTTTGAAAACAAAATGCTAAAATCAAGCAAGGAAAAGAAAATGCTTATAAATCTCCATGCATCAACATTAGGGGTATACATTTTTACCTTATTGGTGGTATCTATCAATCAGAATAGGGAAAAGGCATAATAAGCAAGGCAGAGATAAATTCATTTATGTAAGTTGCCCCCGAATTACTCATTTGTCCACCATCTACTCTGGCTGGCTGATCTACTCTTCTCCAGGCTCCTAGTTTTCCTTCTGCCTCTGATTGGACATGTTGGCTCTTTGTTTCTCCTTGCTCCACTGTCTTTATTTCTGAATTGTCCTTTGGTGCTAATCCCTCACATTATTTCAACTGTTGTCCCTATGCTGAGGCCTTCTACATCTCAACCCCACGTGTGAGTTCCAGGCAACCATTCCTGGGCTGTCTCTGGCCATTGCCACCTGACTGTCCCATAAAACAAAATTCAGTCTTCTCAAACCCAGTGCCTCCTCCATCATCAGGCTCACAGAGGTACTCGTCTCTTCCCTCTCTCCCTGATGTGCAGTCATGTCTGACTACTGATTTTTTCCTACATAGTTTTCCTGAATGAAAGTTGTCTTCCCACTGTCCCTACGAGTCTGGTCCCTTCCTGCTAACAAAGTGTATTCCTGGAAAAGAACAGCCTGTCTCTCTCCTCCAAAGAATCCTATATGCTGTAGCACAACATAAACCATTTAACTGCTTCAATCTGGCCCAAAACGGTCCAAAGTTCCCTATTTTCCTCAAGTTAAAGTCAAACTCTGCTCTTCAACACCCTCCAAAACTAGACTCCAAATTTCCCCTCCAGCGAGCCAGACTTGTCCACTCTGAACTCCCAAACCTACCTTTAGCTTCCCCATCTCTTTGTATGCCTTTGCTCAGACCAGTCCCCTTGCTTGAAGTTCCCTTATGCAATTTCAATACAGGCATCATGTAAGTCCCACTTCAACTTCCATGTCATCCATGAAGCTCTTCTGACTTAATAACAAGGCTACAGCTTTCCTCTGATTTCCTGTCAATAACCCCAGTAGTTGCTAGCACTTACACTGCATATATAACCAAATAAATTATCGTTTCAGTACATGCATTGTTTCCGCAATTGCACTATAAGCTCCTACACGGTAAAAACAAACAGTCTCTTGTGTTTCATACTTCCCATGTGATCTTGCACACAGCAGCATTCAATACATCCATAAGACAGGCACTCGGGGCCAGGCGCAGTGGCTCACGACTGTAATCCCAGCACTTTAGGAGGCCAAGGCAGGTGGATCACGAGGTCAAGAGATCGAGACCATCCTGGCCAACATGGTCAAACCCCATCTCTACTAAAAATGCAAAAATTAGCCAGGTGTGGTGGCATGCATCTGTAATCCCAGCTACTTGGGAGGCTGAGGCAGGAGAATCACTTGAACCCTGGAGGCGGAAGTTGCAGTGAGCCGAGATTGCACCACTGCACTCCAGACCGGCGACAGAGCGAGACTCCGTCTTAAAAAAAAAAAAAAAAAAAATCCAAAGCTTATATTATCCTTTTAAAAAATTCTAGTATGTTTACTTATTTCTTTCCCCAAAAAAGGTCCCAAGCATGAAACCATGTTTAATGATACAAAAGCAAATGTAAGGGAAGATCTTCTGAAAGTGTTAGAAATGTTCTCAAATGGAATTGTGGTGATAGTTGCACAACTTTATAAATTTTCTAAAAATCATGGAATTGTACACTTAAATTGTACATTTTAAATGGGTAAATTTTATGATATATAAATTCTACTTCAATAAGGCTATTTAAAAATAGAAAGTAAATGTAGGTCTATATATCCTTAATTTTAAAAATTATGTAAGAAAAAAAGGGAGTATTCTCTCCATAGCTGCCTGATATTAAAATAGACATTTAAATGTAATTTCTTTTTTCTAATTATAAAATAGGACCATTATAAAAAATTTAAATACATTAAAAGTAAAAAGTAAGTAAACATCAACAGAAATCCACCATATAAGAAAAAACCCTGAAGAGATATTTAAATAAACTGTCATACTATTTTCTGACCTTTTTTCATTCCACAATCTGCTATGACATCTTTTGGTTCCATAAATGTATATCTGTGTCATCCTTTTAATGGCTACATAGCATTTTATTGAGGGAACATAGTATAAAATATTTTATCAGAACCCTACTCATGGATATTTATGGTTTCTTTTGGTTTTGTTACTTTTTTGAGACAGACTCTTGCTCTGTCACCAAGGCTAGAGTGCAGTGGCACGATCTCAGCTGACTGCAGCCTCAATCTCCTGGGCTCAAGCAGTCCCCCCACCTCAGCCTCTTGAGTAGCTGGGACTACAGGAGCATGTCACCATGCCTGGCTAATTTTGTTTTTAGATTTTTTTGTGGAAATGGGGTCTCACTCTGTTGCCCAAGCTGGTCTTGAGCTCTTGGGTTCAAGTGAACCTCCTACCTCAGCCTCCCAAAGTGCTGGGATGACAGGTGTGTGCCACCATGCCTGGCCTATTTATGTGTTCTTAATGTAAGTCTTTGTACATATATCTTGCAGAATTGTCTGGTTATTGCCTTACAATGAATTCCTAGAAGTGGAATTTCTGTGTCAAAAGGTTTTCATGTTTTAATTTTGATACTCATTGACAACCTAATGCAATTTAAAAACTCTAACTTTTCCTCTTTTTATTCTTGAACTCATCCTTATCAGCCTGCAAAGAAGGATTTTCCGGACCAAAGACTTCTAACAACTGGAAGAATCCTTTGAATAATTTGTGGTTTTTTTTCCTATTAATTTTTGTAAATTCTCAACCACAGCTCACCCTGGATACTAGTAAGAGTCCAACTGGCAGGGAAAGAACACTTCAAAGGCATTAACACATGTGTGTCTTCCTCTTTGCCAAATGTTACAAATCTCACCATCATGCCCAGCTGACCCTTCTCTTAGGTCATTTACCATAGGACCCCACCCTAATCACTCACTTGTTCTCTTCTCATTCAGGCACAGGAGGAAAGACCCAGGTTTCTCTAGGACAGCTAAAGCTGCAGCTGCAACAAGGCGGAAAATAGCAGGAGAAGGAAACACCCTGCATGAGTCGAGTCCTTGGGAGAAAGAGACAGTGAGTCTCGTGCTCTGGACTGGACCCTCTCCAGCCCGGAAGGGCCATGATGCCGTAAGTCTGGGATGAGGAGCATGTGCTAAGCAGTGGCTGATTACATCTGGACAGCATCCTAGTGGGAGACTGCTCCTGAAACTCAAGTTCTGACCAGGCACCACAGCTTGGACCCAGGGCAAGAATCAAGCTAATTTCTCTTTCAAAATTCCCCAATCAATGAAGAAGCGAGGAAGGAACACTCATGGTGGGGACAGGCAGAAAGGGTACATTTCACTTTACCTCACACATCTCAGCTTTTTCTTCAGCCAATGCATGTCACCTGCGCACTGAAACCCCACACAAAGGAAGCGAAGAAGCCCCCACAGTTCCATAGTATTCTCTACTACTTGGGTATATTTACACTGGAAAAGCTCACCCTCCACACTGCCTTTTGGCCTGTTTTTGTGTCTTCTTGTCTAGCTCAGCAGCTAGAAAGAAACCAGTCTGAAGCTTCTCACCTGATCACTTGCTATGCCAACATAATCAAAGTGGTGGTCACCCCATGCTTATCCTATTGGCCAGTATCCCCAAAGCATCCAGAGGCAACACAGACATAAGTGTCTCCAGCCTGGAACCAGAAAGTCACACCTCTCTAGAGGTGTGGGAAATCGAGAGAGGAAAAAGGCCTGGTGGCCTCACATTCTACTTCATCAAGCCTACCCGCTGATCTTAAGAGAGAACACATAAATGAGCCTTGGCTTTAACACCTTCTCAAAGCAGGCAAGCTCCTGCCTTCAAGAGGCATGTTCTTTAGCCCACATATGGAGGCTCCAGTCCCCAGGACCAATGTGTACATTTTCTAAAGCACACTGACTTTGGATGGGGCTACTGTTTCCCAGCCTGCTGTGAAAACCAAAATACTATGCCATGACTACCATGGCCATTGTTCTAAAAGCTGGATTATGGCTTTGCTGTGGGAAGGAGCGGAGGAAGAGGCAGCAGGGCAAGCTAAGCAGGCCCAGAGACGAGCCTAAACACAAGTACATGGAAAACATGGGGGTGGGAAGGTCACAGCAAAACATGCTCTAACATTATTTTAATATCCTATAAGGTTCTCTCTTGTTACTTGAAATTCTCTTCTGCAAATTAAGACCCTGCTGAAGATTTTGGATGTTATCACATCCCAACTGGCACCCCACCTGTCCCCCCTACACTTTTCTGTGCCCATTTATGTTTTCAATTTGCATTGAAAACCATGAAAAGGAAAGCTTCTACAGAAAGCAATTTCCTGGGCCAGCAGCTCCTGGACTAATATTCCCTTTGCAATTACCATGGCTTCTGCATGCACATAGTCACTTCCCTCCTCCCTCCAATCCTCCCGCCCTTGTCAGCACCTCAGATAGGCCTGAGCCAAGCCTATATGACAGGATCCCACAGACCATGTTACCCATTACTCCCTGTGGAAAATGTCCTGGCCCAAGAGAGGAGTAAGAACAAGCTTGGAAATGAGGCAAGGGTCTTGGGTAATCATTTTACTAGGGCACCCCAGAGGCAGAGGGATTTCGTCTGAGGCACACAAGCACATAACTCTTACATGAGACAAGAAATAAAACGCCTACTTCCAAAAGCTCACTATCTGGCCAGGCACGGTGGCTCATGCCTGTAATCCCAACACTTTGGGAGGCCAAGGTGGATGGCATCACCTGAGGTCAGGAGTTCGAAACCAGCCTGGCCAACATGGTGAAACCCCATCTCTATTAAAAATACAAAAATTAGCTGGGTGTGGTGATGCTTGCCTGTAGTACCAGCTACTTGGGGGGCTGAGGCAAGAGAATCACTTGAACCGGGGAGGTGGAAGTTGCAGTGAGCTGAGATCATCATCACGCCACTGTAGTCCAGCCTGGGCAACACAGCGAGACTCTGTCTCAAAAAAAAAAAAAAAAAAAAAAAAGCTCACTATCTGAAACTTCTAAAGAGTCTTGTTCAAGAAACTGCTAGAGAGGCACAGGGATTAGCAGATGTCCAATCCGTAGTCAGAGACCTTTTAGTACTAGTCTGAAGGAAGAGCCAAAAATATTCATTGATCTGCTGATGCATGTATTCTTTATTGTCATCATGTGTAAAATTCTAGTCAGCAAAGCAAAATTCAGTATCAACACAACCTTTATGATTCATAGGGTCTCTATAGCCAGCTTCCCACATCAACAGTATCAACATATTCTACTAGTGTACAACATGGTGCCTATTCTCTTTCTCCATGGTATGAGGAAAATTCCCTAGCTCTTAATCCCAAGCTTCTAACTGCCAAATGGCACTACCGTAATGATGAAACTCACTAAGACTCACTGATTCAGAGAAACTGTCATGGGCAACAGAATTCCTATTCTTGGGCCTTAAGCCCATTATCAAGTGGAGCCACGTGTGATTGTCCTGAACTCAGAGAAGAAATATAGCTGGCACCATGTACTGCCGCTTGGAAGTCCTGGGGACCAGGACTCTGGTACATAGAAAGGGAGAGGGAGGCCTATTTAAAAATAAAAAAAATGGTTTGAGGCCGGGCATGGTGGCGCACATCTATAATCCCAGCACTTTGGGAGGCCAAGGCAGGTGGATCATAAGGTCAGGAGTTCAAGACCAGCCTGCCCAACATGGTGAAACCCCGTCTCTACTAAAAATACAAAAATTAGCCAGGCGTGGTGGCATGCGCCTGTAATCCCAGCTACTCAGGAGGCTGAGGCAGGACAATTGCTTGAACCCAGGAGGCGGAAGTTGCAGTGAGCCGAGATCGCGCCACTGCACTCCAGCCTGGGCAACAGTGCAAGACTTCGTCTGGGTGGCAGGGGGGAATGGTTTGAAATGAAAAAGAAAATGAGGAAGGTAAGACTTGATTCTAGATACTGAAATCTGAAAATCTGCTCCAAGTGGCCTGAGAGCCACCTAATTGCAGGAGGATGGAGTGATCCTTCTACCTGTGATATGACCCCCTCCACATAAAAACATACATTCTGTTACTAATCCAGCCACAACCTCATTATTGCCTTTTTTACTCATTCTCATTAGAAACCCCTACCCAGCCCCTAGTCTACTTACAAGAGTAAGCTCCATTGGCTCAAAAAACTAAAAGCACAGATTTTTCATGAAGATCCCTCTTTTGACTGATCTGAGTGTTACAGCTAACAGGTGGGGAAATCTTCTTAAATATACGAGTATTATCATGACAAGGCCACTGGAACGGATCAGTGCCATAAGTCAGACAGGGCTACAAGTTTCCGCTCTACCATCAGGTTCCTCTTTAGCCTTGACAGATCAAACCCCAAGCCGAAGCAGGCTATAGAGATCAGTTCAGTCTCCAAGCCAAAGGTCTTCACAGTGAGGGACCAAAGCAGCCCTGGCTGGGCCTCTGTCGGCCCGTGTCCCAGATTAATCACCACCAGGAGGGGCCTGGACACCAGCATGCAATCTGAGCCCAAGCAGCACCTGCAGAGGGGTTGCCCCAGCACCTCCCTCACTCCCCTTCGGCAAGACCCCAGGGCATGAGGGTGTCCACCTGTTCACAAGGTTACCTGGCATAGAAGGGCAAAACACTCAGCCATCTTGAACCCTGCAGATAAGTCATGGATGGTTTGAGTGGCTTAGTGGAGGAAGGAGGAAAGATGCAGTGACTCGTGCAGTAAAGTCCAGGCTCCAAGGGAAAGGAAACTCTCAGCCTCTGAACAGAAAGAGAGAAAGGTCCCAATGCTCCTCTCTTCACTGTCCAGAGAAGAAAGCTACCTAGAGACCAGCAGTGGGAAAACTAAGCCCTCAGAGGTTATGAAGCAATGAGATGCTTCATGTGTGTCTAGTACACATTCTTGTCATCTACAGATCAACAGGGTGCTGATGGGAAGGAGACCAGAGCAGGGATGTCTTTTCAAAACCTCCCCAAATGCTGCCAAATATTTCTGTGTGAAAGGAAGCTCAGAAACCTGAGGTTGTAGTAGAGTTTCTTCTGAATACATAGATCTGGGAGAATAGCTTTATCAAATTCAATCAGTAAGCTATTTCCAACAAGGTACATGCAGAGCTAGTATGTATGGTATGCATACACATATCCATGTTAGAATACACTTTTTAGGACCAAAGGACCCTACTGTAATTACAAATTCTCAGATGGTAATCCCATTTATTTTATTACTTCTCCAAGAGTCAGTGGGGTAGGTGGAAGTATTTGTGAGGCTAAAATATAATAATAATAATCAAAAGGAGGAAGATAAGCATGGAAATCTGTATCTTAGAATAGTCTGTCCCCGGCCCTAACTTGTAATATAAGGAGAAATCACTTGAATGGACTGCACCCTTTCCTACCTGCCCCATGGCCCAAAGGAAGGAAGGGCGGGAGGGGTCGGAGTCAGATTGAAGTGTGTGTCCCTTGAAGAGCTGAGAAAGCACAGGTCAGATAAGAGGAGAAAGAGCTCCTACACAGCACCTTCATTTGAGGAGTAACACCGACATCCTGACTATTACATCTTGTACCTCCAAAACTCCAGCTCCAGGAATTCCCTTTGAACCTCCGACTGCAACACAGATTAGGATACAGCAGTGGCTACAATTACACACTTGCTTGGGAAGTTGGGTTGGGAGGGGGGGTGGGTGCTGCATGTGACAGGCCATGAAAGGTCCCTGCCTATAAAACAGACTGAAAAACAAACCCTTAATTTAAATGTTAATGAAAGTGCTGTGGAGACATCAGAGGCTTCCCGGCTGCTCAGAGAACAGCTACACCAGCCACAGAATTTATGGCTCCCCTTCACCCTCCCGCCTCCCTCTCTGCCTCATCACCCACTGAAATTTAAAGACAGAAAAAAAAGAAAACTAATTTTAACATTAACTCCATGCTTCCACTTTGGGATGTGATTGCTAAATTATCTGTTGGCAGAACGGTGATCAAAGGTGGAAAAACACAGGCACGTTGCACACACAACCCAGAAAAGTCAGCAGCAGCTAAAGCAGGAAAATTCCCATTTCCCTTCCTGATGAGCAGAGTGGAAGAAAGAGTGGTGCAGGTAGGGACTGGAGCCAGGAGGTGTAGGCAGTGGGAGGAAGAGAAAGATGACTGATCCGTCCAGCGTGCTCCCAAGGCCCTGTCTCAACCTCATCTGAGAACTTACCACACTCTACTACCTATTTTACTTGTCGGTCTCTCCCATCAGACTATGCTGTCTAGTTCACTGTTGTCTCTCTAGTGACCAGAACATGGTAATGCTTAAGGAGTATCTGAAGAGAGAAAGACAGAGAGTGGAAGGTGGGTATTGAGGAGGAAGGGAGAGAGAAAGAAAGACAGAGACAGAGATGGAGAAAGAAAGAATTTAAACACTAGACTGAGGGATAGAAATGCATCCCTGTTAGCAGGGGGCCAAGTCTGGACACATCAACTCTGTATCCACAGTATTCAGCCGTCTGCAGGAGCCTCTGCTTCTACTTGTAGGGTTTCATGTAAGTCGGCTCTTGACAAGTGGGCCAATCGTGCTGGCCAAGGAAGGAGCTGCTCCCACAAATGGGTTCTGGGCCAGCCAGGGCTCGGAGAGTGCTGGTCTCAGCCCAGCAGCTCAGCACATGAGCCTCCCTGTGCCTATCCTGCCCTGGGTAATGGCAGAAATCCAGGGTCTTGAGGAATTGAAACCCACCCCTGTGGTATTTGGTCCTTGCTACTGATGGATATGACTGTCTGAGAGGCTTGCATATGCATGGGCAATGAACTCCAGGGTGGAGGGCACTGTACTGAGATTTAGCAGGACCTGACTCCAAATCAATGACATCCCCACACTGATCCCTTTCCAATTTTAGCTTGCTGCCAGTTGAACCAGTGGGCCCACCTAGAATTACCTGGAGCTTCCATCTTTCTCCGGGTGTCATGACGCCCCTTCTAGCCATGCCAGCCCTGGGCCCTCCATGGTGTCTTTGTCCCTGCAACTCTCTCATCCAGGGCACCACAGGCAAGAAGCTCCCTTCTCTACTCTGCAGTTTCGCAAAGGGGGACACCAAGCCACTCTTTGACTAGCTCTTCAGGTCTTCTTTCCCTAGACAAGACCCAGAAGAAACTACCCACTCTGCCCCTGACCCTGGGAAAGGAGAAGAGAGAGGTCCCCAAGTCAGCTACAGTCCACGCCATCAGGAGGACCAGCTACAATGCAGAGCACTATAGTCATCCACCTGAGTTTTTCCTCGAGTTATCAAGGTCAAGCATCCCCTTTACACCCAGCTGTCCACAGCCAGCCAGAAAAAGAAAAACTCAGAGGCACAATCTTTACTTTTGATTCTTCTTCCCCTAGAAGTACTCAGCGAGTTATGAAGTCCAGGGCCAAAGGACTGCAGCACCACTGGCAACCAAAAGAATCTGAACTGCAAGTTGGCTGCCTCCTTTTCCAATCTTTCAAACCTCTCTGTCAGAGAAAACTCCAGATGCAATTACCTTTCACTAAAGAAAGATGTATTTCAACAGGCCGCTGAATATGCATCTACCACACACACAACACACAGTAAACCCTGTAGCTACTGGGAACAAACACCCTCCTTTCCCCAAAACCCACCCGCTTACCGAACAGTACACAGTGATTGCTTTCCTTCCAGACGCTCCCTCACCTCTGGGAGAAATGAAGCAAGAAGGGGCAGCTCCTCCATCAAAACCCCCCAGAGGCTGCAACTCACTTTACAAATTTGAATCGGTACATTTCATGCAGACTTGGACTAATCCCCTCAAAAACAAACAGGCCACCACAGCAAGCAAAGTTACACAAAATTATATTGTATATTTAATAACACAGCTAAGTCAAGTTTCTACACCTATACCACTCATATATTTCCCTAATGACAGAAGCGGGAGAGAAGGGATTAAAACCCAAGTGTCATGGGAAGCCTTCCTGACCACACTCTCTCACACGATAGCAAGTGTCCTTTGGAGACAGGGAAAGGGTTTTGCTAAGCACCTTTTTTTTCTTGGAGGGCAATACATATGGTGTCTGCAGAGGGACGAGGAGCTGTGGGCGCCTCTCCCTTCCCCTCCCAGGCAAACAGGGTATGTAGATCTGTAGATTCACTTCACCACATGCCCCCCATGGGTGGCTTGGAGGGGACCCTGAAAGCTGAAGATCTATATGCATTCACACTCCTGGAATGGTGCAAGCATTCACAGCTACCTGAGTGAGCCCAAGCCTCAATCATATGCTGCCTTCTCCCACCACTCCCTGTCTCAACTCTGGCCTTCAGGAAGAGAGAATGTTCACAGGTCCCCACAGAGCCTTTTATGGGCCACAGCTACCATCCAAGATGCTGGTGAATAAGGCACAGCAATGACAAAAGGCCTGCTTGTCCCTCAGCACACAGGACATGGGAACAGGCTAGGGAACTGGGTACAAACTACTCCTCTTCTGCCCCATTCCACATGTGGCCCTGCATTGATCTTCCCTGGGCCTCAATTTTTGCCTTTCCCCAGAAGAGAATGACACTCCCCCTTCCTCCCCAACCAGGGACAGCCTAGGTTAAGGCACTTAGTATAATCTGGCAATCATTACAGCCATGTGCCTATCATCTCCCCACCACTGAATAAGATCCTTGGGGAAGCTGACACGTATCAAGTGTTCAGTAAATACACAAGGAGTGAGGTGAAAGGGTGAGAAGGGAAGAGATGGAAAGTCAAAGGGAATGAAGTTAAGTGTTTAGTATTTCTACATTTCCTCATACTTTAGTATTTACTGTATTCAGCTGGAAATAATTTTTAAATGGCAATAAAACATATTACACATTTTTTAAAATCTGCTTTTTGGCCAGGCATAGCTGCTCACACCTGTAATCTCAGAACTTCAGAAGGCCAAGGTGGGAGGATCACTTGAACCCAATAGTTCAAGTGATATATAATTGTGCCACTGCACTCCAGGCAAGACCCTGTCTCAAAAAAAAAAAAAAGAGTCTGCCCTTCTGTGTTACTCTTGGGAAGTTGCTCAGAATTCCATGTGACCTCAGGAGGTTGTATCTCTGAGGCCTGTGAGCTGAAGGTATTCCTGCCCCATAATTATACTCAGACATATGCCCCTCCACCCCAGGCACGCCTCCAGCATCTCATTCCTGGGCCATCTTAACCTGTCCTTCTATCAATCATCCAACAACTCCAGGTGAGACCTCCTCTACAGGAGAAGGGCTTCTTTTCCAGGTCATGAATCTTAAAAACAGGATTACCGGTGTTGAACAATAAGATGGGTAGAAGGGTATGCGAGAGGCAGAAGAAAAGGTCCTTGCCTGCCACTTTCCTTTGGAGCCTGCTGGTTCTCCTTCTGTGTTTTTTGACTGACTACACATGGCTCTAAGCACATAACCAGTACTAAATATGATCCTCCATGACTCTTTACAAATCAAGAACTCAAAGTAAAGTAAGAAAGGAAAGAAGACATTTGAACACAGACAGATACTTGCTTTCTCTCAGTCGTGAGGACCTCAAATTAAGCCTCTGGATTGAGGTTTCATGTTTCATACAAGTGCCTGAGTACATACATAAGAAGATAAGGTAGAAAAGTCCCAGCATCAGAGATAAATAAGATTAATATATCTGACAAATTATTTTAAATAGAAGAAAGAGATAAATTGAGAAAAGAGCTGTGCTAGGTCTCCTAACTGTCCAGGTTCCTCCTAACTGCATAAGGGAGCAACAAAGGGTTGAGAAATTGGCAGGTAAACCAGGAGTACCTGCCCTAGGGCCAGTACACTGGCTGCCACATCCCCTCATATTTTCCATGAGGAGTCCAGGGTCATATCATATTAGTGACACTGACAACCATACTCAACAGGAATGGTGGCAGGGAGGGGAACTGAAGGTGGTCATTGAGGGCAGGAACACTACAGGGGGAAGAGAGATTCCTACTGAGTCCCCACCTCAAGAAGACTGCAAAAGAGCAGGGAAACTTCCTGGGGCCAGAAGGAGCCCAGGAAAAGGGTACAGACTTGACAGCAGTTGAAGCCACTAAGCAAATGCTACACCAGGCAAGAAAGGATTCTGGTTGACATTACATTATAGCCCTTTTTGAGGATCACTTGAGGCCAGGAGTTCATAATCAGCATGGGTGATAAAGTGAAACCCTGTCTCAATATGCATAACACATATATTACAGCCCTTTTAGCTTTTCAGAGTATTAATATTTTCATATAGATTATTTCAGGTCATCTTCACAATATTCTAGTAAGGTCTGTAAAGGAAATAGTATTCATATTTAATATGACGAAACTGAGGCTGGGAGCGGGAATGACTTGCCTGAGGCCACACTGCTAGTTGAAGGCAAAACAGAACTCATCTCCCAGACTGCTTTAAAGAACAGACCCTGAGGCTGGGAGGCAGTGTCTCTCAAGACTGAGAAAATGGCTGAGTTTATTGAAAGGTTCAAATTCAAGGTCACATTGAGAAGAAATGGATCTAATAATGAGGTAAAAAGACCCTATCCCAGTATATTCTTTGGGTAAGAGAAAAAGAGGCAGAGATAACACCGGCATACACTCTGGTCATCTAGTGTAAAGACAGAATCTCAAACACAAACTATTTTTTAAAAGACTCCAAGACCTCAATTCTGGAGTTAGGGGAAGACCATCTTAAAAACTGTTGGTCAGGAGCTGACAGAGTGAAAGAATCATCCCAAGGCTGAGGTGGGAAGATGGCTTGAGCCCAGGAGTTCAAGACCAGCCTGGGTAACACTGTGAGACCCCTCTCAAAAAATCATCCCAGGGCCAAGAAGAGGACAGGAAGACCCTGAAGATGAATGGGAAGAAAACATAAGGCCTAGGTCTTCACCAAAGATGAGACACATCGAGACCTTAGCAGAGGGTCTGGCACAGAGCAGATGACTACTAAATGTTAGCTGCTAGTAGTAGTGGCAGTCATGTAGTAGCAGTAATAATGCCAGAAAGCTAGGCCCTTCCCCAAAGTCAGTCTCCAAGTTGTGGCCAAAAAACCCAAAATCAGTTTACTGTAATCTTAAATGCTTCTTAATGATGAGGGCAGACTCTGTCCTCAACCTCTTTTATTGACACCATCTTCAATAGTTGTTGTGCCCTATTCTGTTAAGAGGTAGCCTAACACATTCCAGAGGAGGAGGCTGGAATAGAGAAATGTTGGGTAGGGATGCAGGGCAGAGCCTGTTTGTGTTCTTTGGCTTCAATCCATATGAAGGAAGCGCACAGACCATCTCCGGCCCTGAGAGCTTCTCTCTACCACCACCTCCACTCCAGTCTCCCAAAACCAGCAGAAGTCCACAAGCAACCATTAAGGCAAAGTCACCAGCACACTTGTCATTTCTCACTGGCCATAGCACTTTCCTTCTATTCAGCCCACGGATACCCAGGTCTGGCTAACTGGCTTTTAAAAGGGCAGCATTAGGAAGAAACTGAGGAGGAGACAAAGCTCAATGGCTCCATTTTCCACTCTCCGCTCCCACACACTTAGCCTCTCCACTCCCTGCTGGTCTTTCCTTCCCTCTTTCCTACGATTGCTAGAATGATTTGTTTTGAACAGCGACAGGTTTATAGGTTAGCCGACACCTCTGCTCTGTGGAATTTTAATTAACTTCTCTCATCGTCAATATGCTAAGGAATGGGGTCTCCATTCTCCGGGGTCAGCAATGTGTTTCAGGTCCTGCTATATCAGCCGTCAAATTGAAGAATTAATGACGTGGCTAATCGGCTCTAATTCTTAGAAAGAAAAAAAATTGAAAGGGAGTTGTGGAAGGGAGTAGGAGGAGGGGTGCAGGCTCCATGGGGTGAGGAGAAAGAAGCTGAAGGGCCTAAACGAAGTGGGTAGGACCAAGTCTCTTATAAAATAAGCAACTGACTTAAACCTAATGTTGGAGGGTGGCAGCCCTACAGCTTTCACATTTCCATGTGAGTAGGGTGAAGGAAGTGGACGAAGATCCTAGGAAAATGTTGTGATAGAACAGGTACAGGAGAGTCTATGTACTCTGCTGGGGAGGAGAGGGATTCTGTCTTGGTTCCAGAGAGCCTCGAAAGCAGAAGTCGGGATGCAAACCTCACTTGTCCATAGGTAAAGTTAGAGATATAACAGTCAGGGCCAGGTGCAGTGGCTCATGCACTTTGGGAGGCCAAGATGGGAGGATCACTTGAGGCCAGGAGTTTGAAACCAGCCTGGTCAATATAGAAACACCCCATTTCTAAAACAAAAAAACAACAGAAACAAAAAAAGAATGAAAAAAAAACCACCCCATTTCTAGGGCTGGGCACAGTGGCTCACAACTGTAATCCCAGCACTTTGGGAGGCCGAGGCAGGCGGATCACGAGGTCAGGTGATCGAGACCATCCTGGCTAACACAGTGAAACTCCGTCTCTACTAAAAATACAAAAAATTAGCTGGGCGTGGTGGCAGGTGCCTGTAGTCCCAGCTACTCGGGAGGCTGAGGCAGGGGAATGGTGTGAACCTGGGAGGCAGAGCTTGCAGTGAGCTGAGATGGCACCACTGCACTCCAGGCTGGGTGACAGAGCGAGACTCCGTCTCAAAAAAAAAAAAAAACCAAACACCCCATTTCTAAATATAAAATAAAATAAATAATAATAAAAAAGAGAAGTAACAATCAGACCAAAGGGTACAGTAAAGCCATCATCAAAATTTCACACTTTTGCTACAATAATCAATGTTACTACTTCACATACATGTCTTTGTTTGAGGACCCAGCTGGATCTGGGCCCCAAGCCTCTCCTGATGACTTAAGACTGTAAGGGATACTCCAGAGGACATTTTCCAAGGGGAACAAAGCAGACATGTGAGTTGTAAGAGCAGGTTGGCTGGTGCTGTCACCTCCGAGAGGTGGTGAGAGGCCTCTGCTTTGAGAATGACCCCAGAGGACAACTGTTCCAGAAGGGACACTTCTGGCTAACAGCTGGACTCTTAGTTATATTCTCATATAGTACTCTTTCCTTAACATTTCTGAGGTTAGATGCTTAGGAAATTCGCATTTAGAAGGTTATCTCAATCCCACGCATATATGAAGTGGCCTAAATAACTCAAATCTCTGGAGGATTAAAAAATCTCCAAGACAGTGACTCAAAGCAACCTAGAATACACAACAGGAAGATTTTCTAGCTCACCTGATCTAGTAAAATAAAAGCATTATTATACAGGACAAAACCACATCCAAATATGTCTCCCTTACCTGAGTAATGGGCTGATAGCAATGGACCAGACTCGGTCTTCAGTCTGGATGGTGTGTAAGCACTGCCCCAGCCGGCCTGAGGCCAAAGGCCACACCTAGAAACAGGAGAGGAGATGCTCTCGTTGGCATTGCCTGGGATCAGTGGGGAGGAGAGGTGCTCCGGGAGAGGTGACTGTTGGAGGTGGAGAAATGGGGAATCCTTTATGCCCTGCACACACAGAGCTCAGGTATCAGCAGAGGGGCCCCTGCAGCTTCTGGCTCACCTACCCCCGCAGATAGGCCCTAGCTCTCCATCCTAACTACCCTCTTTTACTTCCACTGACAGCCCTTACTTACCAGCCAACTTTACACTGGGGAATCAGAAGTTCCACATTCCTCAGCGGAGACTTGACTGAGAAGAAGTGGGTGGGTGGGGCTTGCCTCTTTTGACAGCTTTCCTGTATTTGTGGATTTTCCTTTCTCCCATCTCTCACCAAGATTTTACTTTGGAGAAGTAGGGAGAGGGAAGAAGATCAAGGCATAGTATAGGGGGACAGCAATAGAATTAGGGAGAGAAGTAAAAAGAAACATGCAAGGGAAGGAAAGAATGGAAGAAGAAGAGAGACTTCCAAGTGGGAAGGTGGTGTGTTGTTGTTTGTTTGTTGATAATGCCCAGGATCCAATACTATTCACGTCAGCAGGGAATTTAACACCTAGTGTCACCAAAAGTAGCAGAAAAGCTTAACTCTTTTAAGCTTCCATATCTCCTACAGGTTAAAAATATTGCTTGGAGCACATTATCTGGTCTCTATCAGTCAGGAATGTACATTAGCAGCCACTCTGGGCTTAACTCTAATCAACACTCACAGAGCCCTCTCAGCAGTCAGTGCATTTAGACATCTCCCATTAAGCACAGGGCTCCCCCCTCACTTCACCCTACCCTAGATGACACACACAGGGACATAAGCCCCTAACCAAACAGAAAGGAAATCTCAGACGTACAGGACTATCCCAAGACAGCAGCAACAGAGGGATCCAGAGGCAGCCAGATGGATCAGTGACCTCTTAAGGTCCCAGCAGTGCTATAAGGGGAACACACAAAACTCAGGCAGGACCTTAGATGGAAGAACTTTAAAGGAAACATTCCTTGAGTTTAAAGGGTAGGTGATGGAGTAGGGGTGGTCCTGCCTTCTTAAGAGTCACATGATAACTCTTCCCTATAAAAGGAGAAAGTGTTTTTTAGAGTTTGTGTGTATGATGGGGGTGGGGGATGGGATGATTGTGTGAGTTACTTTTCCCAACACAGTGAAAAGAAAATAAACATACTAAGAGGATCCTAAATGAGGAGGGGCAGAAAACAAAGGTAAACACCACAACTTTTCCTGAGTGCCATGATTCTGGCCTACTCTTTGGACTCCATAGTCAGTCCTCTTTGGCAATAACTAGATACATTTCCAATGTACTCTTTTAGGCAGCCCAGCTAAAAAGACAGCTTTGCCTTTTCCCTGACACAAACTCCCTGGGAGGCAGATTCTTTCTTAGGGGGTGAGGAAACACTAAGGACTCTGATTACAAAATCTATGGGGAAGGCCTAGGCCTGAATTCACTAATGTCCTCCACGGAAAGGGAAGGTTGATTCCTAGATTCTGCAAACCACAGAACAAGGTTCTTGGTCTCCAGGAGCGGCTGAGGAAGCATGCCACCAATTCTGAGCAAGATCTTAGGAAAGTGGCCCTCCTGGCTTGGCCCAGCAGCACATCACCCTCCAGAAACATGAGATTCCATCCTGGCACCTGAGGGACAAGAGTTGACAACAATATGCTGATCCTATCTTTGCCCTCCATGGCCAAATTCAAAACAGATCCATCCCTGGAAAAGATTCAGTGGGAGTGGACTTTTTTTTTTTTTGAGATGGAGTCTTGCTCTGTTGCCCAGGCTGGAGTGCAGTGGCGCAATATCAGCTCACTGCAAGCTCCGCCTCCTGGGTTCATGCCATTCTCCTGCCTCAGCCTCCCGAGTAGCTGGGTCTACAGGCGCCTGCCACCATGCCTGGCTAATTTTTTTGTATTTTTAGTAGACACAGGGTTTTGCTGTGTTAGCCAGGATGGTCTCGATCTCCTGACCTCATGATCCACCCGCCTCAGCCTCCCAAAGTCCTGGGATTACAGGTGTGAGCCACCGCGCCCGGCCGGGAGTGGACATTTATACAGTTCTTTTAAAAAGCAGACTGGTGATACGCATCACAACTTTTAAAATGACCACAGGCTTTAACTCAGTAATTTTGTTGCTGAAAATCTATCCTAAAGAAAATAATCCTAAAACAAAAGAAAAACCTAAATGGTAAAATATTCCCTGCAGCATGCAATTGCAGAGAAAGCATGCATAGGCTTTGGCATCTGATCAATCTGGATTTGAACCCCAGTTGCTACTTATTATCTTTGATCTTAATGGTAACTTCTTAGCTTCCGTGTCCACATGTGTTAAATGGGAAATGATGCCTATCTCAGGGTTATAGTGTGGAAAAGTGGAGATAAGTATAAGGCATCTAGCACAGCAGCAAAGTATTTGGCAGGTATCAGGCAAACAATAATGGTGATTCTTATTACAATAAATCTTCCCTTCTAAGCCAGATGTGATCTGATCTCTCCACCCTCTACACTTTCTGGCTCTTGCCCTAGAGCTTTATACTCCACAGTCCTAGCCACTTCCAATCAGCTCCCTGGCCAGGTACGCACATCTCTTCTCATCCTAAGGATAAGAGGCTTTATCTCCCTTACTTCTGAAGAGCCCAGGTGCCTCTGTACCAAGCCTCACACACAGTAGGCACTCATAAGAAAGAACAGAGAAATAAAGAAGGAAATGAAGGAATGGTTAGTACCAGCCCAGGCTCATTAAGAACATAAGCTACCAGCTGTTCACATCTCAGGATGGGGCTGGCCCCACTAAAGCCCAGAGACACAATCCAAGCTAAGTCACAATAAACCTGAAACTGGGCTTGTGGGGAGGGGAAGGAAGAGGGTTCTTTGGACAGTCCCTAGCTCAGAAGTCTTGCAAAGAGATTGTTTTACTTCCCTTTACCCCATAAAATAAATCTCTTTCCTAAAATACAGTACATATTTGGGAAACTCCCCAAAAATAGATGGTTACAGGCAAATATCACTGCAAATTCTTATGAAGGTTCAGGTGTATTAGAAGCCTGGAGAAGCAGCTGTAGAATTTCAGATGCCACTGAAAAGAAATGATGTTTCAGTTATAAAAGACAAACTGAATACAATAGTAATGTAGAAATGGCTCAGGATAACAAAGGTGGCTGGATGCAAAGACAACAACAGAAAGGAGGGAAACCCAGGCAGCATCCGGAAAGCCAGGAAAGAAGAGTTGGCAGAGAAGTCACAGGGGAGCTGCAAACCAGCTGACCAGCTTGCAGGACCAGAGAAGAGAATTCTGTCACTGACCTAAAAGAAATCCTCAGAAGGAAGAAGATGGACTGTGGTGACAATTTTAGAAGGAAGCACTTATTTTAGATCTTTTTAAAAATCTAAGATACTAAATAGGGCTAAATCAGTACTTAAACATGAAATTAACCCAGTATCTCAAACAAACTTGCTATTCTTCGTCAACTGTAAGTAATCCATGCCCTCAGATTGCTACCTATGGTTATAAAGCTTAGTTTTATACTGTTCTGGGTGTCAGACCACAGAGAATAGAAGAAAGAGGTGTCACTGAAAAGGAGGAACTTGAGTAAGCCTGAAGCCATGACAGGAAGATGGCTAGAATAAGACAGGAGTACCTAGGTCACACATGCCACAAAAGGTTTCTATGCAAATTGACTTTTGAGCAGTATAACAGGTTTAGGCCAGAATCTTTTCAAGGAATGGTACAAAGACAGTGACCAATCAGAAGCCTGAAGTAAGTATGAAGTAGGGTAATAGGAAGCAAGTGACAGGAAATTCAGTTTCCATGTTGGTTCAAAAGATATGCTGGATTTTTCTCAAGCTTCCTGTGCTGGTGTGAGTACAAAGTAAGGCAGAAAACAGTAAAGGGAGGAGAAACTTCCATAAAAAGAAGGGAACATATTTAGCCCTTCTTTTTACATAAATTAGCAATATTTCTATATGGAGGTGTAATCACCAGAGGGTACATGCAGTCAGAGAAGTTACTGAGTAAAGATTGCAATTTCCCTCTCCTGAGTCCTCTCCCTATGTGTTTTAGAGGCCCATTTGCTGACACACCAGCAAGCATTTTTTTCCTGTTAGCACTATGGAACCTAGATGCTAGGAAATACATAACAAGACACTATTGGGCCTCCTGCACCACCAACTGAATTGTCAGCAAAGTTCCCACAGCAACCCTAAAGGACCAGGCCTGTGCAGGCCCTGGCTAGGGCTGTTGGGCACAAGCCTGGAGAAAGACTTCTCTGCTCACAGGTGGAAGCCTATTTGATCCAGATGTGGATGAGTCCATGAAGCCAGTGTCATGCTATTTATCAGCCTTACTTTCTTTTATGCCTTGGTGGATATCTGTGGACCGGGCAATTTGGCAAAGATGCAACAAACAACACCCCTCTCTCATCGTCTCTGCTGCTTACTGACCACATCACTCTCCAGAGAAGCAGTGAAAACACATTTTAATTATCAGCCTGATTGCTTATAAACAAGGTGGTGAAAAATTAACCTCCCTAAACAGAGAGCAGGCAAAAGGAGGGAGATTTTAAAATAAAATATTAGGGTCAGAACTCAACCCACAAACTTGAGGAAACGCAACTCAGGGAGGAAAGGCTGCCAGGTCCTCTGTTTTTGAGTTCACGCCACATTGCAAGTGAGTGGCAACCTTCCCAGCCACTGTCCACTCCTTTCCCAGTCCAGCTGGCAGGGACAACGCCTGGCATGGCAAGCTGCATGCCAGAGGCACATAAGTGAGTCCTTTATTGTGTCGTTTTCTCCCCTGTCCCCAGACGATACTCTCAGCCAATCCTGAGACTCAGGGATCTATCCACCCCCTCCCTATAGACAGGAGGGAGTAATAGTATGTAAGGGGGAGACCACCTCACCTTGGCCGTCCTGTCCCTGGAGCCACTCACAATGATGCCCCCTTTGCAATCCACACAGTTCACCTCCTGTTCATGAGCCGAGTACTTGACAGTGAAGGTGCTGTGAATCTTATGAATGCCAATCTTCCCATCCCTAGGAGAGAAATAAGGAGCCGACCCCCAAGAACCAATTATTCTTTCTGTAGAAAGAGAACAACTCTCCAGAAACAGCCCAAGTCTCCAGTGACATCCAAATTTGCTAAGCATTAGACAATTCAGCCCAGTAAGGTGCTGACTTTCTAGATACCTTTACTTCTTCAGCACACCTGGGGCTGAACAGAGCTGAGAGAAAAAATATATTTTCCCCTGGAGAATATCAAAACCAGCTTCACTTTTCATTAGAAGCTCTTCCTGTTTTCCTTCTCCAGCTAACCCTATTAACTCCTTTTGGTAAAATCTCTCTGCTTTAAATGGAAAACCCTTCTGGTCTCCCTCCTCATCCCTTTGGAGTTAAGACAGAAAAGTCAGAGGCAGGCAGAATGTCCCCGAAGTATAAGATGGAAAAGGGTGGAAGGAGAAACCTATAGCACTTACCCTCCTGCACTAACAATATGCGAGTTGGCCAGCACAAAGTGGCAAACGTCCTCATCATGCCCAGCAAAGACTCCCAGAGGCCGACGATTCAAGCTGGCACCATCTGGACGGAACTGGTAGGCCAGGATGAAATTAGCCTGGGATATGTACAGAGAATCATCCTCTAGCTGCATCCAGGGCATCTGACTGAAATGATGGAAAAGAAAATTTAAAAGTCATCAAGATACAGTATGAAAACTCAACTCCAATCTTTGAAGAAGCTGACCAATCCCCAACTTAGTAAGGATAACCAACAAGGCTTATTATCTATACTTGATACCCTCCTTCAAAATTACCTGCCCATCAGCTATCCTCAGAAAACTAGAGTAACTGAGCCTTGTGGTGATCTAAACTTCCCTGGACTTTGTAAAAGAGACTCAAAATTAAAAGACCAACTAAATACCACTTTTAATTGGAGAATATTTAATATTTCAATTACTGGCTACCTAGACTTCTCATGGGTACGCAGAGCTTACAAAATTCAACGGTCAAGGGGTGAGAAGGGTCAAAAAGAAATCTTCAGCCAGGCACAGTGGCTCACACCTGTAATCCTAGCACTTTGGGAGGCCAAGGTGGGTGGATCACCTGAGGCCAGGAGTTCAAGACCAGCCTGACCAACATGATAAAACCCCGTCTCTACTAAAAATACAAAATTAGACAGGCATAGTGGTACACGCCGGTAATCCCAGCTACTCCAGAGGCTGAGGCAGGAGAATCGCTTGAACCTGGGAGGCGGAGGTTGCAGTGAGCCGAGATCGCACCACTGCACTCCAGCCTGGGCGACAGAGGGAGACTGTCTCAAAAAAAAAAAAAAGAAAGAAAGAAATCTTCTAGCCAAGTGAAATAACTTTCTTTCATTCTGCATCCTCATTAATTTGAAGTGTAAGTGGGAAGTTTCAAGGTTCTAGGATTCCCATACATACCTCTTCCGCAATAGATCAGTTAAGGTGTGATGGAGAAAAGAGAAGAATAAACCTAGGGAAGCCCCATTCCCTTATTCTGTTAGAGCTAAGGGGTCATTTATAAGTGAAAGGAATGAAGCCATTTAGGAAAGGATGCTAATGTACTGATTAGATACCTAGATCCTCACAGGGATATCTACATTTCTGTATTAGAGAGTAAGTGTGGCAATGGAAAAACACAGCCCCAGAGCATTCTGCTACAGTTCAGGGGCTACAGAGAAAGTCAGCTCTCACAGGCAACTGATAAGAGAAATCCACAAATAGTTAGATTCCCTCTGCAATCTGACAGGAGGAAGAAAGGCTAGAAGCCACAGACAAGTCCTGTGGCAGGGAATGAGACTTAAGAAGAAAGAAGACTGTCAGATACTAGGCTCTCTGGTGGAAACTAAGCCCCTTTCCCAAGGTGGACATCCCACCTGTCCTATTCTACATAGGGGTTCTGGAGTTACCAGGTCCCAAGAAAAGCACAGGGACAGCTGACTCATCCCCAAGAACAGCCACCATCTCCTATTCCCAAGCCTGTCTGAGTAAACTGGGCTGTGTTTCTTCCCCAGACTCGTACAAGTGTCATGGGAATGTGGAAAAGTTCTGCAAATTGACTTGACGGGCCATTAAATGCAGCTTAGACTTTGTAGTAACTGAGTTTCTGCTCATGAGGTTTTTACAAGTGTGTGCATATATTACATGGAACATGTGTAGAGTGTGTACAGATGCCTGCTCTCTCACTCATTATGCACATTCCTCTTCAATATCCCCTTGCGTGAGTGTGTGGCACACTCAAGTAGGCAGCAAACAGAGAGGGTGGGAATTTTTGTGTTTAGAGCCATCTGGTAAACAGCCATTTGCCTAGGACAAGAAACCAGGTTCATGCCAGGTGAACAGTGGAGAATCCCAGGGCAGCCTGGTAACTGTTCTGTGTGTTTATTTGCCAAACTGCTTGAAACTAGCCCCAAAAGGCAAATGTGGGAAGCAGAGGGTAAAGTCCTTCATCATAAAAATCCGTCTTTCTCTCCTGTAGTTTCTTTACCATCATCACCACCACTACCCAATACCACATTATTCACAGTATCTGATGCCAGTGAAACCAGTGCAAACTGGATGCAAGCAGGAAAGAAAGGTTCATCAGATGAAGAGGGCCGCCTGTGTCTTCAGCACAGGTACAGGTCACTCTGGAATGTGGAATCATGATGTTCCCTATCCACTGCAACCAATCAACAAGGAGCAATTTTTTGGTAGAGAGTCAAATAATAACTATGAAATCATTTAGCACCAATGAAGCATAAAAATTGGTAGCATTAGCAGTGCCACAGGCATTTTCTAAATTTCCTTATACTTGCTCTAAGCTCTAACTCCTGTAACATATATATCCAAACCTTTAGATCCTACCCTGCCTTTTAATAAAGTAGGGGAGAGGACTCAGGGAAGCCAAGAATGAAGAAGTAACTCCATAGAGTAGAAGATTTAAATAAAAATATTTGTAAAATAAGATGAATTGAAACCTTGATTTATTTCCTTTGATGGCATATGTTAACAGAGGTTACCTCTGAGTGGTGGAGTTACAGGTTAGTTTTATTTTCTTCTTTAGAATTTTCTTTTTCTTCAAATTTCTAAAATAAGCATTGATTTCTTTATAATCATAAAAAAAGTCATTTGTTAAAGTACATTTCTTGTATTCCCTTCTTTAAAATGTGAAAAAGTTGTCCTTCTGATGCCCCCTTTGTGTTATTCAAAGGCTCACCAGTGCCCACCCACCCAAGATAGCCCCATTAGCCTCTATGTAGGACCAGATTTTTTACTTTCCATTATGCTTTTATGTCCCAAGTAGCTTTTAAAAAGTCAAGAGGCTACTTGCCTGCATCTCCACTTCAGCAGAATCCCCTCTCGGCAGCGCCCCAGTCTCCAGTTCTGAGACACCTTCACTCGTTCCTTCACTGGGACACTGGTCATCCTATGTCCAGACAGAACAGATAATCCAATCACTACAACTTATTGCCAACCACAGAAAATTTCATGGGCTTACTGAGTCAGGATTCAGGAGCATCCAGAATACAAGTAAAGAGATTAGGAGACCAGGAAGGAGTAACTGTTCTCTCTCCATACTTGACTAAGAAAGCCAAGGAGAAAAGCCTGTCCTTTAAACTATCAAAAATGTTCACAGTGATGCCAAAGCAATCTAATGGAGAATGCATGACAATCCTGGAACCACTGGATGTCCAGATTGGGAAAAAAAAAAAAAAAAAAAAAAAAATGAAATGAATCCTGACCCCTACCTCACACCATACAGGAAAAGTAATTCAAAACAGATCATAAACTTAAAATCTAAAACTATAAAGCTGTCAGAAGAAAATATATAAAAACATCTCTCAGACTAAGAAGGTAGACATAGATTTCTTAGGACACAGAAAGCAATAACAGAAAATAAAAATCCAGTAAATCAGACTTCATCAAATCCAAAACATCTGCTCACCAAAATGAATACACAAGCCGTCGTCTGGGAGAAAAGATTCACAGAATGTATATCTGACAGGAATTTGTACCGTGATGAGGAAGTCCTCTTTGTATTTGTTCATATATTTTTAGAAGACCAATAAGAAACTCGCCTACATTGTTGGTGGGAAAGCAAAATGGTACAGCCATTTTGGGAAAAGGTCTGGCAGTTTATTATAAATCTAAACATATGTGTACTCTATGACCTAGGAATAACCTTAGAGAAACAAAAAGACTTACACAAGAATGTTCATAGGAATTTCAGTCATAATAGCCAAAAGTGGTAAACAGCCCAGGCATCCATCAACAGGAAAGTGGATAAACACACTAGGGTAGGTTCATATAATGGAATACTACTCAGCAAAAAAAAGGAAAGAAGTACTGATACACAACATAATGTGGATGAATCACAGAAACATTATGTTGAATGAAATAAATCTTACACAAAAGAAATCGTAGTGTATGATTTCATTTACATGAAGCTTGAGAAGAGAGACAACTAACCTATGATGAAAAAATCAGAACAGTCATTACTACCAGGATAGGGATGGAGACTGACTAGGAAAGAACATATGGAAACTTTGAGGTAATAGTCTATATTTAAGTCTTGAGGGGGTTTGGGTTATACAAGTTTATATGCATTTGTCAGAAATGGACCAAATGTGCAGGATGTAGTGGCTCACAACTGTAATCTCAACACTTTGGGAGGCCAAGATGGGAGGATCACTTGAGCCCAGGAATTCGAGGTTACAGTGAGCAGTGATTCCACCACTGCACTCCAGCCTAGGCAACAGAATAAGACTCCCTCTCTAAAAAAAAAAAAAGAGAAAAGAAATACATCAAATGATACACAAGATTTGTGCAGTTTACTCAAATATAAATTCACTGTATATATTTTTTTCTTAAAAAAAAAAACCCATAAACTAATATACTCTAGTCAATGATATGTATGCACACTGAAGCCTTTAGGGATAAATGTACTGATATCTGTAACTTATTTTAAAATGCATGATAAAGCAAATACAGCCAAATATTAATTGTAGAACCTAGGTGGTGCATATATGAGTGTTCATGGTACAATTCATTCAACTTTTCTGAGTTTTAAATTCTTCAAAACATTGGAGGGCGAGTGTCAATAGTACTTTCTGGGTGAGCTGAGTTAACAGCAATAAGAGAAGAGAGCACACAAGCTACAGGAATGGCACTGTTTGGGGATGGGTTAATAGGCAATAGGGAGAAGAGCTCTAAGCCCCTTACAGAGTACGCCTTTGAAGAGAATTTTGAAATCATGAGCAAGAATTTGAAAATTCCACTTTAGGTTCCCATATATCTCCTGTGTCTCCTTAGCTTGCTCCACTGCCCATACAAGGTACACTGCTTGGGACAAGAGTGATAACTGCCATGTCTGCCTGGAAATTTGCTGGCCAGGGAGAGATACACTAATTTCTTTTTTGTTTGTTTGTTTTTTGAGACGGAGTCTCGCTCTGTCACCCAGGCTGGAGTGCAGTGGCACGATCTCGGCTCACTGCAAGCTCCGCCTCTCGGGTTCACATCACTCTCCTGCCTCAGTCTCCTAAGAAGCTGGGATTACAGGTGCCCACCACCACACCCAGCTAATTTTTTTTACTGTTTTTAGTAGAGACGGGGTTTCACCGTGTTAGCCAGGATGGTCTCGATCTCCTGACCTCGTGATCCACCCACCTCAGCCTCCCAAAGTGCTGGGATTACAGGCATGAGCCACCGCGCCCGGCGAGATACACTCATTTATTCGAGCCTCTACTTATACCGTCACATTTGCCAAATTTTACTAAAAGCCAGCAAGCAAGTCCAGCTTTCAAGATTCTAATGGACACAGGTTAGAAAGAATGGTTTTGGCAGGCAGAAAGAAGATACCTAATTCACTTTTAGCTAAATAATATTCTGCCTCCTGGTGTTATTTCACTTATTTATTCATATAGAATAATTATTTTTGGTTAATAAAGTAGTAAATGCACAGGATAAAAAAACACACACACACAGATAGTATGAAAGGTTAACAATGAAAAGTGAGTCTTTCTCGAAACCCCTAGCCAAGACTCTCCCTCTCTAGAGGCAACTATGTATTCACTGTAGATAAGTATATATGCATGTTGCCCAGGCTGGTCTCCAACACCTGGCCTCAAGCAATCCTCCTGCCTTGGCCCAGGCTGGTCTCCAACACCTGGCCTCAAGCAATCCTCCTGCATCTGGCCAGCTGAATACTATTTTTAAATTATACAGAATGTTATAAATCTCTCTGGATCATTATTCCAATTGTAATTTATTTAACCAACATTTAATGTGGTGCTCACAATATGCCAGGCACTGTTTTCATTTGCCCAATGCCTTACGCATATCAGTAAGTGCTCATAAAGAGCAATTATAATTCTTATATTTCTAGAAAGTATATTCTTTTCAATTGGAAATAAGCAATAAGCAACTGTCTTTGATTTTAAAAAAAGAAAGCAAGAAATGGCCCAAACTGATATGAATTTAATATATAACAAACAGAAAATTGTAAACTAAGGAAATAAATCACTTTAATTAGTGCTATTGGGTTTGTATAGCAAGTTGACTTCATGAGAAGGAAAGGAGAGAGGGAATAAGAATATGCATGGCTAGAAAGAACACTGGAAGGATAAAATAAAACACCCATAGTTAACTGTGGATAGTCAACTTTGGGTGTTTTTATTTTCTCCTTTATGCTTTTACATATTTTCTAATTTTTCTTTTTCCTTTTTAAAATTTTTTTACTTTCAATAGCTTTAGGGGTACAAATGGTTTTTGGTTACATGGATGAATTGTACAATGATGAAGTCTGGACTTTTAGTATGCCAGTCACCTGAATAGCGTACACTGTACCCAGTAGGTAATTTTTCTATCACTTACCCCCCCACCTTCCTCCCTTCTGAATCTCCAATGTCCATTACACCACTCTGTACGCCTGTGTGTACCCATGCCTTAGCTCCCACTTATAAGTGAGAACATGTAGTATTTGGTTTTCACTCCTGCATTACTTCATTTAGGATAATGGCCTCCAATTCCATCCAAGTTGCACAAAAGTCATTATTTCATTCCTTTTTATGGCTGAGTAATATTCAAATACTGATTAAAATAGTAATAATAAATGCTGTTGATAAAACTTGTTGAATATCAATAGAGAAAAAAACTGATTTAGATTGCCATCTCATACCACAATATAATAAATTCCAAAAATATGAGGGTGAATTTAAAAGTTTAACTAGAAGAAAACAAAATATATACATATTTCAATGAAGAGCAGAGATAATTTCCCAATTGAAATGGGGATAATAGAAATTATTCTATTGAAGCAATAGAAATGTATCAATTATAAAGTATTTGAGTTTAATGCTATTAAATTTGAAATGCTACAGGAAGGGAAAAAAGATTAAAAGCAACAGAGTAGGGGAAAAATTTTAACTAACACTGTAGATATAAGTTTTCTCTCTAAAACTTTTAGGGAGCTGATAAAAATCTATCAAGATAACACCCTGTCTCCAATACCATATCATCCATGTCCAACAGAGGATAAGGACAGTCACAGTGTTCACAATATAAAACATTGGAGGAAACATCCCCCAAGAATAGTTTACAGGCATGTACATTAAAACAATTTTTAAAGTACACCTCACATCTATTAAGTAGAAAAAACTGACACTAGCTTTAATTTGATATAAGAGTGTGGATTTGGTTACATGTTGCTTATAGCACATTCAGCAGGTACAGTCTTTCAGAAAGGAATTCTGTTAAGACAAAAGTCATTAAATGACAGCTTATGATCTAGCATTTCTACTTTGAGCACTGTATCATGAAGAAATAATTCAAAAGAAAAAATTTTTACAAAGATATTTATAGCTGCAGCTATATATTAGAGCTAAAATCTGGAAATAGCCCGAAGGTCTGTCTGTGGAGGAGAATAGTATACTAATGCAATGGAATATACTGCCACTAGAAATGACAAATGTGAGGATTGCAAAACATTTTGGCAACAACTATAGCAAGTAATGGTATTTTTAAAACTAAGTTAAATTTATAAAGGTAGAGGTGGGGAGACACTACATAAAATTATGTCTCCATAAATAACAGGTCTAGGCTGGGCTTGGTGGCTCACAACTGTGATCCCAGCACTTTGGGAGGCCAAGGAGGGTGGACCACCTGAGGTCAGGAGTTTGAGACCAGCCTGGCCAACATGGTGAAACCCTGTCTCTACTAAAAATACAAAAATTAGCCAGGCGTTGTAGTGGGCGTCTGCAATCCCAGCTACTCGGGAGGCTAAGGCAAGAGAATTGCTTGAACCTGACAGGTGGAGGTTGCAGTGAGCCGAGATTACACCATTGCACTCCAGCCTGGGCGACAAGAGCGAAACTCCGTCTCAAAAAAAAAAAATAATAATAATAATAATAATAATACTAACAGGTCTAGGCTGGGCGCGGTGGCTCACGCCTGTAATCCCAGCACTTTGGGAGGCCGAGGCAGGCGGATCACGAGGTCAGGAGACAGAGACCATCCTGGCTAACGCAGTGAAACCCCGTCTCTACTAAAAATACAAAAAATTAGCCAGGCGTGGTGGCGGGCGCCTGTAGTCCCAGCTACTCGGAAGGCTGAGGTAGGAGAATGGCATGAACCCGGGAGGCAGCGCTTGCAGTGAGCTGAGATCGCGCCACTGCACTCCAGCCTGGGCGACAGAGCGAGACTCCGTCTCAAAATAATAATAATAATAATAATAATAATAATAATAATAATAACAGGTCTAAAGATGTTAATAGATGGTGCTTTATTAAGTGATCAATTGTTGAAAATATATCACATAATTGTTGACAGTTATGTCTTCCTATTTACCTTTAACTAAAGAGCAGATTAAATAAAACTGAAAAAGCACAGAAGGCAGACTTAGGAAACTGGGATCTATATCCCAATTCTACCGCTTACTAATTATACAACCCAGGTAACTAACTTCTCCAATTATCCATTTCTTCACCTATAAAATAAGGATAATATTTCACACAATTGTTTTTTAAAATGACACCTAAAACGAAGTACAATACATGTTATAAATCACTACAAAAAAAGTTAATTATCTTTACATAAGTATAGGTAGTAGATAATATCCATTAATGGTGTTGTCACTAATGTGACTCTAATAATCATTCGTTTTTCTTCTAATTAGTTTAGTTATAACTATTAGAAATTGTTCCTCCAATATCAAACATTTGTTATTTTTCAGGCTGAACAATTAGGACTTGGCTATACACATGTTAAGGCTAAAATCTTTTACTGAATTATTCTGTTGGGTGAATGTAGTCCCTGGTTTTAAATCACTATAGAGCCACCTACACTACCAGACTACTGCTGAGGACAGTAAAAGATACTTAACAGGATGGGCCAAAGGAACTGAAATCTAAATGAAAAAAAAAATAGACTTCCCTGTCTGCTCCTCGTATCTGCAAATCCCTCCCAGATATAAAGGAAGAAACTGTTTACAGTTATATCTCTTCTCTTGAATTAGGTCTAAAATTAATGAGTGGTGATGAAACTAAAAAGGGAGTACTCTGGATCATAGCAGGAAGAAAACGAAAGTAAAAGAATGGATATATTTCCTGAATTGGAATAAAGACAGCACTTCTCTCACCTCCCTGGTCACTTAACTGCCATGTGACACTTTACTAGGGGTCAAAATACTCCCCTGAGGGTTTGATCATAGCACCAAGAAACTTTCAAAGTTGAACTTTAGAAGCTGCTACCAAACAGCAGGTGCAGGCATCCTCTCCCAAGAAGAATATCATAATCAAAACACTTGGCTGTAGTCCTTCAAATTTAGACTTTGAAAAAAAAAAAAAGTTCAATTTGGCTTTGACTTGAAAAAGCTCTACTTTGTTAAAAACAATTTAACAACTCAGCTTTTTCATATCTTTTGTCTAACCATCTTGGATGGTTACAGTTTCCCTAGCTGTTGGCCAAATCATATCTATATTTTTATTGGCTTCAGCACCTGAAAAATCCAAAGAAATTTTTAATATATCTCCTTTCTCTGAAAACAGGTATCCCTCCATCCCTGTGGGAACGTGTCACTGCCAGTCAAAGGGGGTCAGGAGAACAAGGCAGCAGAAGAAAAGTACCTGAGAAGACAGGAGCAGGTACCCCTTGGAATTCACCAGGGACCCTTGCTCCCATCCTTGAAGAGGCCTCTGGCCAGCCATTTCTCCATATGGTTACTAATGTAAAGTGAGGGTGCTCCTCTCAAAAAAATGATTAGTGCCCTGTAAATAAATCTCTCCGTGGATGTTAATGCACAGAGGACCTGGCCCCGTGGGCCTGGCTGAACTGCCATTTTCCCAGCCCTCCTTCTCTTGCCTCAGGCTCATTTTTCCACTAGGCCCCTTCTCTCTCAGCTTTCCGGCACTTAGTAACCATTAGAGTTTGCATTCCTGGGCATATGACCTATTTTAAACAAAAACAACACAACATGCACCCACAGTAAGCTATCTGGCCCCTTCAAATCTTGGCAAGTGAGTCCAGAGGGACAGAAATTAATCTAGGCAGTTATCTAGAATGACCTTTCATTTCCCCTCTCCTTGCTCACACCCCAAAACCAAAAGCAAATAAATAAACCTAGTCTGAAGAAAACTGGCTGGGGGGAAGGAAGGGGAAGTGTAGGTATATCGAAGAGGTCTTAAACAACATAATCTCTGAGATCAGAAAACTCCTGGAACACAGATCAATTTCCCTCTCTGTCCCATCTCACAGCTTGATTCCCCTGGAAGCCACCAATGCTGACCAACTGCACGGATGGCATGATTTCCATAAGCATAACATCCTGCTGATTTGGAAGGAAACTCAGGAAAGGAAAGTGTCTCCAAGTGTACAACAAGGCCATGTCAAGGGGCACCAGGCCAAGGAGGGGAAAACAGGGTTACACAAAATGCTTGGGGCTTGGAATTTTATTTTATTTTAATTAATTAATTTTTTTGAGACAGGGTCTCACTGTGTCACCCAGGCTGGAGTGCAGTAGCACAATCTGGGCTCAACGCAACCTCCACCTCCCAGACTCAAGTGATTCTCCTGCCTCAGCCTCCCAAGTAGCTGGGATTACAGGCACATGCCACTCCTACCCAGCTAATTTTTTATTTTAGATGGAGTCTTGCTCTGTTGCCCAGGCTGGAGTGCAATGGCACAATCTCGGCTCACTGCAACCTCCGCCTCCCAGGTTCACGCCATTCTCCTGCCTCAGCCTCCCAAGGAGCTGGGACTACAGGCGCCCGCCACCATGCCCGGCTACTTTATTTTTGTAATTTTAGTAGAGACAGAGTTTCACCATGTTAGCCAGGATAGTCTCGATCTCCTGACCTTGTGATCCACCCGCCTTAGCCTCCCAAAGTGCTGGGATTACAGGCGTGAGCCACTGCGCCTGGCCTACCCAGCTAATTTTTGTATGTTTAATAGAGATGGGGTTTCACCATGTTGGCCAGGCTGGTCTTGAACTTCTGACCTCAAATGATCCACCTGCCTCGGCCTCCCAAAGTGCTGGTGTGAGCCACAGCACCAGGCCTTGGGGCTTGGAATTTTATATTAACACTATCTCTTGATTTCTCTTATCTTCTTTCTCTCCAGATTTTTCCCCAGATTGCCTGTTCTCACCAGTTCTTCTATCAATGCTAAGAACTTGGCTTTAGTGTAAAGTATTTAAGCAGCCAAAGATAAGAACCTTCTAACTTTTCATTTATACTTGCATTAGCCTGAATCTTCCAATAGCTTCAGTAGCAGAGGTTTATAATTAAGGTTCAAACAAAATTAATAAAAAATCTTTATATCATGTTAAATTGCTTATCCTTTTGGCCAAGGAACAGAGAATAGCCCCAAAATTCAGAGTGAAGGGAAACTGTAGGAAACATGCCAGCATGAGGACAAGACCATGCACAAAGAGGGCATGGAGCTGACTGAACTGACCCACAGCTCCCTTGAAAGACCCCCAGCTGTCAACCCACTTTACCCATTCAACTCACTTTTCATGCTTCACACTATGCAACTGGACTCCCACCAAGCCAATCTCTTCCACGTTCATTCATATACCCACACTTTCACCTATACTGCCAGCCCCAGCCTACCTTTGCCCCTGACTGCTACTTCTGGGGACTAGTCAAATTCATCCATTCTTTAAAATCTAGATAAAGCCTCTACTTCTGTGACTCTTCCAAACATGCCATCTGAACTGTTAGATGGAACCTACCATACACCTAGGCATTGCTAGCTTTTCACAGCTATACATCATCTTTTTTGGCTAATTTAGTCATAAATTCCACAGGATCAAGTCTTAAACAACTTTGTGCTTCTAAAAGTGGCTCTCAACCATCACTGTGCAGACAAGTGGTATAGCAGTAACCCTGAATAAGTGCACCATCAAATTTTAAACAATATATAGAATTTATTTTTGTTCAACTAACAATCCACAATTTTACAGGGATTTCTATCAGACACTAAGCCAAAATATTGCCCATGATACAATTTGCTGAAAATAAAATAAAGATTGCATGTTCAGAGGAACATATATGAACTTTACCTCAAAGGATATAAGAGAACAAGGTCAGGGCTGCAAACAATACTGTTCAAACAGTAACACACCAGAGGGTGAACAATAGTGTAAATAATCACGAACAGGTTCTTCAATTTTCTGAAACTTGCTTTTTTAAAAAAAAATGACATTTACCTTTAATTCTTTAATGTACTATCAAAAATTCTAACATTATACAAAACTATGTCTTTAACACAAAAAGTGAGAACCATGGTCCTAGCATAATAGGTATTTTGATAGACATTGCTTAGGAACTGCTCAAGCAAGAGTTTCCAAAAACATGGTCCTCCCTTTGGCAAGTCACACTTTGAACAACACCCGTAGCTCCAAAGGCCCTTCCTTAAAATGTGTAACATACCACATCTTCAAGAATTCAACCAAAGCCTCTAAATTCTTATTCTAGAGAGGCTCAAGGGAAGAAATCTGAGCAGATAAAGTATCTTAACATGGCACCCACATGTCAAAAATGTCTAAACAGTTTCAGAAGCACTAAGCATAACCCTGGGTCCTTTATGTGCATGAGCTTAAGATTCAGAACTTGGCTGTGTTCACATCCTTTTCCTCCTGGCATTGGTTAGGTTCTGTATTTGCACGGCACTTGACCAGTATGTGTGTTCTGCAAGATGTTAAAGAGATATTTAGCAGTGAAAAAAAGAATTTTATGGTCAAAACATTTTGCATGATGCTGGCTGAAACAAAAGTAAACAGGTCCCTCTATCACAGGACTTGTCAGTGCCTTTAATCCCCAATGGACATTGTGATCCCCAAGAGAGGGAATGTGGCGCACAGCATTTTCCCCACTCATTTGATTACAGAATTAGTTTTTCAAGAATCCCACAATACAACTTTTGGAAAGGCTGATCTAGTACTTTCTAAAAATGAACAATGGCAAGAAAGATGCGGATTTTTGGGGGGCAGGGAGCGGTGAACAGGCCTTCCTCTAAGTGAGTCATGAATTAGGCACTAGCAGACTAAGAGGTAGACTTTGTTCTCATACCTTCAAAATGACTTTTCCCTAGACTCCTCATCTGAAATGTGAGAAATAATTACACTGCTCTGCTTCCCAGGGTTGTTTTTTATTGTTTTTAATCATGAAACTGTGTTCTATATTAATCATCAAAACAGGTTCTCAACCCAAGTGACCAGACTTCAAAATCCCTGGTGACCTTCCAGCCTGAATGAAGGGATGAGGAGAATATGAACCAGACGTCACCCAGCAAGTTTTTACATCTCCAGCTTCTAGGCCATTATGATAAAGTCAAACTGCATCCAAGATAAGGGATGAAGTTCTCCCTTAGCAACTCACTTCTGGAGGGGACAAACACACATACCACCCATATCTGAACCTTGATTCAACTTTTTGATGTAGACTTTCTAAAGGAAAACTCAAAGAAACATGGGAGGTCAAAGCTGGAACTACAGGGAAAAAAGGAAAAGAAGTACTCAAAGACTATTTCCTTTTCTTTAAGGAGAATGAACTCATTACAGGGTTAGTGAGCAGGGGAAATATCATTCCTTTCAGTGAAACAGCTTTCCAGGAAAAGTATCTCAACATATTTACTATAAAACAATTTAATTTCCCTGTCCCATCACCTGCCACCCCATCCTCATCCCCCCTACAAAACCCACAGATTGTGGATTTCCTCTCATTCTTGGCAGAGTTACCAGAAGAAATATAATACCCCCTTCGGACTGCTCCCAACAGCTGCTGGAAAAAGACAGGAGAGCTGGGGGTATCCCTCCAAAGCTGCCTCTAAAAATGACCATTCCCCCTTCCAACCCACACAGCCAGTGAGCATAAGACTTCTCTTTCTCTACTTTCTTAAAGCAAGGGGAGACCACAAAATCAACAGCGTACCCTAATCCAAAATACTTGCTTCCGGCCCATCTGTTCTCCTCAATATGACTCCAAACTGAAGCTTCTGTACAGTAACCACCACTCTATTTCTCCCCTAACATGTAACTATTAAAACAATCCTCTACCACCTCACAAGACCAGTATTTCTTATTTGTTTAATCTACCAATCTCCAAGTTAGGGTTCCTATCAAACTCCTATTCACTATAATTTCCCATCCCTGCCCACCTGTCCCAATACCACACACTTCATACAAATACGAATCCCCCTCCAGGTCAAGAGACTTGAACAACAAAAGTCTAGGAACAAATTCATCAATGGCTACCCTACACCCCAGCCCTTGCCCAATATCCCTTGCCCAATATCATCATACACTAAATGCTCTTCAATTCTGTCTAAAAACACCCCATCACCAGGCAACAGAGAAGCATCCAGTTATCCTTCAGCCTCTCAGCTGAGACCACCAACAAAGAAGTCCATGAATGTCAACTGGGGGCACAGGCAATATCTCTCTTTGCTGAGGAGAAACTGGAGACAACCTCCAGCATCATTCCCCAAAGGTGACAGCCAGGGTTGAGTGAAGACCGTGAAAACTGTACAAGAGCTGGGGGAGAAAATATAATGTAAGGAATGATTTGAAATCAGGGGCAGGAGAAGGCAGAGGAATGAACTGGCTGACCCCAAATGTCTTTTCCATCTCTAACTCCTATGATTCTTTGACCTCCAATTTTGTGCTGTGGACAAGGAATGGAAAGTCAACAGACGTGGTGATGTTTTGAAAGAGCCTGGCAGTCTGCTCTTGTCATTTAGTGGCCTTTGCATGTATTTTTTAAGGTGTCTCCAAGCCCTGTCTTCATTTCACAGTTGTCACCTTTCTCAGCAATTTGAGCTCATGTCAAATACCAAAAAAGAAGAGGAAGAAGAAAGAATGTGCTGGCAATTAATTGTGGGCTAAAGAGGGGCGGCAGGCACAGGGGCCCATTGGGTGGCCCAGACTTCCAGGGAGGGCAATGTGGACAGTTTGGATAAAATGAAGAAATGACTCAAAATTGAGACAAGGCAGCCAAACCTCTAACAGGAGATAAATTCTTTCTCCAGATAGTCTCATACTCATTTTTAGAGAAAGCTCAAATATTTACATGATTCAGGGTACATAAACATATTCTTAATTACCATAACCATTTTGATTCAATTGATTACAATTGGAGTTCCATCTGAGCAAGACTACTGAATAGGAAGGACTTTCCTCAAGGGTAAACCAAATCTTTGGATTCTCAACCTTGACTCATGGTTGACACACCTGAGGTAAATTCTGAAGCTTAGCAAAAGTCAGTTTCTGCAGATCAAAGAAGGGAGTCTGCCAATTTTCACTGAAAATTCAAAACCCAATTTTCTCCTCTTTTTTTCAAACAGTTGATCTCATCTTAATTTTCAAATATTTTTGGAGCCTGGTCTCAATAAGAATCTGCCTAAATTTCTCCCAGTTCCATGGTTACAAGTCAGGACCAGAAACTAATCCAGTGCCAGGGTCAACCCAGAGCTAAGGTTAAGTTGTCACACACACGTAATTCTTTTCTAAGTCACACATTCAAAAATAATTTTTTAAAAAACCTGTATACTTCCTCAGTGACCTCACTGTCAGTTGGGGATTTCAGCAGCTCAAGCACAATCTTTACCTTAGATGAAGGTTCCAGGTGCAAAAAAAAAAAATGAAAGTATGGAGTACCGAAATATTTTCAGAGCTCTCATTCCAGTATGAACTCATACTACAGATTGCTCATCTCACAGACTGTGAAGACATTGGGTTTCTCCATGTTTCTGCCTTGAAAGCTAGAAAATTCAGCCCCTACCATTCAAGTTTTACAAGACTGGAAAGGATATAAACAGCTTCTGTATTCTCATGGTCTTAGAGAAGGCTTCTTCCATTCTTCCAGTTCGCATTTGGAGGTAGTGATTGCACTAGACCATGTCCTGCTTCCACAGGTGTACTGTTTTATTTTGAACCTGTAAACTAAACTCTATTTTATTAACTCATAGAAACCATTAAAAATAAGGCCTTTCCAAACGCCGAAGACAATAAATACATCCATATTCGAAATCATTCCGTGAATTACAGAACAAATAAGTGACTGTCCTCCCTGGGTAAGGCAGAAAACTGGAGAAAGCCTAAGCTACTTTGAGTTGTTAATTGTTTTCTGAAGATCACAGTTTAGGCCTTAAATGTAACCAGTTAGCAATACCATCTCCATTCAGGGTTAGGAAACTGGTTAGGAAACTATATGCTTTCTGGGTCAAGAAAATGCTCTTAGGCACAATCATTTTAAAACAAATAAACACACTCTGCTTATCTGTGTCTATCTCACCACTCTGGACGTTAATCATCACTGAAATAGATACCCCAGGCCCCCAGCCTCAAAGAGCTCCAAGGCTACAGGACCCCTCCACAGGAATGAATGTACATGCCAGGACAAACACCTCAGGAGCCTCACTCCCTAAACACCTATTGTTAATTCCAGGCAAATCTATCATAGGCAAATGCAAGACAGCACCCAGGTACTGCTCAAAGGCTATTTAAAATAAAATTCCTATTTGAGAATATGTAGCACTTAATTCGGGAGGAAGAGGATCAAGTAAGCTTTCTTTAACATAAGACTGGCAATAGAATCTTTTAAAAATAGCTTTACATGCACAGATGTACTTTTTCTTTCCATTATTTGCGTTTGTTAATTTTCAGTATCAGAATTTGCAGATAGCGCTCCTGTTCTTCCCCTGTCATAATGTCTACTTCTTGCATTCAGTCTACATTATCAAGTGACAGCTGAATTCCACTGTCTTGTTCTTGTAAACGGAACTAGGTTAGTTTGTCCTCTTACTCTTTAGGGAAAATTTGAAAGACTGCTATATGAAACATTTCTTTGATTTTTATTGTTATATTCAGGATATTTCTATTCCAACAGGCTTCATAAAATCTCCAAACAAAACTGATTTTAAATCAGATGACTGACTCCAACTATCTTTGTGTCCCTTTAAAAAAAAAAGAAAAGTAAGCTTAGGATATCTATTAGTGTTCACTGTTCGGGCAAGAGGCCTAAAGGGAAGCAAATTATTTGTTTGTGGTTTTAAAGTGGCCAGAATGCCTTCAAGCACAAGTATAAGACCATTAGCAAATCACAAGGAACCAAAGCAGTTCATCTTACTCAACAAAGCTATGATCAGTTAGGAACAGCCAAACTGAATGGGACTTGCCCTGGGCCGGAAGGTCAGTAAACCTTAGCAGTTTGTGTTTCTGAGAATCAAGAGGCTCTTCGTCCCGGAGTGCAGGCCATAAGTCCACAGGTTCTGCTGTCATGTTTCCAAAAACATTCAGGACAGGTGAGAGAAACGAAGCACAGTGCGTGTGTGTGCGTGTTCTTCCCTTTGTCTTTAGTCAGCACCTCTAAGTCAAACCATCCCCACTTTTGCTATATACAGACTAACTAGAGGAGAACCCAAACAATTAAAAAGTTCCGTTTTACAATTTATTGTGTGCTTACTATGTGCTTAATGCTGTACTAGCCAGCATTCTACACTTAAGCCTCATTTTACCAGGCAAGGTTATTCCCATTCTTTATAGGTAATAAAACCTAGGGCCAGTGAGGTTATGTGGCTTCTGGTCAAATCAAGTTTTGTGTAATGCTGATAAAAACTCATCTCACTTATCTAGTCTGCAGTTAATTAGCCCAAAGCAATGAACGACAGCCCTGCCACTATCCAAGCAGCCATACTCTTGCTGTACTTTGGGCCCGGGTTCGCTGACTCCCTAAGTGGACTGGGGTGCATGCCTTCTCCCTCCAGGGATGACAACCACCTCTCTCAGTGGCTTATTAAGTCTCTGCAGCTGTCCAGAAACGGACCACACTGGTAAACATTCTCTCCACCTGCTGTAACACGCATAACTTCTTCCCTCAATCCAGAAAACCCGAGCAGTGACCCTGCTCTTTATCAAGTGCTATGGCAAAATAACTTCCCTAGAAGGCCAGGACACCTTACCCTAGGACATGGGCGAGAAATCAAAACACACATGTCTAATAAATAATAAAGCCATATCATTTGGCAATCTCAAAGCATTTTACACCATAAATTCACTTTCTTTTTTTTTGTTGTTATTATTGCTACAGAATGTAGATTCATTCCCAATATCTCTCTTTTAGAGCATTTGAAAATAAACATCAATTCTTTCATTCATTCACTCAATCTCTATATGAAGAGAGAGAAAGCCAAACTTTGCCTTAGCTAGCTTGGGTTACAGTCACTTTAGACTTCTCTTATAGGTTAACTGATAATATTCTTTGAAAGAGTTATTCTCATGAGAAAGGAAGAGAATAAAAAACTATTTCTGCAGGTGACAAGACTGCATGCCCAAGAAGTCCCAAGGAACCATTATCATGAATACAATCATCCTAGAATAAAAAACCATCAAATTCAAAATTTACAAGAGTAGAGTAATCTTCTACATTCAGTAATACCCAGCCAGAAAACATACTGAAGAGAGTGTATTTGCAATAAAAACGAAATGCATAACATTTTCGGAAATACATAGGAGTAAGTGCAACAACAGATATGTAAGAACTTTATCATGAAAACCACAAAAGTCCTTGAAAAAGTACAGAATTTTTTTTTTTGACAGAGAGTTGAACAGAAGTGTAGAAGTGACACACACACATAAATCCAACAGGATAATCTTACCCTGACAGATTACTAGACTCTATCAAAAAGTAACAATATTTAAAATAGTATGGAAATGGAAAACTGTATCAGTGACACACAATGAAGAGTTCAGATATAGATCCAATATACACACATATATGTCTATGTGTATATACATGTGTATATTATATATAATATATATATAAACTTATTATATGGCAAAATAAGCTGTCCAAAACAAAGGAAAAGAGAATTACTTAACAAAGTTGTAGACAACAATAGTAAGTTGAATTCACCTCTTGCACCAAAAGTGATATTGATGAAAGTGTTAACTATTAAAAAATTAAATTAGGCCAGGCGCCATGGCTCATGCCTGTAATCCCAGCACTTTGGGAGGCCGAGGTGGGCAGATAACCTGAGGTCGGCAGTTCGAGACCAACCTGACCAAGATGGAGAAACCCTATCTCTACCAAAAATACAAAATTAGCTGGGTGTGGTGGTGCATGCCTGTAATCCCAGCTACGCAAGAGGCTGAGGCAGGAGAACCGCTTGAACCCAGGAGGTGGTGAGCCGAGTGCACACCACTGCACTCCAGCCCGGGCAACAAGAGTGAAACTCCGTCTCAAAAAAAAAAAAAAAAAAAAAATCAAATTTGTAAGAAAACCAGTGGGAAACAGATTTATCAGGTCTGTGGAGGAATTATAAATTTCTCAGCTTTGGGGAGAAAAAGAGAAAAAAATCACAAAAGACTGGCAGAGCCTAATAAAGTGTAAAACAGTAAAGTAAAATGAATTGACTGGGAAAAATATCTGGATCAAAGATGACAGACTAGATTCTAACATCTAAGACCCACAAAGATTCCAAATTTATAGGAAAAACAAGAAGACCCCAGTAATAAATGGGCAAAGAGTGGGAAGAGACAGTCTCCCAGGTGAAACAAACACATGGGAATATATTTATCCCAGCCAGTGGTAAAAGAGATGCAAAATAACACAACTTTGGTACCTTAAATGACCACTAAAGTGGCAAAGATTTTCTAAATTCTCACATAAAATTTGTTCACTCTGTGCTGGTCCCACTATAATTTGGTACAGCACCTCTGCAAACCATAACCTTTGCTATAATGCCACCTTGAGACTTTATCCTAAGGAACTGATTTTTAAAAAATATGTATGGTAATGACATGTGACTTATATTTCAGTAAAGCTGTTACTCAAAAATGCATTATTTCATTATTATCTATAATAACAAAAAGCTGAACACTACATGTAAGTTTAATAGTAGAGGGATGTTCTTTAATCTCATTATGCGACAGCCCACAAACATTTACTATGTACCTATTCTGTTAGGATCAGTAAGATAGCAATTATATGTGCAACTGAAAAGGTTTTTAAATGAAAATAATTGTCTAGAGGTGATGGTATTATGGCTTTTTATGTTTTTAAAAACGTTATTTAATGTTGTCATAATGTACTAGAAAGAACTACTTTTTAAAAAATGGGTGGAATAGGGGGCAATCTGAAAGCTCTTATTCCCCCAATTCCCTACATGTTTTTTCCTTCCTATTTAACAGTTTAAGTGGTTCAGAAAAGTTTTTCATTCACAGGTCTCAGACCCTACCAAAAACAGGCCAAATTGCAATACCATGTCTTGTACACATCCTGGACAGACTCCAGCCTCCTGCCTCAAGCAGGCCCCCTTTTTCGTGTCGCTCTGCCTATATGAAGTCATAAACTATGGCTGAACACTGGGACCGAGGGCTTCTCTTAAGGTCCGAGCCCTGAAGCTTAACAACCTTTAGAAAAGGGTAGGGAGGATGAAAGATGAAAGTCCACAAAAATTTATGATAGACCACTTAAGGAACCTGAGTCCTAGACCTGGACTCAAGGAATCGTCCAAAGCACCGTACCAGACTGGCTCCTCTGGGGCGAAGGAACCGGGGCAGCTAAACCTCTGCAAAAACACACAATCGAAAGCTGTAGGGAGTGCCTAAGATGGCTAATTGTGAGGAGCGGCCCACCCGGGAGGGTGCCTACTGAGGGATGCTCTCGGGAGGCTGCCTCAGATGGAGGCCTTGGGGAGGAGGGGCAAAGGGGTCCCCGAGAGTGCTCGGGAAAGGGTGTAGGCGGAGGTCAGGTGTAGGCCTAGAAACTCGGGGTGCGACACGACCCTGGGCCGACCAGGCCGCGGCGCCCCGCCCTTTCCCGGGACGCGGGGCCGGCTCGGGGCGGGGAGCGGGCGGGCGAGCGGACGCTTACAGGTCGGTGCCGAGCCGCGTGAAGCCGGAGTTGAGCGAGGCCCGGGCTATCCGGCGCCAGAGCAGATCGCAGCTGGTGAAGCGCCGCAGCCAGCGGCACACCTGGGCCAGGCGGCCGAGGGCCCGCATGTCCAGGTAGGAGCAGATGAGCAGCAGCAGCTCCTCCGGCAGGCGCCAGAGCGCAGGCCCCGCGGCCGGGCGGGCAGCCGACTCCCGAGCCGCCTCCTCCTCCTCCTCCTCCTCCCCGGCCGCCGCCGCCATGGCCACCCCTGTCCCCGCGATGTCGGCCCAAGCCTGACCCCCTCGTCCCTGTGCTCTTCCCGGCCTGGCGCCCTCCCGCCGCCTAGCCCTGACCCTCCATTCCTCCTTCTTCCCATACTCTCTTCCTTGTGCCTCCTTCCCGGCCCCTGCGCTCCCCTCGACTCCCTTGACGATGCCTCTCGCCCCTTCCTCCACGCTTCTGCCTCCCTCTGCTTCCTCCCTTGGGCATGCCCTCGCTCCCGCGTCAGCCCCCGGCCCGGCTGCCTCCTTCGCCGTCTGCGGCCCGGGCTTCCCTTCCGCCCCGCTTCCTCTTCCGCCTTGCCCCGCTCTCGCTTTTCCCTTCCCCTTCCCCTTCCTTCGCTTCCCCCTCGCCACCCTCCCTTCCTGCAGCTTCCTCGCCTCTCCGCCCTCGCCCTCGCCGGGCCCGCCGTTCCCGGGGGGCCCCGAGCGGCCCTGGCTGCCCATGAGCGGCCGCGGGGCCGGCCCGACGCGGAGCCCAGCCCGAGCCGCCACCGCCGCCGCCCCGGGAGGAGGCGACACCATGTCGGACCGGGTCACATGGGGCGGCGCGGGCCGAGCCCTGGGCACGCCCCTCACACCTGCAGCCTTGGAGCCACTTCGGGGTGCGGGCTGGGGCCGGGGCGCTGACACCACCCCCGCATCCCCGAGAGCGCTTGGTGGAAGCACAGGAGTTCGCGCTGCAAACACGTGAGGCCGGTTTCAGGGCCCTGCCTGAGGCCACAAGAGGACCCGCTGCCCTCAGGAAGCGGCCATTTGGAGCACCTGCCCTCAAGAAGCCCCTAGTTGGGTGGCCTTGCCCCTCTAGAAGCCCTCCTCTTCCTCGAGTGATGCCTCCTTTCCACGGGCCACATGTGAGGGCCCAACGAATCTGCAGCCCTAGAAGTTGACAGGTTCCATAGCTTAGGTTCTCACACAGGCCCGGAAGCACGGTCCTGGCGTGAGCTTGGGTGTTAGACGTATTTGGGGATTTGCAGTCTTCTAGATCCTGAGTCCATAACTTCAAAAACAGTCATGTATCAGGAAATGGCACAGCTAGGGCTTCTTATCAGTCACCACCCAAGTGCAAGTGGATTCTCCAAGGACTCAGCATCCATTCTTCATACCACCCATTCGATTCACATGGCATTAATCTGAAGGGAGAGCTACTGAGGTCTAGACCTGTGCTGTCCAACAGTGTCCTCCCTCGTCACATGTGGCTGCTGAGCATTTGAAATGTGGCTAATACAAATTGAAATGAGCTATAAGTGAGAAATGCACACCAGATTTTGAAGCCATACAAAAAAAAGAATGCAAAATATCTCATTAATAATTTTATATTGATTACGTGTTGAAGTGTTAATATTTTGGATACGCTGTATTGGGCTAAATACAATATATTTTAATGTAACTACTAGAAAATTTAAAATTATACATGGGACTTGCATTTGTGGCTCGGGTTATTTTTCTATTAGCATTGGGCTAGGCAGTAAAACTTGGAGGAGGGGAGGAAGATGCCAATTTCTGTCTGTTTATCCTGTACTCCAAATCCAGGTAGGAAGGATTGGAGAGTTTTCTTTTGTACTTATCTACATCTTAACACTCATTTTCAGGGAGCAGGGAAGAATAAAAATTGACCCTGAAAATTATTCAACACCTAGCATAGCCAAAGAGAAACCTAGGGAAGCAACTACATTGTATTATGGTGCTGCAAGAAGCATCATGTAACAAGGTCAGACCGGAATCTGGCTTTGCCCTAGAATTACTTTTTGATCTTAGCAAAACAACAACAAAAAGCCCCACCTATCTTGGCCTTTTAGTGTTCTCAATCTGTAGTGGAGATAATGCCTCTGCCTTACTTTCGAGGGATAAATGAGATGATCCCTGTAAAATGCTTTGAACTCCTCTAAGAAAATTCTTAATAATAGTTACAGGTCAAATCCTGTTACAAAAAAATGCCATCCCTCCCCCTCTCCAAATGCAACAAAGACTTTGTGTAGAAAACGATTTCCAAACTCAAGGCAGTGGTTTATTGAAAGCACTATTTTATAGATTTCAATGCGGCCAAAGAATTTAAGCCATGTTTTAGAGATCATTATAAAGAAATTTACTTATTCACAGGTACCATACTGTTAGAAGACTACTAAGGCAGGAATACTTCACATTTAGGTGATGTCATGAGTTCAATATTTATTGATTTTGCTACATTTGTGTACTATGAGCGAATCAAGAAGGAAGACAAATGATATAGCAGGAATATGGTTCCTGCATTTTGTGTTTAGATTTGTGTTAGAGATGTTTGTAATTTCTTACTGTTTGAGTACTTAACTCATTCAGGATACATAGTAAAGCTGAGTAGTTCATCTATATTCTATCTCATTTTTAGTGGAGGCACTAAAACTTCTTTAACCCAACATAAATCAGGATTAAAATCCATAATCATGCAAGTGTAATTTACTTTATTTTCATTAATGGAGAATTTTTTTTTGAGACAGAGTCTGGCTCTGTCGCCCAGGCTGGAGTGCAGTGGCGCAATCTCGGCTCACTGCAAGCTCCACCACCCGGGTTCACGCCATTCTCCTGCCTCAGCCTCCCGAGTAGCTGGGACTACAGGCGCCCGCCACTATGCCCGGCTAATTGTTTTGTATTTTTAGTAGAGACGGGGTTTCACAGTGTTAGCCAGGATGGCCTCGATCTCCTGACCTCGTGATCCGCCTGTCTCGGCCTCCCAAAGTGCTGGGATTACAGGCATGAGCCACCTTGCCCGGCCTTTTTCTTTTTTTTTTTTTTTTGAGACGAAGTCTCACTCTGTTGCCCAGGCTGGAGTGCAGTGGCGCGATCTCGGCTCACTGCAAGCTCCGCCTTCCGGGTTCACGCCATTCTCCTGCCTCAGCCTCCCGAGTAGCTGGGACTACAGGCACCCGCCACCACGCCCAGCTAATTTTTTGTATTTTTAGTAGAGACGGGGTTTCACCATGTTAGCCAGGATGGTCTCGATCTCCTGACCTCGTGATCCGCCCGCCTCAGCCTCCCAAAGTGCTGGGATTACAGGAGTGAGCCACTGCCCCCGGCCCTCATTAATGGAGAAATTAAAGCATCATTTAGCGGTCATCATTAAAGCGGCCGGGCGCATCATTAAAGCGGCCGGGCGCGGTGGCTCACGCCTGTAATCCTAGCACTTTGGGAGGCCGAGGCGGGCAGATTGCCTGAGCTCAGGAGTTCAAAACCAGCCTGGACAACACTGTGAAAACCCGTCTCTACTAAAAAATACAAAAAAATTAGCCGGGCGTGGCGACAGGCGCCAGCTACTGGGAAGGCTGAGGAAGGAGAATTGCTTGAACTCGGGAGGCGGAGCTTGCAGTGAACCGAGATCGCGCTACTGCACTCCAGCCTGGGTGAGAGAAAAAAAAAAAAAAAACATCAAATCATCCTCTTTCACATTCAAACTAGAGATCAGGTAAACTCTTAGCCTAGAATTTGTAATGTAATGATTTCCAAAAAAGTCAACATACTCACTATGCAGGAAAAAAAGCAAAGCCAAAATGGAAAATTGGCATATAATCTGTTATTTGGTGGTGATGTGTGTCCCTAAATTACCAAACATGTGATAAAGAAAACAACAAAGAAGAAAACCTTTAGCCTTAGCTCAGAGAAGCAGCTAGAATATTTCATCAACTCTCCCTTTCCCTGCCAACAAAGAAAAATCCAATTTGGGATGTAACCAAACTTAAAAATTGTATCATAAAATTTACTTTTAAAATTCTTTTTTGGGATAGAGTGTCAAAAATAAAAAAGCAACTGAAAAGATGTGGCTGAAAAGATGAGTTTGTAATAAAAGTAAATGCATGTCTTCATGAAGGACCTGAATAGCATTTTTCTATCAAAGAAAATAAATATATTAATACTCAGAAAAGAGGAAGGTAGAAAGACTTTGGTGGACTTGACCATCTTTTTTTTTTTGAGGCAGAGTCTCACTCTGTTGCCCAGGCTGTAGTGCAATGGCGAGATCTCGGCTCACTGAAACCTCCGCCTCCTGGGTTCAAGTGATTCTCCTGCCTCAGCTTCCTGTGTAGCTGGGATTACAGGCACCTGCCACCACGACCAGCTAATTTTTGTATTTTTAGTACAGACGAGGTTTCACCATGCTGGCCAGGCTGGTCTTGAACTACCAATCTCAGACCATCCACCCGCCTTGGCCTCTGAAAGTGCTGGGATTACAGGCATGAACCACCCCGCCCGGCCCAGAACATCTTTAAGTAAAAGTCATCAACTCCCTTGAAGTTCAGATTCAGGAATCATCATGAAATAAGGCAGGGAGGTGAAATCTACCTTTGTTTTCATAAAGCTTTTTTATTTAAAAAATTAATTTATAGATTAATAAACTGAAAACAGTGGACACAATATTGGCTGGGTGTGGTGGCTCATGCCTGTAATCCCAGCACTTTGGGAGACCGAGGCAGGCAGATCACCTGAGGTCAGGCTTGTCTGCCTGGCCAACATGGTGAAACCCTGTCTCTACTAAAAGTACAAAATTAGCCAGGCGTGGTGCCGCACACCTGTAGTCCCAGCTACTAAGGAGGCTGAGGCCAGAGAATCATTTAAACCTAGGAGGCGGAGGTTGCAGTGAGCTGAGATTGCACCACTTCACATCAGCCTGAGTGACAGAGCGAGATTCCATCTCAAAAACGAACAAACAAAAAAAAAAACTTAAGACATAATATAAATTTCATAATTTTGTGGGTATTTAGAAACACTAACATTAATTTACCTTTTTTTTTTTTTTAGACAGCGTCTCACTCTGTCACCTAGGCTGGAGTGCAGTAGCATGATCTTGGCTCACTGCAGCCTTGACCTCCTGGGCTCAAGCAATCCTCCCATTTCAGCCCCAGAGCAGCTGGGCCTACAGGTGCCTGGCTAATTTTTTTATTTCATTGACAAGGTCTCACCATGTTACCCAGGCTAATAGTTTACTTTTAAAGAGGATTTTAAAGCAGAGATATAAAGTTCTTTATGTTAGTGTGTACATGTAAGTGACATGCATGATGGTGATTGTTGCTGTTATTGGTAGCACATAGTATATGTTTAGGATTGTAAAAAGGCTAGAATTTTGTATTCTGGTCATTCTTATAAACAGATGACAGAATCACCTATTCACACATTCATTACATTGGTGCCCACATACTCATTGGTTATACCCTCAGGGCCCCTCAGGAGCTGGTAGATTTAACAGGAAAATTATTCTGAGATGAATGAGAGACAAAGAGATTATTTTGTGAGTGACAGATTTCAATATCATACGTGGGCCCAGATGCTCACCATTATTCCTCTATAATAGCATTGGCTTACATTTACTATAAGCACTTACTACATGCCAGCCACTATTAGAAGAGTTTTCCAGCCAGCCACGGTGGCTCACACCTGTAATCCTGGCACTTTGGAAGCCTGAGGTAGGAGGATTGTTTTTGAGCCCAGGAGTTCAAGACCAGCCTCCAGGAGTTCAAGACCAGCCTGGGCAACACTGGAAGATCCTGTCTCTACAAAAGAATTTTAAAAAATTAGCCGGGCTTGGTGACACACATCTGTGGTCCCAGCTACTTCGGAGGCTGAAGTGGGAGGACCAGTTGAGCCTGGGAGGTCAAGGCTGCAGTGAGCCATGATCACACCAAGGCACTCCAGCATGGGCAACAGAGCAAGACCCTGTCTCAAAAAAAAAAAAAAAAAAAAGTTAATTATGTAGACTTTCAAACTCTTAATGCTTTTCATAATCTTTTTTCAAAACTTCAAAGGGATTGTTAGGAACTAAAGTGTCTTGCAAAAGAACATTTAGCTAAAATTTGGTAATTCCTTCATTTTGTTTCAGCTTCATTTTCTTCAATTTCTTCATTTTGCTTCATCCTCATTTAGTAACTATGTATGGTATGTGTGAGCCTTTTGTGTAAATTTATCTCTCTGTGTATATATGCAAAGGGAAGGTTTGTGGAATAATGTTAATAATGGTTTTTTTAGGTGATAGAATTTTGGGATTTTACTTTGTACTTTTCTGTATTAATTTTTTAATAAGAAGCATGTACAAAATAAAGTCTTTAAAAAAATAAGAGTTGTCATGAGTCTATACACCATGCAAAAAGGAATTTGATGATTTGAAACCTAGATCATTGCCAGAGTTTTAACCAGCTACCCAAGTTTCCTCAAACCTTATTTAAATAAGGCTGGGTATGGTGACTCATCCCTGTAATCCCAGCACTTTGGGAGGCTGAGGCAGGAAGATTGCTTGAGCCCAGGAGTTCAAGACCAGCCTGGGCAACACAGCGAGACCCCCGTCTCTAAAAACTGTAAGAATAAATTAGGTAGGTGTGGTGGTGTATACCTGTAGTCCCAGCTACTCGTGAAGCTGAAGCTAGAGGATTACTTGAGCCCAAAAAGTTGAGGCTGCAGTGAGCCATGTTCATGCCACTGCACTCCAAACTGGGCAACAGAATGAGACCTTGTCTCAAAAAACACTAAAACTTTAAAAATTAAAATAAAATGTGTTTCATGTAATAGTAAAATAAACAACAAGTTAAAAGTCTTAGAAAGGAAAAGAAACAAGAAGTCTCACAGTGAATGCTGTATTTGTAAATATTCAAGCTTCTCAAAAATAGAGGAAGAGACTCTAAAATGTTATTTTCAGAAATTATCTATTGGGTTGGTAGTTTATATCTTGAAGTACCACCAAGATCTGCTCTGGTTTTATATGAATCCATCTTCTTTGCCATATTCAAAGATAAAATATTTTTACCACCTATGAAATAATTTCAAGCAAGTGCTATTTAAAAATAGTTATTTTGGCCAGGCGCGATGGCTCATGCCTGTAATCCCAGCACTTTGGGAGGCCGAGGCGGGTGGATCACAAGGTCAAGAGATCAAGACCATCCTGGCCAACATGGTGAAACCCCGTCTCTACTAAAAATACAAAAATTAGCTGGGCATGGTGGTGCACGCCTGTAGTCCCAGCTACTCAGGAGGCTGAGGCAGGAGAATCCCTTGAACCTGGGAGGTGGAGGTTGTAGAGAACCGAGATTGTGCCACGGCACTCCAGCCTGGTGACAGAGTGAAACTCTGTCTCAAAAAAATAAATAAATAGAAATAAAAATAGTTATTTTATGCAGAAGAAAAAAAACTGGAAGGAAATATGACAAAAAGCTAGAAATGGTTGCTTGTGACAGATGGAATTATGGGTAGTTCTATTTGCTGCTGCTTTATACTTTTCTTGCATTTTTAAAGTCTTGTGCAGTGAGTATGTATTACATAGATAATCATTTTTTAAAAGAAAAAAACCTCAGAGGTATTTACACCTAAATGTAAGAAAGAACTTAATTAAGCTAGTTCATTTTAATATTTTTAAGGAAGGGCTGCATATAGTGACTTTCTTTCAAAGAGTACAATATGGAAAAGGGGGATGGGGAGAGCAACTCGACAGTGGAGAAGCCTGACAAGAACTACCTCAGCCAGGTGATCAAGGTCAGCACCACTAGTCATAAGTCATATTGATAGTAGGTCTTGGTACAATCTGATGAAAATGGCAAGTTCATTAAAACTGGGAAAGCTGAGAAACTGTCACAGCCAAGAAGAGCCACAGGAGACATGATGACTAAAGGTAATGTATTCTGGATGGGATCCTGGAACAGAAAAGAAAAAGGACATTAGATAAAAACTAAGGAAATTGGATCGGTTTGTTAATAATAACAATCATAATATTGTAAAATGTGATAATAGGGGTCTATGGAAACGCTCTACTATCTTCACAATATTTCTGTAAATCTAAAACTGTTCTAAAAAAGTTTTTTAAAGTTTCATCTTAGAATGGGCGTGGTGGCTCATACCTGTAATCCCAGCACGTTGTGGGGCTGAGGAGGGCATATCACTTGAGGTCAGGAGTTCAAAACCACCCTGGCCAACATGGTGAAACCCCATCTCTACAAAAAATACAAAAATTAGCCAGGTGTGGTAGTGGGCACCTGTAATCCCAGCTACTCAGGAGGCTGAGGCTGGAGGATTACTGGAGCCCAGGAGTTGGAGGTTACATGAGCTATGATCCCGCCACTATGCTCCAGCCTGGACAACAGCTGTAAGATGTTTTCCAAAGGGTCACATAACATCATTCCAAGACACTGTCCTAATTTTATAACTGAGAAAAACAGACATTTCCCATCACTAATTTTTATATAAATTATATATGTGTATGCATTTAAATATATGGTATGTAAATGTATAGCTATGTCTACAAAAGTTAAGGACCATATGTCTATAATGAACAGTAGAGTAAGTAAGGAGGTGGGCAGGTGGGCAGGATAGAAATATACAATGTAATTTTTCTGGGGGGAAAAAAAACAGATCTCCAGGGGTTTTGCCAGTTAGTAATGCTGTTATTAGTAGGCAATGGCCTTCTTTGTGTCAACAGTGTACATTCCAAGAGATTTTGAATAAAATATAGAGCATACCATCAGCATTCAGATCTAAGATTAAATTCTTGTATTGCCATTGCCATGTGACATCAGATTTTGTGATTTTTCTAAGCCGGGCGTGGTGACTCACACCTGTAATCCAAGCACTTTGGGAGGCCAAGGCAGGCAGATCACTTGAGGTCAGGAGTTTGAGACCAGCCTGGCCAACATGGTGAAACCCCGTCTCTACTAAAAATATAAAAATTATCTGGGCATGGTGATAGGCGCCTGTAATTCCAGCTACTCAGGAGGCTGAGGCAGGAGAATCGCTTGACCCTTGGGAGGTGGAGGTTGCAGTGAGTTGAGATCATGCCACTGCACTCCAGCCTGGGAGACAGACCTTCTCCAAAAAAAAAAAAAAAAAAAAAGGTTTTGTGATTTTTCTGGTCTCTGCCAGTCAGAAGACTGAGTCATTTGGTAACAGATGATAGAAGATAAAAAAAAACTTGAAGATGAAGGGAACCACAAAACCTTGTGAAATTTTCATGATCACTGGGGATTTCTTACCTTGCCTTCAGATTCTAGGTTCTTTTTAAAAGTATAAGTAAATAATCAGTCACCACTAAGATAGAATATGTACAAATATGACCTTATGAGTTCTTTTCCAAGAAAATAATGAGAATTAAGTTCTAGAAAAAATTTGCTCCCAAGCATCTTTAGTTTTTCTGGAAGAAAGTGCCAGGTTAAATACAAAATTCTTATTTCTGATTCTATTGTTATTACTACTATTTAACAATGCCAAAGTTTAAGTAAATTTTTTTCATTTGAGACATTTATTACACTGAATGAAACCACAGGATATCATTTATTTATATTGTCCTAGGTTTCAAGTCCTGTTAAAAATGTGGAAAAAAATGTGAAAAACACACAGGACAACTTTTCTGGAGTATCATTCATACAGTATCTTCAACAGATGGTGGATTGTGTTAAGTTGTTAAATATAAACACAAGTTTTAATGTGAATGGAATAAGAATAGATCTTAATTTTTTTGTTTTTTACTTTAGTAAAAAATGTATACACACATACTCAAAAACAACACACACACACATATGTATATATATATATATAAAATACACACACACCCACCCACCAAGTAAAGAGCAATTATAGTCTTTGGACCAAAATTTAACTGTTATCCTTTGAGAAACTATGTCACTGCTTCTAAAAATATGTACTATAAAATGTGCCTTTTCCCCTTTCTTATAGCAGCTGTTTGAAATACAAATAGATGAATGAGGAAAATCCCCTATGTTTAAAATCCACCATGAAGAGAAAAGCAGGAAGAAGTTCAAGCTAGCCCCTGGGGATTTTCCCAGGTTCAGTAGATTGACCTGGAAACAAGGAGTGCAGCTTGAGCTCTTCTTCCTTTAGCAGAACAAGCACTGGTCAGAGAAATTTCCAAACACATGGAGCTTAGCGAGACCACCTGCTCCTAACACAGGACAATGGCCACTGGACCACCAACTCTGTTGCTTCAAGTCAACACCAGCTCTCCTTCACAACAGATGACAGGCTTTCCGCTAGAAGAGTTTCCCAGTAAAAGAGTGAGCAAAGAAATGCTAAACTTCACATCTGCAATAGAAGCTGATAAATGAGAAGTGAAATGGACAAATTAAAAAGCTGAAACTGAATTCAGTCTTATAGTAGAATCAAACAATAATTACATCGATATCAGCCCTGGCAAGACAGAGCTAAGAGCTCAAATTATCTCTTGGCAAGGGTGTGGGTCTGTAAATGCTATGCAGCAACTAATGAGTAGAGAGGAATTTTTGACCAGGTGCTCATGCATTCCCTACACTGCACCAAGCTCAGCAGATATGTGGCACAACCCAGCACCTTTATAATCTCTCAAGATCTCCATCTCTGGCCGGGCTCGGTGACTCACACCTGTAACCCCAGCACTTTGGGAGGCCAAGGCGGGTGGATCACCTGAGGTCAGGGGTTCAAGACCAGCCTGACCAGCAAGGTGAAACCCCATCTCTACTAAAAATACAAAAATTAGGCCGGGTGCGGTAGCTTATGCCTGTAATCCCAGCACTTTAGGAGGTCGAGGTGGGTGGATCATGAGGTCAGGAGTTCGAGACCAGCCTGGCCAAGATGGTGAAACCCCATCTCTACTAAAAGATACAAAAATTAGCCAGGTGCGGTGGTGAGCGCCTGTAATCCCAGCTACTTGGGAGACTGAGGCAGGAGAATCGCTTGAACCAGGGAGGCGGAGTCTGCAGTGAGCTGAGATCACGCCACTGCACTCTAGCCTGGGCGACAGAGTAAGACTCCATCTCAAAAATAAACAAAAATCAAAAATTAGCTGGGCATGGTGGCAGGCTCCTGTAGTCCCAGCTACTTGGAAGGCTGAGACAGGAGAATTGCTTAAACCCGGAAGGCGGAGGTTGCAGTGAGTCTACATCACACCACTGTACTCCAGCCTGGGCAATGGAACGAGACTAAATCTCAAAAAACAAACAAACAAACAAACAAAAGAAACCTCCATCTCTTGGACCATACAACAATAGGAGAGGAACCACAATGGTCAGACCCAATAGCTTGCTTAACTCCTGTAAAAGAATTGAGGTCAACCAGATGTTGCAATTTTTCTGATTTGAGTCTTTAGTCACGTATGAGATAGCATGTTGGAGTTTAATTAAAGATGTGTAAAGTAATAATATTTAATGATATTTTGCAGGGGTAAGAGAATTAAAGTTAATATCAGCTATTAGAAGAAAGTTATTGATGCTATGTGTGTCTTATGTTAGCCCACATAAGAAATAAATGAACAACAGAATTTTAAGTGTTTAAGCAGTTATGTCATGACCCAATCTAAGTGGGATCTATGAGGAGACTGAGAAGAAGTAATTGAAAGTCTTGGGCTCCACATGGTGGCTCACATCTATAATCCCAGCCCTTTGAGAGGCCAAGGCGGGTGGATCACTTGAGCCCAGGAGTTCAAGACTAGCCCGGGCAACATGGCAAAACCCCATCTCTACTAAAAATACAAAAATTAGGCCGGGCACGGTAGCTCACACCTGTAATCCCAGCATTTTGGGAGGCCGAGGCAGGTAGATCACGAGGTCAAGAGATCAAGACCATCCTGACCAACATGGTGAAACCCAGTCTCTACTAAAAATACAAAAATCAGCTGGGCATGGTGGTGCACGCCTGTAGTCCCAGCTACTCGGGAGGCTGAGGCAGGAAAATCGCTTGAACCCAGGAAGTGGATTGCAGTGAGCCGAGATCGGGCCACTGCACTCCAGCCAGGTGACAGAGCGAGACTCTGTCTCAAAAAAAAAAAAAATTCAAACATTAGCTGGGCATGGTGGCCCAAGCCTGTAGTCCCAGCTACTTGGGAGGCTAAGGTAGGAGGATTGTCTGAGCCTGAGAGGCAGAAGTTACAGTGAGCAGAGATGGTGTCATTGCCCTCCAGCGTGGGTGACAGAGTGAGATCCTGTCTCAAAAAATAAAAATAAAAAAAAAGTCTTGGTATCATACAGCTTTCACAATGCTGGTTTTTAAAAACTATAAACCCACATCACTCTTGGCAATTTTTTGAAGTTTTAAAACATTTAGAAAATAAAATTTAAATTATTTTTCAGTAGTCTTCCATGTTATAAATAAAATCACATATTCAACAGTATCCAAGATAGAGTCATAGAAACAACCTGAGAAGGAACAAGACACTGACAGAGAATAGAAGTGTTGGGAACAAATGTCTCCCAAACTGTTTAAATAAATCATGGAATATCCGTAGAACAGAATAATAAGCAGCTGTGAAAAAAATGAGAAAGACTGTATGTATCACTAGAGAAGGATCTCTAATATACAGTAAGTGAAGAAAAAAACAAAATTCAGAACAGTGTGTATAATATATTGCCATTTGTGGAGGGGAAAACTGTATTTGTGTGCTTTGACTCATGTACACCAAATATCTCCATAAAGATACACAAAAACCTAGTACCAGTGTTTGCCTGTAAGGAGGGGAATTTGGGTGGATGGGAGACAGAATTTCTTGTCAATTGTATACTATTTTATGCCTTTTAAATGTTTATTAACTATTTGCATGTATTACCTATTGAAAAGCGTTTCATCTCTAAGGGGACTCTCCAAAAAGTGAAAGGGCATTTTTAGAGCATGTTTTGGGTAAATGGAAGAGTCCATAATGAAAGAAATTGCCCTTATTTTGCAATAGAGAGCTACAGTGCAGAAGGGAGAGTGGGGATTTGCAATGTGTTAACTGGGATATCTGAAGGTAGATCAAAATTAATACCCAGATTGTGAAAATAGGATAATTATTGACAGAAGGAAACAGAACAAAATTCATTCATTGCATTTAAGTAAGCAATGATATGTTAGGAAATGGACTAAACAGGAAGAAAATACTATAACTCAACCAAAAATTATAAAAAGAACAAAAAATTATGGAATAAAGCTTCAGCATGTTGTAACATCACAGTATAATGAATAAATAAATTTTCAAATGAACCCTATCATATGTACATATCAGTAAAAAAAATTTCAATTTCATAGAACCCTGACACACACGCAAACACATGCACACCCAAAACACATACACACACATACAGACACTATAAAAAGCCAATGAGAGCATTGAGATAATTCTGGACTTTTATGAGTATTTCTTTAATAACGGTCATTCTTTGCATTTTTACTGCCCTAAATTTACCTCTTTAAGTCACAGCAATGCTGATTGAGCTTTTTTCTTTTTTAGTTTTGTTTCTAACCAAATCTTTTGTACATTTCTGGAATTTAAGCCACCTCAGTTACCGCTTATCTATAACACCATTGCTTTGAGGGATTAAAGTAGGTTTATTGTAATACACTTAGATTAAGTTATCTAAGTTGAGAAGAATATCCTGTTTAAGTTGGGAAATCTTTTTATATTTTTATTTTTTATTTATTTTTTTTGATCTTGAGTTGTTTTGATTTCCCCTGAGAGCAGTAATCTTCAGCAAGTGATATTTCTAAAAACCCCCAAACACACCACAAAACATTCCAAGTGATTTTAACTCCTGAATGAGGTTGGGCTACCTGAGTGATTCTCTCTCTTCTCTTCTTTGGCAGAAAGGATTAGAAACCTCCACAGAACTTGCTCTCTATTAAAGTGGAGTGCTGTGCATTCATTGGCAAGAGGTGAATTGTTTTCAGATTACATGCGAAAGAGTGTGTGTGTGTTTCTTTCCCACATCAAAGACTTGGATGGAAGCAGTTCTGAGTATTGCCAGGGATGCAAGAATTGGTGCTAAAGTGATTAACAAAATTGCTTTTCTGCAAAAGAAGCACAAAACATTACCTAGGGATTAGAGGAGGAGAGGGCAAGATTAAAGGTGATGTTGAATTTTGGGTAGAATATCTTATCCATCTTTTTCAAATCATGCTTCAAGGATTCTGTGTCCCTCCTTAAGGAAACCTGAACAAATCAAAGTCTTGCTTTCTTCAGTTTTGTACACAGAGGCACTGACAAGGTAAAATTAAAACTACTAACATAGGCAGCACTTACAAAGTGACCTTTATATCTTTATCTCACACTACAAATACATTTTGAATGTATTTTATTCGGCATACACCAAAGACTCCATGGATCAAAGCCTCTTTGATTTGTAATTGGTTTGTGTGTCCACCTGTTGGGCTTAAATGATAGTGTTTTACAGGATTTCTGTTGTTCAGTTTTAGTAAATCTTGATTTGTTTAGCATCCCTTTTTAAATGTATCTTCCACAGTCAAAACATTTGTCTAACCTAAATATTTAAAAAGCCATAGAATCTATAACTAAATAATGAAAGAAAGATCATACAACAAATCTCACAATTCCTAGTCTATGGAATTATTGTAAGGGGTATCTCTGAAATGCCCCCACAACATTCACACTCAGCATTTTCTCAGTCTCTTTCAAAAACCAAATTCAGTTCCTTGCTTCTTCCAAGAAGTCCTCCTGACTTCAGTCTCCAATCAGAGACAGGCGGAAACATAGGTACAGATAGCTGTTCTTGTGTGAATAAACCTCTTCCTCCTTGGTTTCTTCCTTTAAAACATTAAGTCCAAAAGAGGAACAAAACATATATGTGGATAGGTGGCAAAAACATCAAGTTGAGCGACATAAGCAAAATACATTCAGAGCAATATATACAAAAATATTTAACACAAAACAATATTGTAATTCTTTAAGGATATGTATATGTGTGTATATATATATATATATATATATATATATATATATATATATATATACGTAGAAGTACAAAAAATAGAACAGAATTATGCACCTCAAACTCATGGTAGTGGCTGCCTCTGGAAAGGAAGCAGGCAAATGAGATTTAGGGTAGTAGTAAAAGGGAATTTTAGCTACCTCTGTAATGTTTATTTTTTTAAAAAAGAAAAAAAGCCATTAAGCTAAGATGACTCACTTAGGCATAGTTAGGGGATGTGAAGTGTCATTGAAATTCTTGTCTAAAAAACACAGCAGAAGTTTGAGATCTCGTCTTTGTCCTCATAAACTGTTCTTTCACGTAATGTATAGTTTTTTTGTGTGTCAGACACTAGTTATGTCTCGCTTTCTTGAAACAACAGTAAAACCTGTTTCAAATCGATTGAATAATTCAGAATAGTTGTTACCTCCTCTTTGCCCACAATAACCTTCTTTCTAAATTAATATACTGTGATGATGGGACTTTATCTTTGTGTGTGTTCTATGAAGAAAGGGACACGCTATGAGTCCTTGGTAAAATGAATAAATAGATGAATAAATAAATAAGCCCTGTTTGCTGGCCACCCTGCATGCAACAGTTTGTGGGCGATTTCATTTCAAGAGGTTGCCTATTTGACTTCTTTGCTTTCAGGAACTTGTCGAGAACAATCATTTTTTATCTGTCTTCCCCTTGGGGTCCCGTAAGGTCACTAGACATAAGATAGCTGTGAAATTTGACATTGTTCCAATTTAAATGCTTTACTCCAGCAAGTGCAAGACTGCGGGCGCTTCGGTGCGGGGCTTGCCACGGCCAGGCCGTTCTGAGACTCGCCAGCTCTCCAGGCTTCAAAGCCTGCCATCCTTGATCTCGCTAAAGAATGTTTTTGAATTCTATGTCCATCTAGTGGTTGCCTGCAAAGATCTACTTGGCTTTTTCTTTCTTCCTTTTCTTTCACACTTGATCAGTGAGATTCTGTTTGTGATGGGGGTTTGCCCCCCTTGGTCTTTAATTCTTTCACAGGTGGTTTCAAAGTGTCTATCCTCCGCCACTACTTTCTATAAACAAGCAGGAATTTGGGAACTGCAGTTACTGATGGCTTTCCTCACAGGGCCATTCTCCTCTCACTTTGAAAATAGACTGTTTTGTGGACAGTAAAGTACAGTTCTTTTTCACAGATGAGATTAGAGGCTTGAGGGGAGGCTGAAGGGAGGGGAGTGTTTTCTTTCCCTTTTTTCTTTTTCTCTGTTTTTTTTTTTTTTTTTTTTTACCAGAGAGCCTTTGTGTTGTAACTAATTTTACCAAATACAAGAACTTTATTTATTTTACACTCAGTTGCACCTTTGGTTAAGGATGACATGGCACCAAGTAGAAGTAGCTGGGAATTTGCTGATTTCCTCATTAATTGTCTCCAGCATCCCAAGTGTAAGGGTAAGAGTTGAAGATCAAGTGATGACAGGAACGAATGTGATTGCGTATCCAAGGGATCAAATTATATCAATTCTAGCTACGAATTCTGATCTGCCATGGGGGTTGAGATATCTATTTTATCACCTCCTGTCCCTCTGTGGGTTGAAAAATCTCTCTCCAGGTCTCAGTTTCTATGACTTGAGGTTTTAGAAGGAATGAGATTCAATCCCTTATCTGTAGCAGTGGTTGGTCTTTTCAGTTCTCCTATGGATCCTGAAAGTTGGGGAGCTGACAGATTTATACTGCTCTGAATTCTGTGAGGGAAAAAATAATAGATGGAAGGCAAGTGTTATCACTTAGTTCTAACACATAAACAGTGTAAAGGCATTATGTGTGTCTTGGACAACCTTGGCCACTTGAAAGATGGGGACACACGCTGAATTAAACCTAAAGTCATGGCCTTTGTTCCAGTTCAAATTAAAACAAATATTTTTAAATATTTACAAATATTTTTTCTCTCTATAAATGTAACACACTTTATTCAGATCAATGTAAAAAATACAAATGGTGTCCATGCAGCATTATTTATAATAGCATAAAACGCAAACAGCCTAAATGCCCATCAGCAGGAAACTGGCTAAATAAACGACAATGTATTTATCTATGGAATAACATGTAATAATTTAAAAGAATATAATAATTAAAAAGAGAGCACAAAAGCTGGGTGCAGTGGCTCATGCCTATAATCCCAGCACTTTGGGAGGCTGAGGCGGGCGGATCACCTGAGGTCAGGAGTTCGAGACTAACCTGGCCAACATGGTGAAACCTCGTCTCTACTAAGAATACAAAAATCAGCTGGGCGTGGTGGCAGCCGCCTGTAATCGCAGCTACTCAGGAGGCTGAGGCAGGAGAATCACTTGAACCTGGGAGGCGGAGGTTGTAGTGAGATGAGATCATGCCATTGCACTCCAGGCTGCGCAACAGAGCGAGACTCTGTCTCAAAAAAAAAAAAAAAAAAAAAGAGAGAACACAAAAGTGGAAAATAATGACATGAAAACATGTCTAAGAAATAGCGTTGAGGCCGGGCACGGTGGCTCATGCCTGTAACCTCAGCACTTTGGGAGGCCTGGGTGGGCAGATTGCTTGAGCCCAGGAGTTTGAGACCAGCCTGGCCAACATGGTGAAACCCTGTCTCTATAAAAAAAATACAAAAATTAGCCTGGCATGGTGGCATGCACCTGTAGTCCCAGCTACTAGGGAGGCTGAGTCAGAAGGATCACTTGAGCCCTGAAGTGGAGGTTACACTGAGCCAAGATCACACCACTGCACTCCAGCCTAGGTGACACAGTGAGACCCTGTCTCAAAAAAAAAAAAAAAAAAAAAAAAGAAAGAGAGAAAAAATAAATAGCGTTGAGAGAAACAAAAAGTTGAAAATAATATTACTAAAATGATATGTACAAATGAATCATATAATTTTCGTGGGTTCAGATATATATATATGCAGGGATATACAGGATTGAGGGAAGTATTTAAGAGGACTTTAATTTTATCAGTAATGTTTTATTTTTTTATAAGGCAAATGTATTTATGTAATTCTCATGTAATGTAATTAAAACATACTTTTTTTTTTTTTTTTTGAGACAGGGTCTCGCTCTGTAAGGCTGGAGCGCAGTGGTGCAATCATGGCTCACTTGCAGCCTCGACATCCCTGGGCCCAGGTGAAACTCCAAACTCAGCCTCTTGAGTAGCTGGGATTACAGGCACACACCACCACACCTGGCTAATTTTTTATTTTTTGTAGAGACAAGATTTCACCATATTGCCCAGACTGGTCTCAAACTCCTGAGCTCAAGCAGTCTGCCTACCGTGGCCTCCCAAAGTGCTGGGATTACAGGCGTGAGCCACCGTGCCCTGCCAAAACACAATTTTTAAAAGATTTTAAAAACCAACACACAGAAGATAAGTAAAAAGAAAAAAAAACTACTATCCAGCCTCCCATATAGTCTTTTGTATATATACTTTATTTATTTGGCAAGTAAAAATTATAATATTTATGGTGTACAACATGTCTTAATTGCTGTATTCATTGCAGAAGGGCTAAATCAAGCTACTTAACAGGTGTTATCACCTTACATACTTACCATTTTTTGGTGGGTGGCACAACCTCCTGAGGAGCTGGGACTACAGCCACCTGCCAGTAATTTTCAAGTATACAATATATTGTTATTAACTATAATCACCATGATGTATGATAGATTTCTTGAACTTATTTCTCCTGTCAAACTGAAATTTTGTGTCCTTTGACCAACATCTCCCCAATCACCCCAACCCCTGCCTCTGGAAGCTACCATTTTACTCTCTGTTTCAGAGTTCATGGAGACTCCACATATAGGTAAGACCATGTGTTATTTGTCTTTCTGTGCCTGGCTTATTTCACTTAACATAGTGCCATCCAGGTTCATCCATGTTGCTGTAAATGATGGGATTTCCTTCTTTTTTAAGGCTGAATAGTATTCCATTGTGTATATATGCCACGTTTTCTTTATCCATTTATCCTTTGATGGACACTTTGGTTGATTCCATATCTTGGCTATTGTGAATAGTGCTTCAGTGAACAGGGCAGGGGCGGGAAGGGGGTGCAGATATCTCTTCAACATGCTGATTTTATATCCTTGGATGTATACCCAGTAGTGGGGTTGCTAGATATATGGTAGTTTCAAATTTTTTTTTTTTTTTGAGACAGAGTTTTTGCTCTTCTTGCCCAGGCTGGAGTGCAATGGTGTGATCTTGGCTCACCGCAACCTCTGCCTCCCGGGTTCAAGCGATTCTCCTGCCTCAGCCTCCCGAGTAGCTGGGATTACAGATGAGTGTTATCACACCGGGCTAATTTTTGTATTTTTAGTACAGACAGGGTTTCTCCACGTTGATCAGGCTGGTCTCGAACTCCCGACCTCAGGTGATCCTCCTGCCTTGGCCTCCCAAAGTACTGGGATTACAACTACTGCACCCGGCTGGTAGTTCCAATTTTAATTCTGAGGAGGAGCCTCCATACTGTTTTCCATAATGGTTGTACTAATTTACATTCCCACCAACAGTGTACAAAGATTCCCTTTTCTACATCCTCACCAACAATTATCTTTCATTTTCTTATAATGGCCATTCTGACTGGTGTGAGGTGGTATCTCATTGTGGTTTCAATTTGCATTTCCCTGATGATTAGTGATGTTGAACATTTTTTCATATACCTGTTGGCCATTTGTATGTCTTCTGTTGAGAAATGTCTATTGGGGCTTATTTTCCCATTTTTGAATCAAGTTATTTGTTTTCTTACTATTGAGTTATTTGAATTCCTTTATATTTTATTTATTTGTTTAAATTGTTTAATTTTTTTTTTAGAGACAGGGTTGCCCAGGCTGGAATGCAGTGGCATGATCATGGCTTACTATAGCCTCAAACTCCTGGGCTCAAGCAATCTTTCTACCTTGGCCTCTCAAAGTGCTGGGATTACAGCCATGAGCCACTACACCTGGCCAAATTCCTTATATGTTTTGGATATTAACCCTTTATCAGAAGTGTGGCTTGCAAATACAGTCTTTCATCACTCTGGTGATTGTTTTCTTTGCTGTGCAGAAGCTTTTTAGTCTCATGTAATCCAATTTGTCCATTTTTGCTTTCGTTGCCCGTGCTTTTGGGGTCATATCCAAAAAAATCACTGCTCGGACCCATGTCACAGAGCTTTTCCCATTTTTTTCTAGTAGTTTTACAGTTTCCAGTCTTATGTTTAAGTCTTCTATCCATTTTGAGTTAATTTTTGTATAGGGTGTGAGATGAGGGTCTAATTACATCCTTCTGCATATGGATATTCAGTTTTCCCACCACCATTTATTTGAAAAGACTGCCCTTTCCCAATTGTGTGGTTCTTAGCATTTTTGTCAAAAATCAACTGAACCGGGTGCAGTGGCCCGTGCCTGTAATCCCAACACTTTGGGAGGCCAAGGCAGGAACACTTGAGCCCAGGAGTTCGGGACTAGCCTGGACAACATAGCGAGACCTCATCTGTATAAAAATAAGTAAGTAAATAAATAAATAAAAATCAATTCACCGTAAATGTATAGAATTCTTTCTGGGCTCTCTATTCTGTTCCATTGGTCTATGTGTCTGTGTCTGTTTTGTTTGTTTGTTTTGTTTTGTTTTGTTTTAAAACAGGGTCTCACTCTTTTGATCAGGCTGGAGTGCAGTGGCGAAATCATGGCTCACTGTAGCCTCAACCTCCCAGGCATAAGTGATCCTCCCATTTCAGCTTCCCAAGTAGCTGGGTCCACAGGCATGTGACACCATGCCTGGCTAATTTTTATTTTATTTTATTTTATTTTATTTTATTTTATTTTATTTTATTTTATTTTATCTTATCTTATCTTATCTTATCTTATTTATTTTGGTAGAGACAAGGTCTCCCTATGTTGCCCAGGCTGGTCTCGAACTCCTGGCCTCAAGCAATCCTTCTGCTTCAGCCTCCCAAATTGTTGGGATTCCAGATGTGAGCCACCCCACCCAGCTGATTACTATAGCTTTTCAGTAGATTTTGAAATCTGGTAGGGTGGTGCCTCCAGCTTTGTTCTTTTTGCTCAAGATTGCTTTAGTTATTCAGGGTCTTTTGTGGTTCCATATGAATTTCGGGATTGTTCTATTTCTGTAAAAAATGTCATTGGAATATTGATAGGGATTACATTGAATCTGTAGATCACTTGGGTAGTATGGACTTTTTTTTTTTGAGATGGAGTCTTGCTCTGTTGCCAGGATGGAGTGCAGTGGCGCAATCTCGGCTCACTGCAACCTCTGCCTGCCAGGTTTAAGCAATTTTCCTGCCTCAGGCTCCTGAGTAGCTGGGACTACAGGCACGTGCCACCATGCCCAACTAACTTTTTGTATTTTTAGTAGAGACAGGGTTTCTCCACGCTGGCCAGGCTGGTCTCGAACTCCTGACTTCGTGATCTGCCCGCCTCGGCCTCCAAAAGTGCTGTGATTACAGGCGTGAGCCACCACACCTGGCCCCAAAATGGACATTTTAACAACATTAATTCTTCTAATCTGTGAACACAGGATATCTTTCCATTTACTCGTGTCTTCTTCAATTTCTTTTTTTTGAGACAGAGTCTTGCTCTGTCGTCCAGGCTGGAGTGCAGTGGTGCGATCTCGGCTCACTGCAACCTCTGCCTCCTGGGCTCAAGCAATTCTCCCCTCCCGAGCAGCTGGGATTACAGGTGCACATCACCATGCCTGGCTGATTTTTGTATTTTTAGTAGAGACAGGGTTTCGCCATGTTGGGCAGGATGGTCTTGAACTCCTGACCTCAAGTGATCCGCCCTCCTCGGCCTCCCAATGTGCTGGGATTACAGGCATGAGCCACTGTGCCCAGCCACCTTCTTCAATTTCTTTCATTAATGTTTTATAGTCTTCAGTGTACTACATTAAATTTAAAATGTACTATAAAAATTAAGGAATGGCGTGGTGGCTCATGCCTGTAATCCCAACACTTTAGGAAGCCAGACCCAGTGGAGACCAGGAGTTCAAGACCAGCCTGGGCAACATAGCTAAACCCCGTCTTTATAGAAAATACAAAAATTAGCTGGGTGTGGTGGCATGCACCTGTAGTCCCAGATATTCGAGTGACTGAGATGGGAGGATCACTTGAGCCCAGGAGGTCAAGGCTGCAGTGGGCCATGATTGTGCCACTGCACTCCAGCCTGGGAGACCCTGTCTCAACAACAACAAAAATTAATTTTTTTTATTGTGGTAAAATATACATAACATAAAATTTACCCTTCTCACCATTTGTAAGTATACAGCTCAGTAGCATTAAATACATCCACATTGTTAGTATGACCATCACTAATATCTATCTCCAGGACTTTTTCATCCTCCCGGATAGAAGTTCTATACACAGTAAACAATGACTCCCTATTCCACCCCACACCCCCCAATCCCTGGTAACCACTGTTCTACTTTCTGTATCTATGTATTTGACTATTTTAGACACCTCATTTAAGTGAAATCATACAATGTTTGTCTTTTTGTGTTTGGCTTATTTTACTTAGCATAATGTCTTCAAGGTTCATCCATGTTGTAGCATGTATCTGATCAATCCCTTTAAAGGCTAAACAATACCCCATTGTATGTATTTAGCACATTTTGTTTATCCATTCATCTGTTAATGGACATTCAGGTTTTTCCACCTTTTGCCTACTGTGAAGTATGCTGCTATGAATATTGGCGTACAAACAGCTGTTTGAGTCCCTGCTTTCAGTTCTTTTGTGTACATACTCGGAAGTGGAATTGCTGAATCATATGGTAATTATATGTTTAATTTTCTGAGAAACCACCATACGGTTTTCCACAGCAGAGGCACCATTTTACATTTCCACCAGCATTATACAAGGGTTTCTATTTCTCCGTATCCATGCCAACACGCTGTTTTCCTGTTTTGTTTTGAGACAGGGTCTCACTCACCCAGGCTGGAGTGCAGTGGCATGATCACGGCTCACTGCAGCCTCAACTTCCTGGGCTCAAACGATCCTCCCACCACAGCCTCCTGTAGCTGGGACTACAGGTGCACACCACCACACCTGGCTAATTTTTTGAATTTTTTGTAGAGATGTGTTTTTGCCATGTTGCCCAAGCTGGTCTCACCGGCCTCAGCCTCCCAAAGTGCTAGGATTACAGATGTGAGTCACAAACCAAGCCCTGTGTTTTTTTGTTTTTTGTTTTTGAGACAAGGTATCGCTCTATTGCCAAGGCTGGAGTGCAGTGGTGCAATATATGTCTCACTGTAGCATCGGCCTCCTGGGCTCAAGTGATCCTCCTGCCTCAGCCTCCCATGTAGCTGGGACCACTGGCACACACCACCACACCTGGCTAATGTTTGTGTTTTTTGTAGAGATGAGGTCTCACTTTGTTGCCCAGGCTAGTCTCAAACTCCTGAGCTCAAGTTCTCCTCCTGCCTTGGCCTTCCAAAGTGCTGGGATTACAGGTGTGAGCCCCCTGCCCACATGTTTTGTTTTTATAATAATGTATGTGAAGTGGTTATATACTTTTAAAAATTAAACAATGAGGCTGGGCACAGTGGCTCACGCCTGTAATCCCAGCACTTGGGGAGGCCAAGGCTGGTGGATCACCTGAGGTCAGGAGTTCGAGACCAGCCTGGCCAATATGGTGAAACTTAGTGTCTACTAAAAATACAAAAATTAGCCAGGTCATGGTGGCGCATGCTTGTAATCCCAGCTACACGGGATGCTGAGGAGGGAGAATCACTCAAACCCGGGAGGCGGAGGTTGCAGTGAGCTGAGATTGTGCCGCTGCACTCCAGCCTGGGTAACAGAGCAAGACCCTGTCTCAAAATAAATAAATAAATAAATAAATAAACAAACAATGGCCTAAACTGTGACTAACGTAATGTTAACATTTTTCTGCATCATTAAGTGTTCTTCAGGGCTGGGCGCGGTGGCTTTAGCCTGTGATCCCAGCACTTTGGGAAGCTGAGGCGGGGGATCACCTGAGGTCAGGAGTTTGAGACCAGCCTGACCAACATGGAGAAACCTCATCTCTACTAAAAATACAAAAATTAGCCGGCCATGGTGGTGCACGCCTGTAATCCCAGCTACTCAAGAGGCTGAGGCAGGAGAATCGCTTGAACCGGGGAGGCAGAGGTTGCAGTGAGCTGAGATGGCGCCATTGCACTCCAACCTGGGCAAAAATAGCGAAATTCTGTCTCAAAACAAAAAAAAAATGTTCTTCAACAATGTCATTTTATTGGCTGTGCAGCATTCCACTGGATAAGATGTACCATAACTTACTCAACCAATTCCCTATTATTAGAAACTTAGGTGTTTCCAAATGTTTGGCATTATAAGAGTGCTGCATATTCACATTTTAGACTTTGCTTTACATTTGCTTATAAATTCCTAACAGTGATATTGCTGCGTCATCGCACATAAACTTTTTTAAAGTTTTGAAATCAATGTCCATTTTAAAATGAAGTTTAAAAGAGGGATGGGAGGACAGAAGGAATTGCTACTGCTGTTACATGCTTAACACCCAAGCAAACATCTATTGAATCAGCTGAGAAATTCCCACACACAATGTAAAGAGTGAGCATTGTCTGTTAGTCCTCCAACAATTTGTCTTTCACCATTGACCTACATTGAAACCTTCAGCTTAGGAAAAGAATGTAGGAGCCTCTTAATGGAAGGCTAGATTCAGTGGTACTTGGGGTGCTAAAATAGTCTGTGTGTGAGTACTTTCATCTCTGCAGTTCACTACTGGATCCAGGACCAATCTAAATCCTTCTTACTTTGTCCACTACTGAAATATGATGCTATCTCTGTGCTGGAAGTTGCAGAAGTATTTAAGAGTACCCAAGAATAACACAATTGAGAAAATAAACTGAAAAATAAGTTCAATAGGAGGAAACATCCCAGAATAAATGACAGGGTAGTAGCTTTCTCCTTTTGGAACTAATATTTTTTTTTTTTTGAGACGGAGTCTCCCTCTGTCACCCGGGCTGGAGTATAGTGGTGCGATCTCGGCTCAATGCAACCTCTGTCTCCCGGGTTCAAGTGATTCTCCCGCCTCAGCCTCCCAAGTAGCTGGGACTACAGGCATGCACTGGGACTACAGGAGTGCGCCACCACACCCCGCTAATTTTTGTATCTTTAGTGAAGACGGGGTTTTGCCATTTTGGCAAGGCTGGTCTCAAACTCCTGACCTCAAATGATCCACCAGCCTCCACCTCTGCCTCCCAGAGTGCTGGGATTTCAGGTGTGAGCCACCATGCCCGGCCCAGAACTAATTATTAATTGGTATAGCTTATGCCCTGACAAAGCCTTAGACCTGGGAATCCTGAACAAACTTCAGTTATGTCCTTCTATTACTCAGAAAGCTTGAGCCACCCAAGGGCTTCCTGGTCAATCCAAACCGTCTTGCCTAGCACTCAGTATTCTGGTTTCCCCTGACCTCTCTGCATCCTGACTGCCCCAGCATGAAGCCTTCCATTCCATCCAAACTGACCTATTTCCTTTTTGCCAAACAAGCAGCATATATTCTGGAAAAATCTTTGGACTTGGAGTTAGACTATGTGGATTTGAACCCTGGGTCTGCCATTGCTTTATTAGGACCCTGGGGAAAATACTGAATCTTGCTGAGCTTCGGTTTCTTCATTTGTAAAATAGGGATAACAAAGCCTAATTTGTTGTACTATTATGTATATGTTAAACTGGACAACAGAATGTAAAAGAAGCTAGCACAATGTCAGATATATACTGAGTGTTTGATAGGTAACACAAAGGTCTTGTTTGGCCTCTGAACTTTGCTCCAAACTGTTCTCTTTCTGGAAAAGTCTTCTTTTATCTGAATCCTGCCCATCCATCAAAGCAGATATGTTTTATCCCTCTTGAAAGCCTTCCCACACCAGTCCTAAGCACTCCCTGGCTATTCCGTTGATTTGGCATTGGTCAGTACTACCTAGTATTGGTTATACTTTTTTACAGTGTATTTTTCTTCTCCAAGTGACCTGTCAAGGAGCCAAACTTTCTACTATCTATTTTTTTTTTTAAAGACGGATTCTCGCACTGTCACGCGGGCTGGAGTGCAATGGCAGATCTTGGCTGACTACAACCTCCAACTCCCGGATTCAAACGATTCCCTGCCTCAGCCTCCCAAGTGCCTGGGATGACAGGCACGCGCCACCATGACCGGCTAATTTTTTGTATTTTTAGTAGAGACGGGGTTTCACTATGTTGGCCAGGCTGGTCTCGAACTCCTGACCTCGTGATCCGCCCGCCTCAGCCTCCCAAAGTGGTAGGATTACAGGCGTGAGCCACCGCTCCCGGCTAACTATCTACTATCTACTATTTCTTCCCCCAACCCCACTTTTCCACCTCCGTATCAAGAATGTTTCCCACATAGGAAATGCTAAGTATTTATGTATTTATTTATTTTTGAGACGGAGTCTCACTCTATTGCTCAGGCTTGAGTGCAGTGGTGTGATCTCAGCTCACTGCAATCTGCCTCCCAGATTCAAGGGATTCTCCTGCCTCAGGCTCCCAAGTAGCTGAGATTACAGAAGCACACCACCACACCTGGCTTGTTTTTGTATTTTTAGTAGAGACAGGGTTTCACCATGTTGGCCAGGCTAGTCTCAGACTCCTGACCTCAAGTGATCTGCCTGCCTCGGCCTCCCAAATTGCTGGGATTACTGGCGTGAGCCACTGTGCGGGCCCTAAGTATTTATGCTGACCCTTTTCACTTTCCCTGTGCTTCATGACCTGCCTGTGTCAGTAGGTCCATAAGGCTTGCATCAGTCCTTCTAAGTGGACTCTCTCCTGAGGCAGTTTTCAGAGAGCCCTGATATCAGTTTGTCCCAACAATAATTAAAATGAATGCACAGCACCTCCTAGCTTACAACAGTAGCCTGTAAAGTTAACAGAAAGGATATTATTATTCTCATCATCCCTATTTCTCGAAGACTAAGAAAGGTCAAGTGATTTGTCCAAGGACACAAGGCTAATGTACAGGAAAACTGGAAACTGAACTCAGATCTACTGCTTGCAAAGTTCATGCTCATGGCCTCACATCATAAAACCTCCTTCTGTATTTAACTGTTCATGAACATTTGTTAGTCTCTAAAGTAGTATTATGGTTGAATTTGAGGTCCTTGCCTAAGAAGAAAATGCCGGTGTTCTTGGGTATAGTAACCACCTAAAGAAACCTCTTCAGTGTTTTTGGAGGCATGAAAGGAACAAAAACAATATGCCAGTTCTTGGGGGAAACGCTCCAGGTGAGAAACTTGTGTAAATTATTTTCTTGGGGCCCAGAATGACACCTGGGCATTTGGTAAGAAGGTACCCTTTCCCCTACACCTTAATTAATTGTGACTCAGAGCAGATCTTTTAGAAATGGTTCCCCTGCTACACTTATTATCTCTTTGGTGACCTTCTGTCCCTACCCCTTAAGGCTCAGGGACTTCTCCTCCAAGCCGTGGCTCTGGCATGCCAGGAGGTGTCCCCCTGTGGTCACCATGAACTAGACTCCCTCCAGCAAAGGGCACAACTCTCACCACAGCTCAAGGGCATCTTGGAGTACAGCTGTACACAATCCAAAAGAATCACAGGTGATTCTGATTAGAAGAGATTCTGAGGGACATCCTATCACTACTCGGTTCTCTAGCACACCCGCATACCTCCCAGCTACACATTTCATCCTGACAGCTCAGCAGACATTCTTCAGACTTAGGGAAGGTGTGAATCCACAGATAGTTCACCTGCAATCCAAGGCAGAACCATGTCTCTCAGCTTCCTTGGTCACTGAGTAAGCAACACCCTTTTTGTACAGAGTATAGCTCTACCCTTTGTCTCATTAAAAACTATTAGAAGCCAGCCTGGCATGGTGGTTCAGGCTGCAATCCCAGCACTTTTTTGGGAGGCCAATGTGGGAGGAATGCATGAGGCCAGGAGTTGAAGGCCAGCCTGGGCAATATGGCGAGACCCTATCTCTAAAAAAAAATTATTTTCTTTTCTTTACTTTGTGTGTGTGTTTCATTTTTTGTTTTTGTTTTTGTTTTGAGGCAGGGTCTCGCTCTGTCACCCAAGCTGAAGTACAGTGGCATGATCACAGCTCTCTGTAATCTCAACCTCCTAGGCTAAAGCAATCCTCCCACCTTAGCTTCCTGAGTAGCTGGGACTACAGGCATGTGCCATCATACCCAGCTAATTTTTTATTTTTTTAGTGATGAGATCTTGCTATGTTGCCCAGGCTAGTCTTGAACCCCTGGGCTCAAGCAATCCTCCTGCCTTGCCCCACCAAAGAAGTGCTGGGATTACAGGCTGAGCCACCATGCCAGGCCAAAAGTGTCTTAAAAACAAACAAACAAACAACTCTTGGAAGCCAAATGAATCCTGACTTAGCTGTTACTGTAGATTCTGTTGATAACAGTTGCTTAAACTCAACTCTGTCCCCACCATCACACACTTGGATGCTAAGATCAAAGTTGCCTAGTTACTTCCAGATTCGTTCAATATGCATTTATTGAACACTACTTCCTAGGTAACTTGCCAGGCACTTGAGTAAAAGGGTGAATCTTCTCATTTTTTTCTCATCCCACAGAAAGTCCTACTTTCTCACAACCAATAAGCCTCATATCAACAGCAAACTCCAAGTTGCACAGAGACTATCACATTTGCAATCTTCTTGTTTTTCTGAAACAAGCATTGGCATAAACAGTAACAGCAATGACTTAGGCCATGCTCTTGCCTATAATCCTAGCACTTTGGGAGGCCAAGGCAGGAGGATTGCTTGAGCTCAGGAGTTTGGGACAAGCCTGGGCAACATAGTGAGACCCCCATCTCTATTTAAAAAAATAAAAATAAAAAACAAAAACCTTATTTATACTCTAATTATTCTGGGCCAAAAATGGGAGTTTGAACTCAATTCATATACTGTTTTTGTAGATTGTTACATGTAACCCTAGGTATCATATTTACCAGGTGTCTATTTCCCCATCTTTTTTTTTGAGACAGGGTTTGTCACCCAGGTTGGAGTGCAGTGGTGCAATCTCAGCTCACTGCAACATCTGCCTCCTGGACTTCAGCAATCCTCTCACCTCAGCCTCCTGAGTAACTGGGACCACAGTTACGCACCACCACACCCAGCTAATTTTGTATTTTTTTGTAGAGGTGAGGTGTCACCATGTTGCCCAGGCTGGTTTCAAACTCCTAGGCTCAAGCCATCTGCCCATTTCAGCCTCCTGAAGTGCTAGGATGACAGGCATGAGCCACCTCGCCCAGCGTGCCCACCTCATTTGGTGAAACACCCTCTCTCTCTCACTGTGCTATTGCTATTAATTTTCCCACACCCTCCATTCTGTCTCAAACACTAAGAGTTCAAACATCTCTTCTCCAGTGATCTTAACCTTGGACTTAGAATTTTCCCCTGTTTCTTAACAGTACCTCTCCTCCCTGGCTGTTCTTTAGCATAACATCAATTCAGTCAAATGAAATAAACAAACATTTACAGAGTGAAGGGGAGGGAAAGATGGGAAGGGGACAGCTGTGATTACTGACCCATCCTGCCCCAGCTTTCCCTCACTAGGAGTAGTTTTGGGTACAAACTCAGAATGGCAGTTAAGAAGAAAAAAGCCTTGTTTTTTATGCTTTCCTAAAGACCAGCAAGGAACAATTGGAATTTGAAATGTAAAAAAAATACCATTTACAATAGCACCAACAAAAATCAAAACAAAACAAAAACCACTTAGGCCCAAATCTAACAAAATAAATACAGGATCTATATGAGAAAAACTACATAACACTGGTGAAGAAAATCAGAGATCTAAATAAATGGAGAGAGAGTCCATGTTACAAGATCAATATACAAAAGCCAGTTTCTGTCATATACTAAATACCAGCAATGAACAATTGGGATTTGAATTTTATTTTATTTATTATTATTATTATTTTGAGACAGGGTCTTGCTCTGTCACCCAGGATGGAGTGCAGTGGCATGATCATAGCTCAATGCAGGCCCCACCTCCTGAGCTCAAACAATCCTCACCTCAGCCTCACAAGTAGCTAGGACTACAGGTGCATGCCACCATGCCTGGCTCATTGGGAAAAATTTTTTTTTTTTTTTATAGAGATGGGGTCTTGTTATGTTGCCCAGGCTGGTCTTGAACACCTGAGCTCAAGGGATTCCTCCTGTTTTGGCCTCCCAAAGTGGAATTAGAGGTGTGAGCCACTGTGCCTGGCTGGGATTTGAAATTTAAAAAAAAAAAGATAACATTTATAAGCCTTATTTCTTGGCGTCATGTGGTTCAAGTGAACACCTTAGCTTGGTGATTTGCAGTTTCAACTTGACTGTGCCCTTTAACCAGAAATCCTGGGGTTGTTGAGACCTTTCCATGTAGTAGCCCAGATCTCATCTTCAATTTTGAGTCAAAATGGATTTTTGAGCGGTCCTAATAGTCACTGGATTCCTCTGAGGTACTATTTGTTGACATTTTTTTTTCTCCAAGCCTCTTTCATTTAGGCAGCCAAATTTTCCTCAGAGACTTCCATTCCTCATTTTCAAACCTTCCTGCCTCTTTTGCTTCCAGCTGGTTCCTGAACTTCGGTCTGACATTTCCAACAGTACCTCCAGCCTACAGCAAGTGTCCTGCCTTTGTGGCCTGTTTCCCGGCCATTGTCTGGCTTCTCTGTTCTTCATTCCCCTTTATCTCTACTCCTTCCCTCCTCCTCCCCAGTGCACAGGTCAGGCATTCAAGGGTGGACGTATCATGGACAACTCTGATTTGAGTTGTTTTCTCTGAAACAAATATTTGCATATGTGACCCTCCCCCACCCCGCCATTTACCATATGGCTTTTCCTCCATCTCAGCCAGAGGAACTCTCAAATTCATATATGTTTTTGGAAATGAAGTTTTCCCCAGATGGTCTCTCCAAAGCACCAAAGCAAGGTCAGAGTTTGTGCATTCCTTCAAAGGTTCTGGGCAGGAGTTAGAATTACTCGTGTTTTCTTACTCCCATCAGCAGTTATTTTGTCAGTGCACCTGATAATGGGACAAAACCTGAGTCTTTCTTAGCTAAAAACACACCAGTGTTTGAGGGAGATGTTGAACCATAAACTGGTGTCCCCAGGGAAAGGAGAGAAACCTGCTCAGTTGCTCAAATAATTTCAAACCAAAGCCCCTGAGGATACTTCCACAGGGAGAGAAAAAGAGTATGAATATTAGAAAGATGATGAGCCAGGTGTGCTGAAAAGTTTTCTTAGTCATTCTTAACCCTAGAAGGGGATGGGGGCAGCCCCACATCTCTACTGGGAAACATACTTCCCCTTTTAAATCAGGAAAGAAGAAAACAACAACATAGCCCCAAATAGAGAATGTTTTCTTTTGTAACTGGAAGCAAACATTGCTGATGGCTTTAACAGCTGTCTGCCAACGTGGCCTGAGCAGCAGGCAAGCTCAAACATTTTCTGAGATCAACATATGTACAGACGTACAGTATATTAGGTCAAATTATAAATCCAGGAATAAAAGAACAAATAAGTTTCGGCTTTCTCTAGGCTTCTGCATCCAACACCAGCTAAATTAGCCTCTGAAGCAGAGGAATCTGGATTCCAAATAGGCAGGTCTTCCAAAAGTTCAAGTCAAACCTCCCTCTGGTAGGAAAAGAAGGTGCCGTTGTAGATTAACTTGCTGATGACTGACCAGGTCCGGGCTGCTGGGCCCAGCCTAGCCAAGGCTTCCCTGTGTCTTAGCCCAGCAGACTCTGAGGATCTGCGTGCGGCAGGTTAACGTTAAGCCTGCCATTGACTTGATCTTTGACCCCAGTAAATCATTTAATATGCAGTGTGCCTTTGTCCATATGTTAATGTTTTGTGTAATTCGGATGAGAATTCCAGCAAGTCTGGGTGTGCCACCCATTAGGACTAAAGCTTTCCCTTTGGAGCTTCTAGGAGGAACCTTCTGGATAGCTACATTGCAGAAAGCTGAAGTACCTCGATGAACCTAATTGAAATGCCTGCAGATGGTGAGACCAGCCTTGCCTGAACTGTGACTGAGAAGTAAAAGAATGAATTTTTTCCTTTGTTATCAAAACTGACACAAAACTTTTAGTTTTGCCTTAGGGCAAGAAACCCACCAGAATGTAATAGGCAGGAGAATACTGGCTTCCACCACTCTACTAGTTATGGGACCTTGAACAAGTCACATTGGCTAAGCTTCCATAGATGTTAGTGGGTCATGAAATCAATGAAATAGATTGGAACTAAAAAAAAAATTTTTTCGAGATGGAGTCTTGCTCTGTTGCCCAGGCTGGAGTGCAGCGGCTCAATCTCGGCTCACTGCAACCTCCACCTCCTGGGTTCAAGCGATTCTCCTGCCTCAGCCTTCCGGAAGCTGGGATTACAGATTCCTGCCACCAAGCCCGGCTAATTTTTGTATTTTTAGTAGGGACAGGGTTTCACCATGTTGGCCAGGCTGGTCCGAACTCCTGACCTTAGGTGATCTGCCCTCCTCAGCCTCCCAGAGTGCTGGGATTACAGGTGTGAGCCATGGCGCCAGGCTCTAAAAAATGTTTTAATAAAATAAATTGAGTAGAATAGAAAATACCAGGGCTTAGTCCACAGTAAGGGGAAGTACACGTGTGTATGTATGATTCCTGGGGTCATAATGAACAATAAACGTTCTACTATAGGTAACTAACAAAAAGTTTTCAAGCCAGTGGCTTAGCCCAGTGGTCCCCAACCTTTTTGGCACCAGGAACAGGTTTCACGGAAGACAGTTTTTCCTTGGATGGGGTGGAGGAGCCGGTTTTGGGATTAAACTGTTCCACCTCAGATCATTAGTTAGATTCTCATAAGGAGTGGGCAACCTAGATCCGTCACACGCACAGTTCACAATGGGGATCGCATTCCTACGAGAATCTAATGCCGCCACTGATCTGATGGGAGGTACACCTCAGGCAGTTATGCCTGATGTTCACCTCCTGCTGTGCAGCCAGGTTCCTAACAGGCCATGGACTGGTACCAGTCCATGGCCTAGGGGGTTGGGGACCCCTGGCTGAGACCATAGAGCTTCGATCTCCTAGTCTATTTGTTGGAAATAATTCATTTTATATGCATACATAGATATACATACATATACAAATACACACACATCTAATGAGCACCTACTCTGTGTCAGGCACAGTGAGGGGTGTGTGAGGTATACAGGCATGACAAGGCCCTGTCCCCGTGGAGCACTGGCTAGTCAGGGAGCCTATCATAAAATACTGGCATAATGATTTCACTGCCATTGTGATTAGGGCCACAAAGAGACTTACAAAGGGAGAAGAGAGTATGTCGCAGGGTTCCTGACCTGGGCTGCAAGACCAGGGCCAGCCTTCCTGAGGAACGGACATAGAAGGAGGCAGAGAGTGATGCAGGCAAAGAACTGGGGGCATCCCCGGCTGAAGAACCAGCAAGTCTGAGCAGACCCTGAAGAAGGAGTAACCTGTGCTGGGCCTGCCCCAAAGGCTTCTGTGAGGATGACCAAGGGAGGTGACAGCCAGCAGAAACACAGTTTCTGTAAACTGTAGAGTGTTATTCAAATGTGACCTATTATTTAAAACAATGAATATAAACATGCCTTAAAGGTGAGCTTAGCCGGTGGATGGCTCATGCCTGTAATCCCAGCACCTGGGGAGGCCGAAGAGGGTGTATCACCTGAAGTCAGGAGTTCGAGACCAGCCTGGCCAACATGGTGAAACCCCATCTCTACTAAAAGTACAAAAAAAAATTAGCCAGGCGTGGGGGTGGGCGCCTGTAGTTCTGGCTACTCGGGAGGCTGAGGTAGGAGAATCTCTTGAACCTGGGAGGCAGAGGTTGCAGTGAGCCGAGATCGCACCACTGCACTCCAGCCTGAGCGACAGAGTGAGACTGTCTCAAAAAAAAAAAAAAAAAAAAAAAAAAAAGGTGAGTTTAAGCATCCTTTCAATGACTCTTTGCCGGATTCTGTTCTAGGTTCTGGGAATACAGCAGTCAGTAAGACAGACCCTCTGTCCTCCATAAACACAGAGAATGGTGACTTCAGACAGCGGTAAATGCTATGGTGAAATAGAAAATTTGGCAGAGGAATAGAGAATAATGGAGGCAGGGAAGGTTCTAGACAGGAAGGCAGGGCTCTCTAAGGGGGTGAAAACCAGATCTGAACAAACTACCTGTCACCCTCTGACAATGTGACCTTGGATACATCACCTAATCTTTCAAGACTCTCCTTTCACCTCATCTCACAGGACTCACCTGAGAATTAAATGAGATAAGAAATGGAAGCCCTCCTAATACAGGTTAGCGTGAATAATGTTAAACAGTGAATATTTAATAAATGCTAAATAATCGAGTGCTTTAATCAAGAACGAAAGTCAGAAGTTTTTTTTAACAGTCCGGGTGCAGTGGCTCATGCTTGTAATCCCAGCACTTTGGGATATGCATACATAGATTTACATACATATACAAAGGAGGCTGAGGCAGGGGATCACCCGAGGTCGGGAGTTCGAGACCAGCCTGACCAACATGGAGAAACCTCATCTCTACTAAAAATACAAAAATTGGCAGGGCATGGTGGCGCATGCCTGTAATCCCAGCTACTCGGGAGGCTAAGGCAGGAGAATTGCTTGAACTCGGAAGGCAGAGGTCGAGGTGAGCCGAGATGGTGCCACTGCACTCCAGCCTGGGCAATAAGAGTGAAACTCCAACTCAAAAAAAAAAAAAAGAGAGAGAGAGAGAAAGATGTAGAATGACAAGAAGGAGAAATTAGGCCTTCTATTTTCAGACAGGCTGGACAAATCCTGCAGAAGGAGTCATTATTGAACTTTGTGTCAGTTGGGTCCTCTGGGCAGCAGATGCAGAGACAAAATAAGATTTTGGTGGTTGGGGGCAGTAACCCCTGTGAAAGACAAATGAGGAAGGAAGCAGAATTGGATAGGAAAAGCCTCAAACCATGATGTAGCATGTATCAGAATTTCCTTCCTTTTAAAGGCTGAATAATATTCCATTGTATGAATATATCCCATTTTATTTATCTATTCATCCATCGATGGACATGTGGGTCACTCTCACCTTCTGGCTATTGTAGATGATGCTGCTATGGTCATGGGTGTACAAATGGCTGCTTGTTACCCTGCTTCCAATTTGTTTGTGTATATACCCAGAAGTGGAATTGCTAGGTCACATGGTACCCATATGGCTATTTTTTATTTTTTGAGGGATAAATAAATAAAATACTATTTTCCATAGCATCTAATATATACCATGTTAAATTCCCACCAACAGTGCACAAGGGCTCCAATTCCTCCACATGCTCACCAACACTTGTTATTTTCTGGGTGTATTAGTGCCTTCTCACGCTGCTATAAAGAACTGCCCAAGACTGGGTAATTTATTAAGGAAAGAGGTTTAATTGACTTACAGTTCTGCAGGGCTGGGGAGGCCTCAGGAAACTTACAATCATGGTGAAAGGGGAAGCAAATATGTCCTTCTTCACATGGCAGCAGCAAGTAGAAGTCCTGAGCAAAGGGTTAAAGTCCCTTATATTAATAAAACCATCAGCCGGGCGTGGTGGCTCACGCATTTTGTAATCCCAGCACTTTGGGAGGCCGAGGCGGGTGGATCACGAGGTCAGGAGACACAGACCATCCTGGCTAACACAGTGAAACCCTGTCTCTACTAAAAATAAAATAAAATAAAATTAGCCGGGCGTAATGGCGGGCGCCTGTAGTCCCAGCTACTCAGGAGGCTGAGGCAGGAGAATGGCATGAACCCGGAAGACAGAGCTTGCAGTGAGCCGAGATTGCGCCACTGCACTCCAGTCTGGGCGACAGAGCGAGACTCCGTCTCAAAAAAAAAAAAAAAAAAACCATCAGATCTCGCGAGAACTCACTCACTATCACGAGAACAGCATGGGGGTAACCGCCCCCATGATTCAATTACCTCCCGCCGGGTCCCTCCCATGATACATGGAGATTATGAGAACTACAATTCAAGATTAAATTTGGATGGGGACATAGCCAAACCATATCACTGAGTTGTTTGTTTGCTTGTTTGTTTGTTAAATAGTAACCACTCTAGCCAGGCTGGCATGCAGTGGCACAATCATAGCTCACTGGGCTCAAGCAATCCACCCGTCTCAGCTTCCCAAGTAGCTGGTACTATAGGCATGTGCCTCCAGGCCCTGCTAATATATTCTTTGTAGACATGGGGTCTTGGTATGTTGCCCAGGCTGGTCTCAAACTTCTGGTCTCGTCCTTGTGCCTTGGCCTTTCAAGGTATTAAGATTACAGGTGTGAGCCACTGCGCTTGGCCTTGAGCATCTTTTTATGTGCTTACTGGCCACTTGAATATCTTCTTTGGAGAAATGTCTATTCAAGTCCTTTGCCCATTTTTTTTTTTTTTTTTTTTGAGACAGAGTGTCACTCTGTCACCCAGGCTGGAGTGCAATGGCACAATCTTGGCTCTCTGAAATCTCCGCCTCCTGGGTTAAAGTAATTCTTCTGTCTCAGCCTCCCGAGTAGCTGGGACTACAGGCGCGTGCCACCACACCCACTAATTTTTGTATTTTTAGTACAGATGGGGTTTCACCATATTGGCCAGGCTGGTCTCGAACTAATGACCTAGTGATCCACCCACCTCAGCCTCCCAAAGTGCTGGGATTACAGGTGTGAGCCACCATGCCCAGCCCCTTTGCCCTTTTTTTTTTTTTTTTTTTGAGACAGAGTCTCATTCTGTTGCCCAGGCTGGAGTGCAGTGGCGCAATCTCGGCTCACCACAACCTCTGCCTCCCGGGTTCAAGCAATTCTCCTGCCTCAGCCTCCAGAGTAGCTGGGATTACAGGCGCACGCCACCATACCCAGCTAATTTTTGTATTTTTAGTAGAGACGGGGTTTCACCATATTGGCCAGGATGGTCTCAAACTCCTGACCTTGTGATCTGCCCGCCCCAGCCTCCCAAAGTGCTAGGATTACAGGTGTGAGCCACCACGCCTGGCTTTGCTTTGCCCATTTTTAAATTGAATTGTTTGTCTTTTTGTTGTTGAGTTATCACCTCAGGTGATCCGTCCCCCTCAGCCTCCCAAATCACCTCAGGTGATCCACCCGCCTCAGCCTCCCAGAGTGCTGGGATTACAAGTTTGAGCCACTGGGCATGGGCATGTGTCCTCATTTTGTAGATGAATCTCAGAGGGGGCAAGTAACTTGACAGAGCTACTAAGTGGCAGAGCTGAGTTGGATGCCAGGCAGTAAGCTCTACAGCTTGAACTTTTAACCACCCCGCGAACCCCTTTTTCTTCCCCAGATCTTCTCTGGCACTTTTAGCCTTCTAAAAAGTCACATATTGGCCAGGTGTGGTGGCTCATGCCTATAGTCCCAGCACTTTGGAAGGACAAGGCACTTTGGACTTTTGAGCCCAGGAGTTCAAGACCAGCTTGACCAACATAGCAAGGCCCATTCTCTCCCAAAAAAAAAAAAAATTATTAGGGCTTGGTGGCACATGCACCTATAGTCCCAGCTACCCAGGAGGCTGAGGCAGGAGGATCACTTGAGCCTAGGAGTTTAGGCTGCAGTGAGCTATGATCATATCACTGCACTCCAGCCTGGGTGACAGTGTAGGGCCCTGTCTCTAAAAAAATAAGTAAATAAGAAAATAAAAGTCACCTATTAACCTTTTAAAAAGTAAAAAGACAGTTTTCCCTATCATCCCAGGCCTCTAGAAAAATCATTCTCTTCTTTGGTCTTTATTTCAAGAACTTATTTCAACTTGCTAGGATTGCCTATAACACATTGTACTGTGGCTGCTTCCATGTGTGACTATCCATCTCCCTCCTCCCTAGCTCCAACCCTCCTCCCCTAGTAATAATAAACTGTGAGCTATTTGAGAGACTATATCTAAATATCCACATGGTGCAGCACCTAAGAGTGCAGGCTTAAGAGACCAGACTGACGGGGAAGAAGCCTTTTCTGCCACTTACTAGTTACATGACCTTGGGGTCTTTCCTTAATCTTTCTGAGCCTCTGTTTCTTTATCTGTAAAATGGGACTAATGATAGAACCAACACCTCACAAGGTTGTTGCAAGGATTAATGGAGATAACACATGTAAAACACTTAGGATAATGTTTAACACAAACTAAGAACATGATAAAAGTTGGCAAATACTCTATGCTGGAAAAAAATAAAACCAGAATAAACACTCATCCCACCACCAAGTGGAAGAAAAATTGTATGGTGTTTTGTTTTGTTTTGTTTTTTCCTAAGGCAGAGATGAGTAGGCTTCAGCCACTTGGTTTTTCTTCATTTAAAATGCAATATTGGCAGCATCACCTTCAGCCACAGTCGCTTATAGAAGGAAGGGATTGGTCAATAAGGGATGACCCAAGGGGGTACCAGAATCCCCAAATGACTTTCCCCTTCCTAAGGCTGAAGGCTCCGTGCTGCTTCTGCTTGGGCTCAGGCCATGCCAGTCCTCCTCCTCTTCCTTTCTTTTTTTTTTTCCCATCCCTCCCTCCCCACTTCAAACCCTGGGAAAAAAAAATGAAGAGAAGCACACCAACCAAGAAGCCTTTTCACTTCATTGTGTTTTCCAGCTAGACCTGAACAGACGGCGATCAATTCAACCCTCTCTCACCCTCCCTTCTCTCTTCTTCTCTCATGTCCTCTTTGTGTTTTTGTTTTTTTTTCTCTCAGGCTGTGTCTTCAGGCTTAGGAAAAAGCAGATACCTCCCAGTAGCATGAAGATGCAAGAAGCTGCAGTTGCCTGTAGCAAACACAACGTGATTGTAACAGGTCCCCATGGCCCTTGGTGCATGGAAAGGTGGACAAGCAGGGGATCCCGTTTGGATTCTCTGAGAAACTTCTCAGCTTGACCACGTCTGTCTCAAGGTTTGGCTGCAAGGAGTCACACAGAAAACCTTGCTTTCCTACTTCCTCTGGCCAGGAACCTTCTGAAGTTCGCTCCATCCCCAAGCAAAGAGTTTTCATTCCAAGCTTGAGCAAATCTGGCCCGTTGGACTTGAAATCAATGAGTATGAAGGAGGAATACACCTTTTCCCTTTTCAAAGCAGCCTAGTGGGATTTTATTTTTTTTCCAACAGGGTAACTCCAAATTGGCAGGGCTTTCAAAGCTACAAATTTCCATGTCCCCAGGCCTCACTGAAGAAAAATTTCCTGGTTAGGCTGGCATGTGTGGAAGTTTTAGGTGTGCAGCAGGTGAGAAATGCTGAACAAATAGTTAAACCTGAGCTATGAATCAAATTAGTCTAAACAAGATTCTCCCCTAACCCCATGCTGTACTAGTTACCCTCCTCAATTCCTACCCCAAACATATATTCAAAAATAGCTACTATTTGTCAAACACCCAGTAAGTACCAGGAACTGAGCTACATGTTTTATTTACTTACATTACTCATTTTATCTTCACAACTATGCAAGGTAGAAATTATTTATTGTTTCTTTTCTTTTCTTTCCTTTTCTTTTTTTGCTCTGTCTCCCAGGCTGGAGTGCAGTGGAGCAATCTTGGCTCACTGCAAGCTCCACCTCCCAGGTTCACGCCATTCTCCTGCCTCAGCCTCCCGAGTAGCTGGGACTACAGGCGCCCACCACCACGCCTGGCTAATAATTTTTGTGAGACGGGGTTTCACCATGTTAGCCAGGATGGTCTCGATCTCCTGACCTTGTGATCTACCCGCCTTGGTCTCCCAAAGTGCTGGGATTACAGGTGTGAGCCACTGCGCCTGGCCTTATTGTTTCTTTTCTAAGGCACAGACAGGTTAAGCAATTTCCCCAAAGTCACTCAGTTCAAATCTCATTCCAACAATAACATGCGTGAATCTTAAAATCATCATGCAGAGCAAAAGAAGCCAGACAACAAAAGAGTATGTACTGTATGGTTTTGTGTATATAATATGATAGAAAATGCAAATTAATCAATAGTGATAGAAAGCAGACCAGTGGTTACCTAGGGATGGAACAGAGGGGAGATGGATTATAAAGGAGCACGAAGAAACTTTAGGGTATGATGGAAATGCTGATAATCTTGATTGTTATAAGATTGTTATAATGGTTTTGCAGGTATAGGCGTATGTCAAAACTGACCAAATTGTACACGTTATATATATGCAAGTTAATATGCCTCAAGTATATCTTGATAAGATTGAAACAAGGTACAAAAAAAGCTGGATGCAGTGGTGCCTGCCTGTAATCCCAGCAACTGAGGCTGAGGCAGGAGGCTCATTTGAGCCTAGGAGTTCAAGACCAGCCTGGTCAACTTAGTGAGACTCTATCTCAGGAGAAAAAAAAAAAAAAAAGCTGAACATTACCCTGATCTGATCACTATAATATGTACCTCATAAATATGTACATTATTTAAATTAATATCTAAATTATTATTTGTTAATTTTTTAAAAAGCATGGGGGGCCGGGCGCAGTGGGTCACACCTGTAATCACAGCATTTTGGGAGGCCAAGGCTGGCCAATTACCTGAGGTCGGGAGTTCGAGATCAGCCTGACCAACATGGAGAAACCCCATCTCTACTAAAAATACAAAATTAGCTGGGCGTGGTGGTGCATGGCTGTAATCCCAGCTACTCAGGAGGCTGAGGCACGAGAATCGCTTGAACCCGGGAGGCAGAGGTTGCGGCAAGCCGAGATGGCACCATTGCACTCCAGCCTCGGCAAAAAGAGTGAAACTCCATTTCAAAAAATAAAAAAAAAAGCATAGGAGTAACTTTATCAATCTTCTTTGTGATGTGAATCTGGTTTACATGCAAATCCTTGGCACATTGAATAAATGTACAGATCCTTATCATGTTCTAAATGAAATCATTCCCCCCAAAAAGCATAAAATATCCCATCCCTAATCATTTCTAGAAATGCATGTACTCTTTGATATGTTCGATATCATAGGGCTTAGCCAGACTCTGGTTCAGACTTTTATTTTATTTTACCATTATTATTTTTGAGACAGTCTCACTCTGTTGCCCAGGTGGAATGTAGTGGTGCGATCTCAGCTCACTGCAACCTCCACTTCCTGGGTTCAAGCAATTCTCTGCCTTAGCCTCCCGAGTAGCAGGGACTACAGGTATGCACCACCATGCCTGGCTAATTTTGTATTTTTAGTAGAAATACAAAATACATAATTTCTTCATGTTGGCCAGGCTGGTTTCAAACTCCTGGCCTCAAGTGATCCGCCTGCCTCAGCCTCCCAAAGTGCTAGGATTACAGGCATGAGCCACCATGCCCAGCCAGGTTTAGACTTTGATGCTGTTGTCTCTGGGTCCTGTTGGGGTGAGAGGACCTAGCTGTTACTGGTTTTTCTCACTGGAAATTCCAATTAGTGAGGCCTATGATTCTAGAAATTCTTTTTCAGCACTCACAGTTAGGTCTCCTATAATGTCAATGTGATGCTAATGATTATTTAAACCAGCAGTTCTCAAATTTTTTGGTATAAGGATCCTTTCACACTCATGAAAAGTATTGAGGACACCACAAAGCTTTTGTTTATTGTGGATAATATCTATCAGTATTTGCTCAGAAATTAAAGCTGAGAACTTTTAAAGACAGTTAATTCATTTTTAAAAATAATAAACCATTATATATGACATAAATAACATTTTAATTGAACATAATTGTATATCCGAAAAGAATAGTGAGAAGAGTCACATTGTTTTTCATTTTTGCAAATTGAGTTTCTGATTCCATAGAAGATATGATTCTCATATTTGCTTCTTCAATCTGTTGCAACGTCACATATTGTGTAGCATCTGGAAAATTCCACTGTCTACTTGTGAAAGAATGAAAATGAAAAAGGTAAATAACATCTTAGTATTAATAAGAAAATAGTTTTAACCTTGCAGACCCCTGAAAAGATCTTGGAGATTCACAGGAGTCCCCGAACCACACTTGAAGAACTGCTAGGGGCCAAGTGTGGGGCTCATGACTGTGGCTCAGTCCCAGCATTTTAGAAGGCTGAGGCGGGCAGATTGCTTGAGCTCAGGAGTTCGAGATCAGCCTGAGCAAATCTCCGTGGCAAAACTCCATCTCTACAAAAAATACAAAAATTAGCTGGGTGTGGTTGTGTGTGCTGTGGTCCCAGCTACTTGGGAGGCTAAGGTGGGAGGATTGCTTGAGCCCAGGAAGTCGAGGATGCAGTAAGCCATGATTGTGTCACTGCACTCCAGCCTGGGCAACAGAACAAGATCCTGTCTCAAAAAAAAAAAAAAAAAAAAAAAAAAAAAAAAAAAAAAAAGAACTACTGATCTAAAGTGTTCAGGACCATAAACTATTTATTCCAGTTCTTATGCTGCCACCCCCACTATTTTACCTCTCCTACCTTGTGAAATCTTGAGAGACAGAGGAAGAAACTGGGGCACCGTGAAGCATCAGATGGAAGGTTGTACTAATAACTCTCCTTCAAAGTCCTTTCCACCCCTGTGAGTCTGTGGCATGGGGTATTTTTCTTTTAAACAAAATCAAGAGAGCCAAAGACTCAGCAGGACCTAGATGCACAGGATGGGGGGACTAAAGCACAACAATGGCAACATCGCAGAGATTCCTTGTGACCCTCTTGCAGAAAGAGGAACAGCTGCCTCCTCTCAGGGCTTTGCTCTGGTTTACCCCATAGTGGGTGTCAAAGCAAGAACCTGGGGTCCTGAGGGAAGTTCAGACAAATCTGAGCTCTTACCTGTTCCCTAAACAAGTGCTTGCTGGGTTAAAGCCAGCACTGGTCCAAATCCTCAATCCAAATTGAAAACTTTGGCCCCTGACACGGGGTAGAAGACAGTGCATGCATTTAGGAGTCAATAAATTCCAATGTGAATTTTGTTATTCCTTTTTACAGAGTATGCAACCTTGGGTAAATTACTGGCCTTTTCTGTCTCTTTCTTTCTTTCTTTTTTTTTTTTTTTTTTTTTTTTTTGAGACGGAGTCTCGCTCTGCCTCCCAGGCTGGAGTGCAATGGCGAGATCTTGGCTCACTGCAACCTCCGCCTCTCAGGTTCAAGCATTTCTCCTGCCTCAGCCTCCTGAGTAGCTGGAATTACAGGTGCCCACAACCAGGCCCAGCTAATTTTTGTATTTTTAGTAGAGATGGGGTTTCACCATGTTGGTCAGACTGGTCTCGAGCTCCTGACCTCAGGTTCTCAGGTAATCCACCCACCTTGGCCTCCCAAAGTGCTGGGATTACAGGCGTGAGCCACCGCGCCCAACCTCATTACTGGACTTTTCTAAACCTCAGCTTCTTCATCTGTAAAAGGGAAATCATAATATCCTTATTTTTTTCTCTTTATTTATTTATTTATTTATTTGTTGCTGAGATGGAGTCTCGCTCTGTCGCCAAGCTGGAATGCAGTGGCACAATCTCAGCTCACTGCAACCTCTGCCTCCCGGGTTGAAGTGATTTTCCTGCCTCAGCCTCCTGAATAGCTGCAATTACAGGTATGCACTAGCACGCCTGGCTAATTTTTGTATTTTTAGTAGAGACGGGGATTCACCACGTATACCAGGCTGGTCTTGAACACCTGACCTCAGGTGATCCGCCCACTTTGGCCTCCCAAGGTGCTGGGATTACAGGCGTGAGCCACCGCCCCCGGCTTCTCTTTATTTTTTAAAAAGAGATGGCTCTGGGCATGGTGGCTCATGCCTGTAATTGCAGCGTTTTGGGAGGCTGAGGAGGGACGCCCACTTGAGACCAGCAGTTTGAGACCAGCCTGGGCAACATAGTGGGACCCTGTCTCTACAAAAAATACAAAAAAAAAAAAAGTCTTTTAAATGTCAGGTACAGTAGCTCATGCCTGTAATCCCAGCACTTTGGGAGGCTCAGGTGGGAGGATTGCTTGAGGCTAGGAGTTTAAAACTAGCCTGGGCAGGCCGGGCGGCGCGGTGGCTCACGCCTGTAATCCCAGCACTTTGGGAGGCCGAGGTGGGCAGATCACGAGGTCAGGAGATCGAGACCATCCTGGCTAACATGGTAAAACCCCGTCTCCACTAAAAATAAAAATTAGCTGGGCGTGGTGGCAGGCACCTGTAGTCCCAGCTACTCGGGAGGCTGAGGCGGGAGAATGACATGAACCTGGGAGGCGGAGCTTGCAGTGAGCTGAGATCGTACCACTGCACTCTGGCCTGGGCGACAGAGCAAGACTCCATCTCAAAATAAATAAATAAATAAATAAAACTAGCCTGGGCAACACAGCAAGATCACATCTCTAAAAAAAAAAAAAAAAAAAAAAGAAAAAGAAAAAGAAAAAAATTAGCTAGGTGTGGTTCACACACGTGTGGTCCCAGCTACTTGGGAAGCCAAGGTAGGAGGATTACATTGAGCCACGGTCACACCACTGCACTCCAGCCTGAGCAACAGAGCAAGACTCCATCTCTAAAAAGTGAGAGAGAGAAATGGGATCTCGCTCTGTTTCCCAGGCAAGTCATAGTGCACTGCAGCCTCCAACTCCTGGGCTCAAGGGATCCTCCCATCTTCCCCTCCTGAGTAACTGGGATTACAGATGTGCGCCACTGTGTCCAGCTCATAATATCCTTCCAAAAGGATTACTGCATAGATTCAATTCAATAATATATGTAAGAAGCCCAGTAGAGTACCTGGCATGTAACAGAGGCTCACTTTTAATGCCTGTTATACTTTTACAGAAAATCAAAGGGCAAAATGGAAATGTACCACAGCTTCCAGCATTAGACAGGCCTGGGTTTGAATCCTAACAACACTGGCTTTGGGCAAATCACTTCACCCACCTTGTACAGTTATTGTGAGGTGATTGAAATAATGCCTATAAATCACCTGGTATCTAGCCCATGTCTTACAGATGGCCACTGTTACAACCGACCATTTGCATCCGGGGCTACAGGGAAACCCCTCATCCCCAAGGGCAGCCTCTCTGGGGGCTAGTCCTTGGTCCCTGGACACAGGTTAGGATGGCTGGCTCTCAGGCTTCAGTGAGGCCTTTTCCAAAGGAGTGAATCGAGTCCTCACTTGGGATTTCCCATTTCCAAATATTCACCAGTTCCCCTGTCTCCAAATATTGCACAGAGGCCATCACTGATAGTGGCGTTAATGCCCAGAGGAACTGTTCCCAAAGCAGAGGGAGAATGGACACTGTGTGTAAACACTTAACTCCACACAGAGGAGAGGCTGCACGTGGGCTCTGGAGTCAGACTCAAATTCAAATCTTGGCTCTCCCATTTCTGTACTAACTGCAAGACATAGGGCAAGTTACTTGGCCTTTGTAAGCCCACTTTCTCATCTGTAATTGGGAACAATGACAGTACTAGTGCTGAATGTGAAAAGCTCTTAGCATAGTACCTGGCACACAGAAAATATAGATACATTTTATCTATTATTATCACTATTTCTATTATTTTTACAGCCAGATACCAATGTTTTCACAATAATCCATATATAGCTCACATTCCTACCTAGACATGCTCAGGAAGGAGCAGCATGGCTGTGGAAAAAAATTGCTTATTTTCACTTTTATGTACTTTCAAAGGTTTCTTTAGCAAGCACTGGGGACTAGGTAATACAGAAAACTTTCAAAAGAGGGAGAGGAGAGGGAGGAGGAGAAGGGAGAGGAGTCGAGGGTAAGGGATGAGAAAGGAGGAACAGAGAAGCAAGGGGAGAGGGAGAAATTTAAAAACTCAAGCTGAGGCCAGATGCGGTGGTTCATGCCTGTAATCTCAGCACTTTGGGAGGTCGAGGTGGGTGGATAACCTGAGGTCAGGAGTTCGAGACCAGCCTGGCCAAAATGGCAAAATCCCGTCTCTACTAAAACTACAAAAATTAGCCTGGCGTGGTGGCAGGCGCCTGTAATCCCAGCCACTCAGGAGGCTGAGGCAAGAGAATCGCTTGAACCCGGGAGGCGGAGGTTGCAGTGAGCTGAGATCATGCCACTGCACTCCAGCCTAGGTGACAGAGCGAGACTCCGTCTAGAAAACAACAACAACAAAAATCCCAAAACACTGAAACTGAGCTCCGGACCCAGGAGAAACCACACATCCTGGGGCTCAAACCACTGGGCCGTGTGACTCGTGCGCTTGCGCGGCAGGGAGCAGCGGGACTAGGAAATCTCCTCTGAGAGGACAGTCAATCAGAAGGCGCTCAGGGGAGTCGGGTCTCTCTGTTGCTGGGGCGACCTTGGTCACTGAGGAACCACGTAACCTAAAGGACTTCGGCTCCGGGTACCACCCGTGCCTGCCCCCAAGGCTCTTGGTTGGGAGGGCCCCCGAAATCGTTGGGAAAGTGGGAGGAGAAGGGGAGAGGGGCAGAGCTGTGGAAAGGGTGGGAAATTGTAAGACGGCCCCAGAGGCTGAGAGAATGAATGCGTGCGGGGCTGGGGAGGACCAAGATGAGGACAGGACCTGTAGAAAAGACCCCAGAGATGACTGGCGGTTCTGGGACCTGTGGAAAACGCTCTCCTTGGAAAATGTGGCCTTGAAAAGGATGAGGAATGGTTAGCGAGTGCTCGCTCTATGCCGCTTTACGTGCATTTAATCCTAAGGGAGGTTGAGTCAATTTGCTCATCGTTCCACAGCTGTTAAGTGACGGAGCCAAATTCAACCTTGGGCCTGACTCCTAGATCCTTGGCTGTCTCCCGGGAGGTGCCCCGAAGGCCTCCCCAGCTCCACACGAGCGCTTGGAACGCTCTGAGGGAAAATACGAACAGAAGGAAAGGTGATGGCGGCGGGAGAGATAAGGAGGGAGCAATCAAGACGGGGAAGAGAGGCCTGGTGCAGTGGCTCAAGCCTGTAATCCCAGCTCTTGGGGAGGCCGAGGAAGGCGGATCACCTGAGGTCAGGAATTGGAGACCAGCCTGGCCAACATAGTGAAACCCCGTCTCTACTAAAAATAAAACATTAGCTAGGTGTGGTGGCACACGCCTGTAATCCCAGCTACTCGGGAGGCTAAGGCAGGAGAATCACTTGAACCCGGGAGGCGGAGGTTGCAGTGAGCCGAGATCGTGCCACTGCACTCCAGCCTGGGCGACAGAGCGAGACTCCGTCTCAGAAAAAAAAAAAAAAAAAGGTAAGAGAAAGGAAGAGGTTGAGAGAGATAGGAAATGGCGACGAGACTGAAAAAGGATGGAGAGTGAGGAGGACAAAGAAGCGTTGAGGGGGAGCCATAGGAAAAGAGGAGTCCGTTGAGAAGAAGACAGGATGGAGCCTTGGTGGGACCTGAGGGTGAGCCTGGAGAAGACTGAGAAGGAAATGGAGTGGGGTCTCTGAAGAGTCAGAATCAGCTGGACTGTGATCCTAGGCGCTGAGGAGCAAGGGTTGGAGTGTAGTTGGTGTTTGTGATTTATTTTCTTGCTGTGAAAGCATGGACCACGGGGATTATTATACATGGAGCTATCAGCCAACTACTCAGCATGGCAAGAATGTCTGCCCGAGGGAAGCTGGTACTGAGGTCTGACTCCTTATGGCTTGAACCGTGTCGGTCTCAGCTTACAGTTGAGGCAGGATTGCCATATTCAGATTATTGGTGCACTGAATGGGCTCACCTGGCACATCTTTGCAGAGTCATCAACAGTTTCATCTAAAGTTCTTTTCCCTTTGAATCATGTTGTGGTTTGTAGGATTTTGGTTAAAAAAAAAAAAAAAGATGTATTTTGTTACTAATGTAATTGTTTCACAGTCTTTATCTTTTTTCCTCTAAAAAATCTGATCAGATCCTGTGTTTGATCTTAGACATTGTGGACTAGGAAGGGCAGGTTTTTTTTTTTTCCTTCTTGGGTTTTTGCTGGGGCCCTGGAGTTCAATTTCTTGAAGGAATGTTATTGGAGGACATGAACATATCAGAAAGGAAGTAGCAATGGAATAGTATTCAGCAGTAAAAAGGAATGAAGAACTGATGCATGCTACGACATGGAGAAACCTTGAAAAAATTATGCTAAGAGAAAGAAGCCAGTCACAAAAGACCATATATTGTAGGATTCCATTCATGTGAACTGTTCAGAATAGGAAAATTCATAGAGACAGAAAATAGATTAGCGGTTGCCTAGGGCTGGGGGACATTGAGGGGAATGAGGGTGACTGTTAAAAAGGTCCAGGGTTTCTTTGGGGGATGATGAAAATATTCCTAAAATTCTTGTGGTGATGGTTGCACAGCTGTGGATATACAAAAAACCCACCTTAAATGGGTGAATTGTATGGAACTATTATTATTGGAGGCAGGGTTGCCCAGGCTCTGTTGCCCAGGCTGGAATGCAGTGGCACAATCTCGGCTCACTGCAACCTCTGCTTCTCAGGCTCAAGCAGTCCTCCCACCTCAGCCTTCTGGGTAGCTGGGACTACAGGCGCACACCACCATGCACAGCTAATTTTTGTATTTTTTGTAGAGACAAGGTTTCACCATGTTGCCCAGACAGGTCTCAAACTCCTGGCCTCAAGTGATCCACCCGCCTCAGCCTCCCAAAGTGCTGGGGATTACAAGTGTGAGCCAATGTACCCAGCCAAATATGTGAATTATATCCAAATAAAGCTGTTACCAAAAAAAAAAAAAAAAAAAAAAAGAAAGCAAAGAAAGAAAGGAGGGAGCAAAGAAGTAGAGGTGGTATCATATCTAATTTAGGGAGCATAGAATGGGTCAGTCTGGCTGGCATTTAAAGAAGCAGTTAAGAATGAAGCTGAAACCAAACAACAAAGGGCCAAAGAATTTCACGTCAAAGAGTTTGGACTTCATCTTATAGCTCTGAGCTGTCAAAGATAATAGTCACAAGCCATATGTGTCTACTGAGCACTTAAAATATGGCTAGCCCAAATTGAGGTGTGCTGTAGGCATGAAATACACACCAGATTTTAAAGACATGGTGAAAAAAAGAATGTAAAATATCTCATTAATAACTTTTGTGGTGATTACTTTTGAAATGATAACATTTGGGGTTTATTGGGTTAAATAAGATGTATTATTAGTGTTACTTTTTAAAATCATGTTTATTTGCAGGGCATAGTAGCACATGCATGTATTCCCAGCTACTCAGGAGGCTGAGGTAGGAGGATCACTTGAGCCCAGGAGTTTGAGGTCAGCCAGAGCAACATAGCAAGACCCATCTCAAAATAAAATAAAAGTCTATAAAATGAACTGGGCGTGGTGGCTCATACCTGTAATCCCAGCACTTTGGGAGGCCAAGGCAACAGGATTGCTGAGTGCCAGATCAGCCTGGGCAACACAGTGAGACTCCATCTCTTAAAAAAAAAAAAAAAAAGAAAGGAAATTTAAAATTGCTTATGTGACTCACATTATATTTCTATTGGATAGTGCCATTGTAGATAGTGGGAAGCCGTTAAGGATTCTCGAATTAGAACAAGGGTTGGCAAATGTTTTCTGTGAAGGGCCAGATGGTAAGTATTTTACGGCTTGAGGGCCATACAGTCTCTGTTGCAACTATTCAACTCTGCTGTTGTAGTAAAAAAGCAGCTATAGACAATAACGTAAACAATTAGTATAGCTTTGTTCCAGTGCAACCTTATGGACACTGAAATATGAATCTTATATAATTTTCACATTATGAAATATTGTTCTTCTTTTGATTTTTTCCCAATCACTTAAAAGTGTAAAAGCCATTCTTAATTTGTGGGCTATATGAAAACAGGTGGTGAATGGGATTTGGCCTCCAGGCCATAGTTTACTAACCCACAAGTTAGAGTTGAGCTGGAGTCTCTGAAAATCTCTTTCAACCACCAATACCATTGGTGCTCTCCCCACACACCACCATACAGTGCTTGGAAAATTCCTTCCTTTTTACAAACAGCATGGATTTGCATAATATTTTATCTGGAAGGGACAGTAGGGATCAGATACTCCTACCTTATCATATTGCATTTGAGGAAACTGAGTCTCAGAGAGCTAAACTCACATAAACAAGGTCACGTTGCAGTGAAGAGGTTCCAAATAACGGGAGTAATGGTGAGACTATCCGGCAGCTGGCAAAAAAGGAAGGGTCTGAAGTTAGACTGAGTACCCAGGCTCCATTTAGGGGCTCCAAATTCTAGCTCATCCTTCCATTCATTCATTAATTCTTTCATTTACCACTTATTCATTTTATTTTATTTTTTGTCTTTTGAGACAAGAGTCTCACTCTGTTGTCCAGGCTGGAGTGGAGTGGTATGATCTTGGCTCACTGTAAACTCTGCTTCCTAGGCTCAAGCGATCCTCTGCCTCAGCCTCCTGAGTAGCTAGACCACAGGCATGCAACCACCACGACTGGCTAATTTTTGTATTTTTTATAGTGACAGGGTTTCACTATGTTGCCTGGGCTGGTCATGAACTCTTGGGCTCAAGTGATCCACCCACCTCAGCCTCCCAAAGTGGTGGGATTACAGGCAGGAGCCACCGTGCCCATTTTATTTCTTTTCCTTTCTTTTAACTTTATTTTATTTTTAGAGACAGGGTCTTGTTCTGTCAGCCAGGCTGGAGTGTAGTGGTGCAATCATGACTCACTGCAGCCTCGATCTCCTGGGCTCAAGCCATCCTCCCACCTCAGCCTCCTGAGTAGCTGGGACTATAGGCACATGCCACCACACCGAGCTAATTTTTTATTTTTATTTAGTAGAGACGGGGTCTTGCTTTGTTGCCCAGGCTGGTCTTGAACTCCTGAGCTCAAGCTATCCGCCCGCCTCGGCCTTCTAAAGTGCTGGGATTACAGGCGTAAGCCACCATGCCCAGCCCATCACTTATTTCTTGAGACTGTCTGGATACCAGGCCCTATGGGAGGCTCTGGAAAACCAGACATTAATTAGATTTGGTCACTGATGTTGAGGAAGTCATAGTATAGAAAAAATATATTTTAAAACAGATACCTTGGGGGAGGAGCGAGGGCACAGATATGCTGGAAGGGTAAGGGAAAAAAATCTCTGAGGAGATGTCGCCCAAGCTATGATAAGAACAGGTAAAAATTAACCAAGTGAAGGAGGTGCGAAGAGTGTTCTAGGAAAGAAATAGCTTGTGCAAAGGCCTGGAACAGCGAGTGCCCCAAACACTCAGGGAACTCCAAGTAGATCAGGTGTGGAGGATTAAGCAGGAGCCAAAAGTGGGAGAGGTGAGCCTGCAATGTCAGCAGGACCCACAACTTGAAGATCTTCTGTGTGAAGTTAAGAAACTTCATCCTGATCACGGAAAGCGGTGAGGAAACACAGAGAGGCTTTAAACAGGGAAGTAACAGTCAGATTGAGTTTTAGGAAAAAATCACATTGGCAGCTTGCCAGGCAGAGAGGAGAGAAAAAGATTCCATGGGGAAAGAACAGCCCGTGCAAAAGGCTGGAAGAACACAAGGACCAGTGACAGCGAGTGATCTGGTGTGACTCAAGCATGCAATGCATGGCGAGGAGCAAGAAGACAGAAGCCTGGGAGGGAAATGTGTACAGATGGTCAAGGGGCTGAAATTCCAGGCTCAGGAGTTTGGATTTAATTCTTCGGGTACTAGACAGAGGCAAGAACCTCATGGGACTCAGTGTGAAGGTAGGACACAGACCAAAGGTCAAGTTTTCCTAGCTCTGCCATTTATTAGTTAAGCCTTCGTTTCCACAGAGGTACAATGGAGATAACAGCCATGAGGATTAAGCAAAATAATGTATGAAAAGAGCTTATCACTTTTTAAAAGCTCAACATACAGTAAGCACTCAAATGTTACCTCTGAAACCTATGTAGGACACATCACATCCAAGGGCTCTCAATTCCTACATGAAGATCACAGGAGATTCTGCTGCAGGGAAGACTCTGGGGTGGGATGCCACTGACCTCTTATTTTTAAACTCTGGCTAAGTTTCCTTTTTTTTTTTTGAGACGGAGTTTCACTCTTGCTGCCCAGGCTGGAGTGCAATGGCGTGATCTCAGCTCACTGTAACCTCTGCCTCCCGGGTTCAAGCCATTCTCATGCCTCAGCCTCCCTAGCAGCTGGGATTACAGGCATGCACCACCACGCCCAGCTAATTTTGTATTTTCAGTAGAGACGGGGTTTCTCCATGTTGGTCAGGCTGGTCTTGAACTCCCCACCTTAGGTGATCCACCCACCTCGGCCTCCCAAAGTGCTGGGATTACAGGTGTGAGCCACTGCGCCTGGCCTGAGTTTCTATTTTTTATGTAGAAAATAATTGTGTGAGACCACAACCACCCTCATTTGGGGGTAGTTCTCTTTAAGAAACTCACAGGAGCCCTCCACAGTGGGCACCTGTAATACCAGCACTCTGGGAGGCTGAAGTGGGAGGATTGCTTGACCTGGGGAGGTCGAGGCTGCAGTGAGCTGTGATCACACCACTGCACTTTAGCTTGGGCCACAGAGCAAGACCCTGTCTCAAAACAGAGGAGCTCAGAGGAACTCATACACCACACCTCTGGTATTATGAGTGGCTTTCTGTAAAGGAGAGCACAGCAAGCCAGCAACTCATTTTGAGTGTGGCGGACATTCTCTCCTCAACCTGGGGCCAAACTTTGGGCTCCCATAGTCCTCTCAACCCTGAGTGTCTGTTCATTTCATATGCATCTTAAAATGTTCTGTATGTGCAGAATAGTTTATATATCATATGTGAGCAAGAAAAAGTATTTTATGTTTGTATTTATAAATATCATTATGTGTCACTTAATAAGGGGGATATGTTCTGAGAAATGCATCATTAGTGATTTCCTTGTTGTGTGAACATCACAGAGTGTGCTTCCACAAACGTAGGTGGTACAGCCTCCTACATACATAGCCTATATGGTAGAGCCTATTGCTCCTAGGCTACAAACCTATACAGCATGTGACTGTACTGGATACTGTAGGCAGCTGTAACACAATGACAAATATGTGTGTATCTAAATATATGGAAACAGAAAGGGTATACAGTAAAAAATACAGTATTATAGTCTTATGGGACCACCATCCGATATGCAGCTGTCGTTGACTGAACATCATATGACTTTACATGGAATTGTTCTTAGAACCTGATAACTGGGTCTTCTCCAGGGTAGGAAATGCTGTGTGTAGAGACAGAGGTTGCAGGGAGATTGCGAGGGGTACAATATTCTGTTGTACCCTTTGAAGTACCATGTAAACATATGATCTATTTAAGCAAAATTTTTAAAATATGAAAGCATGGCTGGGCGCGGTGGCTCATGCCTGTAATCCCAGCACTTTGGGAGGCCAAGGCGGGTGGATCACTTGAAGTCAGAAGTTCGAAACCAGCCTGGCCAACATAGTGAAACCTCATCTCTACTAAAAATACAAAAATTAACTGGGCGTGGTGGTGCATGCCTGTAATCCCAGCTACTCATGAGGCCGAGGCAGGAGAATCACTTGAACCCAGGAGGTGGAGATTGCAATGGGCTGAGATCACACCACTGCACTCCGGCTTGGGCAATAAAAGTGAAACTCCATCTCAAAAAATATATATATAAAATATATATGTATGTAATATATAATATATATTATATAATATATGTAATATATTATATATTATATAAATATATACTATATTATATATAATAATATAGTATATAATATATAAAATATATATTATATATCATGTATGATATATATGATATACATATACATATATACATATACATATACATATACATGATATACAATATACATATCACATAATATACATTATATATAATATGTATGCAATATGTAATATGTATATATTATATATGTATATAATACGTTATGTGATATGTATATAATATATTATATGATATGTATATAATATACAATATGTATATATGTATTATATATACAATATGTGTATATGTATTATATATACAATATGTATATAATATATATATGAAAGCATTTTTGCTTTCCAGTAACAGAAGTTTACCACATCCATTGTTGGTTTACTCTTCAGTTTTGCCTTCCAGCACCTTGTTCTTTGGTCCAAAGCCAGAGTGGTGAAGGAAAGGGTGACAGACTTGCATTCCCTCCCCCACTGCAGGACTTAGAACCTTTCTGTGACCCAGGCCTCCCAGCTGGAAAACGAGGAGAGTGGCATTTGCCACATTCCCCACAGGGGTAGCATTGAGAACTGGCTATCTGCTGGTAAAGGATTTCCGGATCTGTGAATAAAAGGGAATATATTAACACAAAATACTCTTGCTTTTTAACCCCACATAGTTCTAAGGAAATCTAATATAAAGGCTTGGGATCCACTTACAGTTGCTGTACTAGAGGTGAATGTTAATTAGTGACATTGACAATCGTCATTTTCTCTGTAAACCTACTTGGTGACTGGAAGCTGCAGGAATCTTGCTATATGAGCCTTCTGTCTTTGAACAACAAAGTGTCAGTCTGACCGTCCTGAAACAGACAAGAAAGCTGCCCACCTCAATTACAGGCCTCAGCTGAGAATCAGGGTTTGGTGTCCACACAGTCTCTCTAGATTGCCTGGCTGGCTGGGTCCAGTGACTGTGTCTTATCTTTCAGCGAGGCTCCCTGCTTCCTCTCTCCAGTGCCCTCTTCCAGGGTGGGATGCACAGAAGGCATTTAATAAATGATGACTGAGCCTGTGGCTGGCTACCTGCCTGCTTTCAGGAGTGGCCCCGCTTTATAGATGGGGAAACAGAGGCACACAGAAGTGCAGTACTTTGCTTGAGTTCCTTGTTGGAATCCCTGGTTCAGGCAGGAGTCTCATTTCAACCCCTAATGTTCATCTCTTCTATTCTCTGAACAGAGAGTGCTTGAGAAGTTCCAGCATTTCCATCTTCAAAGTCAAGAAATAGAAGAAGCAGTTGTAAAACAAGACCTGAACCTAGACAATCTGGGTAGATGACAAAGCCACCGTCCTTCCCCAGGCCTCAGTGTCCCCATCTATAAAATAATGGTTTGGACAGGATGATCTCTCAGGTCCCTTTACGTTTCCTATGGGCTGTGTATACCGCCCTGCGTTCACTAGCCAATTGAGGCCATTCTTCTTGTTATTTCTTTACCTCCTTGAGTTTCTCAGGAGTTTCAAGGGGGCGCTGTGAAACTGGTTACTGGGCAGCCAGCAGGCCTTTCCTTGGAGCTGCCTGGCTGCTTGGTTTCCCTGCTGGTAACCAAGCCCTTGTCTGTCTTTCCAGCAACCCAGCCCTTTTCTTATTGTTGCTGTCTGTTTCCATTTGTTCCTTTTATTCTCCAGGTTTTCCTTGACTCTGATGTTTTTCCCCCTGCTGCACAACAAGCCCTTCTGATCTCTGTGAAAGGCAAACCCGTGTCATTCTTCCAAATCATCATTGTATGACATGTTTTTATATCAGCCGGACAAAGGAGCTATTTGATCAGGGGGTATGGTGTGTGATTGTAAGAAATTCAGCTAGTCGGTGGCAACCATTGTTCCCCAAGCGGCTCCCTGACCCCATTCTGTTCCTGGAAAAACTCCCTGAGAGTGGCCTCTATTCATGGAGTAACACCAGTCCCCAGCCGCGCTCCAGGAGCATGCTCAATTCCTAGCAGTGTCACCGATAGCTGCCCGAAGCCACCCTTTAACTCTTTCATCAGCATTAAGTTTCCAACCCCACAGCTGTTATCACGGCCATGAGCTCAGGGGGTTAGAGATACAGGCATGCTCTCTGCTCTCCCTCTTATCTTGGAGAAATTCAACCTTCCTTTGAAATGGTCATTTGGAAATTACCCGTCTGCTGCTTTCAGCGCAGCAGGCCTGGCTAGCACGCCTGTCCTCCTCGGTTTTCCCCTGAGGACAGCCTTCCAGCACTGCCAACTCCCAGGCCCTGCTGCTCGGTGGCCTCCCTCCTGGTATGGAATCTAGTGGCACCTCAAAACCATTTCTGATTGCCTGAGGTAGAAGTGTGAGGCCCCTCACCCTAGCCTCAGAGTCCTTGCCAGATCGTTCTGGAAATGAGGAAATACTTCCACACACTAATGAATGTTACTTAGTCAGGCTTCTTTCTTTTTTGCAATACACACTGGGCCCCTATATGTGTAAGGCCTTGTGTCAGGTATTGTAGGACAGACAGAATTGTATAAAAATTGGCCCTTGGCCCTAGGAACTCCATCCATTAGAAGAAATGAAACAAGTAGGCCGGGCATGGTGGCTCACGCCTGTAATCCCAGCACTTTGGGAGGCAGAGGCGGGCGGATCATGAGGTCAGGAGATCGAGACCACCCTGGCTAACACAGTGAAACCCCGCCTCTACTAAAAATACAAAAAATTAGCTGGGCGTGGTGGCGGGCGCCTGTAGTCGCAGCTACTCGGGAGGCTGAGGCAGGAGAATGGCTTGAACCCGGGAGGCGGAGCTTGCAGTGAGCCGAGATCGCGCCACTGCACTCCAGCCTGGGCGACAGAGCGAGACTCCGTCTCAAAAACAAACAAAAAAAAGAAATGAAACAAGTAGACATGAATCTGTAGAAACATCCATAACATTTTAATACTGAGTGATTCTTTGAAGTGTCTTAACACCTAATGATGGCATTGGGATTTTTCTCTTTGTCCCTGTGTTCTTTTTTTTTTTTTTTTTTTTTTGAGATGGAGTTTCGCTCTTGTTGCCCAGGCTAGAGTGCAATGGCGCGATCTTGGCTCACTGCAACCTCCGCCTCCTGGGTTCAAGCGATTCTCCTACCTCAGCCTCCCGAGTAGCTGGGCTTACAGGCATGCACCACCACGCCCAGCTAATTTTTTTGCATTTTTAGTAGAGACAGGGTTTCTCCATGTTGGTCAGGCTGGTCTCGAACTCCCGACTTCAGGTGATCCACCCACCTTGGCCTCCCAAAGTGCTAGGATTACAAGCGTGAGCCACCACACCCAGCCTCCTGTGTTCATTTTACAGAGACTAGAAAAAGTAAAGGGACCTAAATCACTCAAAGCCAGTAGCTGAGCAAAGGCTCAAATGTAGAGTCTCTGATTCATTTTTCTCCTGGTTCATTCTATTAATTCATTGACTGCTCCTTTGCTCCAAGAAGCTGGCAGTAGATTAGACTGTTGTCATTTGTCTGTAACTACTATCAGGAAGACAAGACCTCAAAGCTAATACAAAATTCCAACACAAGAGTCTAGAATCCTAAATCAGGCTCCTTGGCCTCATCCCCACACCAGTGTTTCTGTGCCTTGAGTCAACAGAATGGCCTCTCCAGTAAGAGAATCTCAGCCTGGCTTCCCTATCTCAATTCCTCCTTGGCTCCAGGGAAACACCCACAATATAACAGATAAAATATTAAGGTCTATACACAGAGTGGCTGAAAAATTTATTGTCCTGTGTACTGATTCATGCTACAACATGGATGAACCTTGAAAACATTATGCTGAGTGAAAGAAGCCTGACTCAAAAGGCTGCATGTTGTATAATTTTATTTGTATGTCTAGAATAAGTAAATCCATAAAGACAGAAAATAGCAGTTGCCAGGGGCTGGGGAGCCAGGGAATAGGGAGTGACTACTAATGGATACAGGGTTTCTTGTAGGGTAAAGAAAATGTTCTGGCCCGGCGTGGCGGCTCACGCCTGTCATCCTAGCACCTTGGGAGGCTGAGATGAGAGGATCGCTTGAGCTCAGGAGTTCAAGATCAACCTGGACAACATAGTGAGACCTCGACTCTCCTAAAAATTTAAAAAAAAAAAAAAATTAGCTGGGCATGGTGGCTTGCGCCTGTAGTCCCAGCTACTCAGGAGGCCAAGGCGGGAGGATCATTTGAGCCTGGGAGGTAGAGACTGCAGTGAGCCATGATCACGCCACTGTACTCTCACCTGGGCAACAGAGTAACCCCGTCTCAAAAATAAATAAATAAATAAATAAATAAATAAATAAATAAATGAAAATGTTCTGGAATTAAATAATACTGTTGATTGTAAAAGTTTCTCAGTATACTAAAAGTATGAATTATGTACTTTAAAGGGGTAAATTTTGTGGTATGTGAATTATATCTCAACAACAAAAATGGAAAAGATGGAGGAAAAAAATACCACCTAAAAAAAAGTTTGTCATCCAAACCAGGACTGAGGCACTGTTTTTTTTTGAGACAGGGTCTCACTCTGCTCCCTAGGCTGGAGTACAGTGACCCAAACATGGCGCACTGCAGCCTCGACCTCTGAGACTCAGGCAGTCCTCCCACTTTGACACTTTTGAAGTATTAATAATCACCCTGGGAAAATATGTATAAACCATATGGTGACTCTAGCTAAGGACAATGAATGAGAGCTCTGTGTGCAATCTCTGTGTGCCACCTGTCTTTACATCTTCTCTAAGGAGCTTAAGCAATAGCCTACCCAGCCAAGAATTCTGTGGCCACTGGTGGCCCTAGGGACCACGTGTATTGGTACTCTCAGCTCTCCTTGGCTCTTCTGCTCCCAAATTCCCTATGTCATTTGGGATTCTACTTCCCAAATAGGACCTCCTTTTTTGTAATGAGCTTTAAAGATTTACTCTACTCTGACATACATTGGACCTCTGCCTAATCATCGGATTTCCATTCCTTCCTTCCTTCCTTCCTTCCTTCATTCTTTCATTCTTCCATCAGTCAATTATGTAGTCTCTACTGGTACCAGGCAGTCGGGCAGTGTAGCAGCTGAGGAATACAGATGGATAAGTTACGTTTTCTTCCCTCAAGAAATTCACTTTCTATTAAGAAGATCGACATTTTAAATAGAAGGCAGTGAAGACACTTCCGAGCTAGAAGTATGTATTGGGTACAAGAAGGCCCAAAAAAGGGGGAGGTCGGCTTTTCCTGAAGGTGGGACTTTCCCCATGCCCACCTCTGGACATTCCAGAGAGATTGATAGGACCTAATTTGGCATCCCACAAGAGGAGAGGAGAATGCTTTCTCTGTCTTTGGTTGCCTCTCCCATTCCCATGCTCCTCTCCCATTTGGTGGCTGCTCTTAAGTGGCCTCTCACTCCCCCCAGCACACTGGGACGCTGCCACTGACTGGCATCTCTGGAGCCTCTTTCCTGGAGGCTCAGATTCCCATCCTCTGGGTGTTGTCTGGCCCTTTTCTTCCTAAGTGCATTGTGTTCTTGCCCATTTTCCTGCCCACTTACAAAGGCTTATACGGTTAAGCCCTTTGCCCAAGGTCACAGCTGGTTAGTAACAAAAGCCAGGCTAGAACCTGGGTTCAACCCTCAAAGTGAAGTCCTTCTGAGCTTCCAATGAAGGGTTTTATTTTCCTAACAAACTGCCTTGTAACCTGAAGAGGTGAACCCCAGCCAATCTCAGACCCACTTTTTTTTTTTTTTTTTGCTAATTTAGCTGCACCTTGGCCATTCCAGGGGTGGCAGAGTTCATAAGCAGTAAGTAAATGATTAGTAACCCCCCCACCCCACCAAGGGTGCAGGTCAAGATCTCAGCACAAAGATCAGGTTGGAACTTCTGATCTCTCCCAGCCTGTCTGGGTAATCCCAGTCCCCCTGCCATACAGTTTGGGACCCATCTGACAATGGAGTTTCCAAGACTGGGCAGAAGGAGCAATGGGATTTGGTTCTCCCATGATATAGAAGAAAAAGTTCACACTTCGATAATTCAGAGTCAGAAAAGCTTAGGGGTTAAAAACCTGGATTTGAAAGGCCAACAGATCTGGATTTATTTATTTAGAGACAAGGTCTCGCTCTGTCATCCAGTGGACTCAAGTGATCCTCTCACCTGAGTCTCCCAAGTAGCTGGGACTACAGGTGCACACCACCTCTCCCAGGTAATTTTTTATTTTTTGTAGAGACGGGGTCTCACTTTGTTGCCCAGAGTGGTCTTGAACTCCTGGCCTCAAGTGATTCTCCCACCTTGGCCTCCCAAAATGCTGGGACTGCAAGTGTGAGCCACTGTGCCTGGCCCAGATCTGGATTTAAATCCTAGCTGTAAAACTTTGGAAGGAAGAAATTCCTTTGCTTTTCTGAACCTCAGTCTCCCCAATGTAAAATGAAGATAATGTATTCAGGGGAAAAAACCCTCATGAAGGTAATAACTACCTCATAGTACTATTATGAGGATGAGATGAGATGAAGTGTACCAAGGCTTAGAACAACTCTAGTAGACAGTAAGCACTTAATAAATGGTATGTAGCTTTTGTTGTTGTTATCTTTTCTCAAACTATCTCTAATCTTAGAAGGGTCCAGAACTCTGGGGACTGGTTGGCCAAGTTTCCCCAGATAATGTTTGCAGCCCTCTTATTTGCCCCATAATGGCAACTTCATTCATTAATTTACCAAAATTTATAAAGCACCTACTATATTCCAAGGCTACTTGAAACATTATAGTTACAAATAAGAAGTTACAACTCACTGTTGTAAATAGAATAATGTATAAGCCCAGAGGATTGCCTGGGAGACATAATAGAGGGTAGAAAAGTTTAGGTCTCGAAGGGTATGTAGGAGTTCACTAGGCAGAGGGAGCAGCACATGAAAAAACAAATGCATGGAAAAGCATGTAGCATTTGGGAAATGTTAAAAAGTTCTGCATCACTAGAACCTTCCACAAAAGAGGAAGGAAGCCAAGCACTGTGGCTCACACCTGTAATTCCAGCTAGTTGAGAGATCAGACGGGAGCATCACTGGAGTCCAGGAGTTCTGGGCTCCTGCAATATAGCTGCCTCTGTCTCAGAAAAAAAAAAAAAAAAAAAAAAAGTGGTGTCGGGCATGGTGGCTCAGGCCTGTAATCCCAGCACTTTGGGAGGCTGAGACAGGCGGATCACGAAGTCAGGAGTTCAGGAGCAGCCTCGCCAACATAGTGAAACCCCGTCTCTACTAAAAATACAAAAATTAGCTGAGTGTGGTGGTGGATGCCTGTAATCTCAGCTACTTGGGAGGCTGAGGCAGGAGAATTGCTTGAACCCGGGAGGCGGATGTTCCAGTGAGCCGAAATCGCACCGCCACCGCCGCACTCCAGCCTGGGCAACAGAGCAAGACTCCGTCTCTGAAAAAAAAAAAAAAAAAATGCGGATGGAGGTAAGTCTGAGAAGTTGTGGTCAGATTGTGGAGGACTCCCTATGCCCAGCTCAGGAATTTGAACTTTACCTTGTGGGCAGAGGGAAACGAGATTTTTGAGCCTGCGGGTGACTTGATATGCTCCTTGGTTTTGTTTAGAGATTTTTCTTCTGGATGCTTTGTAGTGGAATGATGGCAGAAGGAGCCCCCAAAGTTTTGGGACAGGGAAGGGGATGCTGCCCCACTAGAAAGGCGAGAAAGTGCTGCTGCTGCTCTGGTTTCCCAAAGGGAGAAGTCAGTTTCCTCTCCACTTTTTGTATGTGCTCTTAGTTTATCTAAATTTCACAAAGGTTCTGAGAGACTTTCAAAGACTTCAGAATTTTTGCTTTCACAAAACAGAGCTGAGGTGGCATCCTCTCAAAGTTCTTCTTGGCCCTACAAAAAACTGGTATTGATCTTGGGGTCAGGAAATCTGAATTTTATCTCTAACTTCTTTCTCTGTGTCTCTAACTTCTTTCTCTGTGGTTTTTAACTTTAAAATATATATATATATATATATATATATATATATATATATATATTTTTTTTTTTTTTCAGACAGAATCTCGCTCTGTCACCCAGGCTAGAGTGCAGTGGCACAATCTTGGCTCACTGCAAACTCCGCCTCCCGAGTTCACGCCATTCTTCTGCCTCAGCCTCCTGAGTAGCTGGGACCACAGGCGCCCACCACCACACCCAGCTAATTTTTTTTTTTTTTTGTATTTTTAGTAGAGACGGGGTTTCACCATGTTAGCCAGGATGGTCTTGATCTCCTGACCTCGTGATCTGCCTGCCTCAGCCTCCCAAAGTGCTGGGATTACATATGTGAGCCCACACCCGGATCTTAGTGTTTGCATGTTGTATTACTTTTTATCCTTTTACTTTCAGCCTACTTATGTCATTATGGGTTTTGTTTGTTTGTTTGTTTGTTTGTTTTTGAGACAGAGTCTCATTCTGTCACCCAAGCTGGAGTGCAGTGGTGTAATCTCAGCTCACTGCAACCTCCGCCTCCTGGGTTCAAGCAATTCTTGTGCCTCAGCCACCCAAATGACTGGGATTACAGGCACATGCCACCACTCCCGGGTAATATTTGTATTGTCTTTAGTAGAGACAGGGTTTCACCATGTTGGCCAGGCTGGTCTCGAACTCCTGGCCTCAAGTGATCTGCCTGCCTCAGCCTCCCAAAGTGCTGGGATTACAGGTGTGAGCCACTGCGCCCAACCTTCTAACTCCTAATTAATTGGCTGTATGAGCTTGGGCAAGTAAATCTCTGTTCCTCAGTGCCACTTCCTTTCATCAGGTGGGAACTCTCCCCTGACAGAAATTCCCTAGCACCGTTTGGCACCTGTCTGGGGTCACTTTTGTCATTACATTCTGCTTGGCATTATTAGTTATTGTTGTGCTTTGCAGAGTGGAAAGAGACTGGCATCAACAAATCTAGCTTTAAATCCTGGCTTGGTCACTTACCAACTGTATGGCTTGGAGAAGTTATCTAATTATCTGAACTCTCATTTCCTCTTCTGTAAGTCTGGAATATTTATACCTAACACACTGGGTCATTAGAAGGTCAATAGAAGGAATAATTGAAATAAAGTATGGCTGGGCCCAGTGGCTCATGCCTACAACCCTAGCACTTTAGGAGCCAGGAGGATCACTTGAGGCCAGGAGTTTGAGACCAGCATCGGCAACAAAGCAAGCCTCCATCTCTACAAAATAAAAATAAAAAATGAGCCGAAGGTGGTGGTGCATGCCTGCAGTCCCAGCTACTCAAGAGGCTGAGGTGGAAGGATTACTTCAGCCCAAGAGATCAAGGCTGCAGTGAGCCGTGATCCTGCCACTGCACTCCAGCCTGGGTGAAAGCATGAGACTGTCTCAAAAAAGAAAAGAAAAGAAAAAAGAAATAAAGTGGCTGGGTGCAGTGGCTCACACCTGTAACCCTAGTACTTTAGGGGGCCGACGTAGGCAGATCACTTGAGTCCAGGAGTTCAAGACCAGCCTGGACAATGTGGTGAAACTGTCTCCACAAAAAATACAAAAATTAGCTGGGCATGGTGGCATGCACCTGTAGTCTCAGCTACTCGGGAGGCTGAGGTGGGAGGATCGATTGAGCCTGGGAGGTGGAAACTGCAGAGAGCCGTGATTGCACCACTGCACTCCAGCCTGACTGAGCAAGACTCTGTCTCAAAAAAAATAAAAATAAAAATAAAAATAAAGAAAGTATAGGCTGGGCGTGGTGGCTCGTTCCTGTAATCCCAGCACTTTGGGAGGCTGAGGCGGGTGGATCACCTGAAGTCAGGAGTTCGAGACCAGCCTGGCCAACCTGGTGAAACCCCGTCTCTACTAAAAATACAAAAATTAGCTGGGCGTGGTGGTGACCGCCTGTAATCCCAGCTACTCGGGAGGCTGAGGCAGGAGAATCACTTGAACCCGGGAGGCAGAGTTTTCAGTGAGCCGAGATTGCGCCACTGCACTCCATCCTGGGAGACAGAGTGAGACTCTGTCTCAAAAAAATTAAATTAAATAAGTAAAGTACATAAACAGTGCCTGAAACCCAAGGCACTCACTAAAAAATATTTGTGTGAACATAATATAGACCTCTCACCACACACACATACAGTAGTAGTCTTGGTACCTAAGCACTTAGCTTAAAACATTTATATAGTGTGGACTTAGTGTCAGTATTGATACTGCATTTATGCCTTGGTTTTCTTATCTTTAGGGTAGTGATACTATCTGACTTACTGCACTGAATAGCTGGAATAAAACTGAAAAATATGCCCATTTGTAATTGCCTCTTCGACATTCAACCATAACTTATGTATGTAGTTTCTCTTACTAGACTGCAAGCTCCCTGGGAACAAGAACGAATCATTGGTTTCTCTGTAGAGAGAAGTGGAATGGAGCCTAGGGCTCTGTGTATGTGAGTGGAAAGAATCATTCACAAGCCCCACATTCTACTTGGAGCAGTCCCCAAGCTGGGAGCTGCCTCCAGCCAAGCCCACTATCCCCTTTCAGTTGCTACTTTCGCTGACTTTACACAGGTCAAGTGTAATCACCACCCAAGTTTACTTCACATTTGTCTTGAAGATAGTGTCCTAAGCTTCTTAACCCAGGCCCCAGTCACGAATGGCAGCCAGAGGCCTGGCCTTGAGCTGCTGAGATGTTGAGGAAGTGAGCAGGGACCAGCAGGGTCTCTCTCTAACTGCGGCACAGAGCCAGTTCTTGGTGCCAGCCCCGGAGGATGGTCATTCTGGGAAGCCTGAGCTTGGGGGCTGCAGGTGAAAGGCCAGTCAGAGAGCCCGCAGCATCAGAATAAGCTCCCGGCCTTAGCACCAGCAAAATGACCCCTTCTCAGAATCCAAAGCTGCTGCCCACTCAGCAGTAGCACAGGGAGGCCTCTGCCCCTGGGACCCATCCCAACCACCTCTCTTTGCCCTCATCCCCAGTTGGCTTAATTCCAAGGATCCTCCTAGATGGATTGGGATTCTCAGTCGGCCTTCAGAGCCACGCCAGGGCCACATAACAGCTCAGCGAAGCACATTGATGCAGCAAAATTTGGTGGGTCAGCGCTGGAGGGCCTGGAGCTGCTCTGCAGCAGAAGTTTCCCTGTTAGATCCCTGGAAACCTCAAAGGCCATACCCCCTCTGAGACACCTTCTAACCTGCATCTGTATCCTTGGAGGCAGGCAGGGAAGGGGTTGAGCTTAAGATAATCTACTCAGCCTGCTGAGGGCTTCCTCTGAGGGCTCTGGGCTGCCTAGGAAAAGGGGAAAAGGGGAAAAGGAATTCTTCAAACAACAACCCTCATAGCAAGTACTGAGTGGATGCTGTGCCCAGCACTGTTTTGACTACTGGGTGTGCTTTCTTGTTGGCCTTCCACCTATAAGTAGGCACTATTGTGAATCCCATTTTACACATGAGGAGACTGAGTCCTAGAGAGGTGAAAAAACTTTCCCAAGGTCACAAGGATCCCAGCTAGACAAATGACCACTCCTAGCCTTTGTCTCACATAATGGCTTGAAGGGGAAGAAAGAATTTATTTTGAAATTAACCACGGTTCTTGGGCTCTTCTGCAGGATTTCAAGTGTGCAGAATGCGGCCTGGCAGAAGGTGCATGAGTACTTCAGAGTGCAAAAGCCCTGGGTTCAGGTCCAAAGTCAGCCACTGCCTAGCTCTAGCGCTTCAGGCAAAGTGCTTCAGTCAAATGGGGCTAGTAGTTCTGACCTTGCAGGGCTATTGTGAGGATCAGAATAACACACTCAGCATGCCTGGCAGCTGGTGGGTGCTCAGTACATGGTCACCATGGCTATTCCTCTCCTCTGCCCTCCCTTGGCTGAGCGGGTGCAGGCCCCCATTGCTGCTGGCGGCCCCATGACTGACTGCTCCAGCAGCCCATTGGAGTAAGTGGAAGCAGCTGGGAGAGGGGTCGGGGGAAGAGGGGAAGGGAGGGGACAGCTTGAGAGCTTGAGTGACTGCAGCCCTGAGGGCCTCACAGGGGATATAGGCCCTAGCCACAGGTGCACCAATTACTCTCCCCTCAAAGAAAGCCTGGGGTTCACTTCTCCCCCACCCCCGTTTTCCCACTCTGCTCAGCCCTGACCTTTCTGCAGAAGGCGGTGGCAGCTCCGCAGCACCAGTCCGCTGGCTGGTCGTTTGTCTTCAGGTTTCACAGCCTCCCTGAGGCTCCCAGTGCTTTGCAAGTTTTCCCTCCCTTTCCCAGCCACTTCCCAGTTAGCCTGGGAGCCTCTTAGTGGCAGCTCGGGTTTCATTCCTGGGAGCTTTGTTCCAAATGGAAGTTTCTGGTTGGGATAATCCCTGGGTGTGAGTGGTCAGTGCAGGAAGAGTCAGGAGCCTCTCTGGGAGGCAGTGGGAACAACCCCACTAGTCCAGGTGCTCTGAGAGGGAGCAGAGCTGGGCTCCTTGTCCTGGAAGCACCTTCCCATCGAGGCCCAGGGGCTGACCCTGGGCAGCCGGCCTGGAGCCCACCCATCTCTTCTCTGGTAGGTCCTGGCTATCATCCTCTCCTGGATGCCCAAGAGAGTTCTGAAGGGTTCAGACCCTTCATCTCCTTTACCACCTGCTGCAGTTGAGATACCAGGCACAAGAAGCTGAAGGGACCCCAATCCCTGAGGCATCCAAAGCAAATATTGTTTAAGTCTATTTTATAAAACAGGCTTCCATACAGGTTTTGCTCAGGAAAAAAGTTTCTGTTGCTAAAAAAAATTTTTAAGCAAATAATCTAATTCAAACCTTTTACTTTCCAGATGAGGAAATTAAGGTTCAGAAAAGACAAGTTTCCCGGAGGATCCTACAGCAATTCCATTCTCGTCTGTCTTCTCTGTGAAGGCGCTTGTGAGCCACGCAAGCACAGTGCCTGGTGCTAACCCACGTGTTACCTGCGCCATGTTGTGTAGTAGACTCAGGTTCACTACTCTGGGAAGCCCAATACATGGGCCAGCCTGAAGGCAGGGACCTTGCCACATCCACCCTGCTCTCTCCAGTAATTCAATACTCAGTGTGCATGGAATTCAACTGGGACTGAGCCAAGTGGAGCTGAACTCCAGCAGAACCAGCCCAGGGTCCTGTCTTCCACCAGTTTTCAGCTGCCTAAAAACCAGCCATGGCCAGCACACTCAGCATTCCTGCCCCCATCCCCTAAACCCCAGCGTCTTCACACAAACCCTGCTCTTCCTGTCTCAGCCTTCCCCACTCCTCATCAGGAAGGCCTGTCTAACCATGGCCATCTGCTACATGGGAGGCCTTAGGAGTCAGGGATCTATCCAACCTGTGCACCATTGCTTCCCAACACTCTACTGCCTGGCATGTAGGAAGTGCTCAGTAAACCCTTCGTGAATCAACGCAAGGCACTAGGGAAAGGAAAGCCTTCGCATTTGGCTAGAGGAAAGGTCAGAGCCTTGAATGTCAGCTGTGTTCTCAGTGCTTCTCTCTTGTTCTGTTTTTCCCAACTCCAGCAACTCAGGCTTGACTTTTCGCCAATTTGCCTGGGCTTATTTGGAGTGAGAGGGGTGGGAGGCAAAGCCAGGCCTGAGGGACAGAGAGGCAAGAACGTGCACACTGGCCCCCGGGATAAGCAGGGAAACCATCCCCTTGCAGCCACCACATCATCCGTCCATCTCAGTTCTCCCAGGCCTTCAGGGGCCGGGGCCTTTGGCAGCCACACCTGCTTGGATGAGTGGAAGGGATGGGGAGAGGCCAGCCAGTCTCGGTGTGCATGAGGGACCTTGCCCAGCCTCTTTCCCAGCCTCCTGGCTGCCTTAGGCCCTCGGCTGCCAGAGCTGTTTCCCCAGGGAAGCAGCCTCCTTACAGACTCTGCTCCTCGGTGGCTCTCTGATGATGCCACTGTGCAAACCTGGGCTCCCAGGGACTTGGCTCAGGTGGCCCACCCCGTCTCCCAGATTCCTTCCCGGCAGTAGCCACCATCACTGTTAGGAAGCATTGTTAAGGTACCCGCTGGACACTCGACACACTCATTTTAACTCAGTCCTGGCAACTCCTATGGTGGAGTGATTCCCTGTTGTGCAGGTGAGGAAGTGGGGGCTGGGAGAGGTGAGCTGACTTGCCCCGATTAAATGACCAGGCAGTGACAGAGCCAGGGTTCAAGCTCAGGGCTGCTGGACTCCAAAGCCCTTGCCCCTCACCCTCACACCAAGCCACTTCTGATTTCTGGCTGTCCCTGTGGCCATTCCTCTGACTTCCTTCTCTGACTCTGCTGAGGCCTGGAGGATGCCACAGCAGTGTCAGAGCAAATGCCAGGGGTGGGGGGGAGTGAAAACAAGGAAAATCCCCTTTGCTTTCCATTCCCTCTGTCTACCTACCCCGCTGGTCTGATGAAAGTGCCCAGATGGGGGCCTGCTTCCTGGGGCCGGGTTCTTGCACAGGGCCTGCCACCGATACCAGACTCTCTCATCCCTCACACACTCGTACACACTCATACCAGGGTTGCCCAGGCCAAAATAGCAACTTTAAACACCACCTGCTTAGGCTCTGACCGCCCCCCACACTCAGCACAAAGCTGTGGCTTTAGCCATTTGGTCACTCGGCTCACCTTGTCGTCAAGCTCTTTTTCCCAGAGCCCCATCTACCCATCACACCTCATTTAAGGACACCCCTAGCAGCCACCCTCCCTCCCTGGGCTGCTCTCATCCCTTCTCAGGAACCCCCTCTGCCACTCAGCTCAGGAGCCCCCACCCCCAGCACCCCAGGGAAGATAAGACCTGCCTTAAGGGAAGTGGCTGGAACTTGAGCCCAAGGTAGAGAAGTCAGCCCAAACCCTCAGAAGCCTAAGCCCCAGCGTCCTGCTGACCTGGCCTGTTCTATCAGAACTGAGATCAGGCAGCTCCTACATGGTGTATTACCCAGGATGAATGTTTTATGAGTTTGCTCTTCATTACCAAGGGCTCCTTGCAGAGGGCGGGAGGGGGAGGGTATAGAAAAAGCCCAGGGAGAGACTGGGCAGGGAGATGGGTTGGAAGAGCATGGGGTGGCCCAGGTGTCTTTATGATGGGACAGGGGGCAGTTCTTTGTGAAGAAATATTCTGCAGGACTTGGTGATATTTGTCATATTGAGATGATTGAATGTCAGAAGCTAGAAACAGGGAAGAGTCCAAGAAGGTGGTTTTGGAATCTGGGTTTTCGGGGGGCTGCATGTATGGGGGCAGAGGGACAGCTGGAATTGGGTGTTGGCCCAGGCCACCCCTACCCTCTGAAGTCACCGACCAGTCCTCTAGGAAGTTGGCCTGGGTCTCAGGACCACAGTGCTGTGGCTGCTGCAGGCTTTGCTATTCTGCCACTCTCGGGTCCCAAGCCAGGCATCTTCCGGACCTATGGGGTCAAGGGAATGCGAGGCAGCACACTGGCCAGAGCTCTATTCAGGCTTCTCTGTGCTCCCTGAATGCCATGCCCAGGCCTGGGCCCTTGTTCTGAGCACCTCCAGCCAGGCCCTTACCTACAGCCCATCTGAGTCTTCATGACTGGGGGACCTGGCCATATCTCCAAATGCCAATGGTGGGGACCTTGGTCAGCAGGGCAGAATGCTGACTGTCCTCCCCCAGTACCCACTGCTCCATACACGGCCAGGGAAGGAATGGCAGGAAACGCTCCCCAAACCCACCCAGGGGCTGCAGCCAGTTCCACTATTGCCAAGAGAGGGGCTAGGGAGGGAGCTAGACCGCAGAGGGAGCCGGAGCCTCGCTCAGGGCCTGCCAGCAGGGAGGGGGTGGGTTTTGCATGAGGGGTCAGCTCTGGGGCCTGCCCAGATGGACAGTTACTTCTTGAGGGTCAGCAAGAGATCCAGATGGGGAAGGGGGCAACCAAAGGGACCTATTGGCACAACCCTCCACGGCAACATGGGACTTGGGGATCCCCCTGGAGTTCCTGCCAGCTCCCCATCTGTCTTGCTACCACTTACTCCTCCTCTCTCCTCTGCTCTCTCTGGCTCTTAATTCCCCTTCACTCTCTCCTGTGAAGTCCTCTGGTTGCTACGGAAACCTGATGGCGATGAAGAAAGCAGAATTTGGGGAGGTTCTGAGATGTCCAGACCAATAGGCCCTGCCTAGATGTCTGCCTGTCCAGGTTTTGGAGACATTTGTTGCAGCTTGAGAAAATGATGGGGGGCCTGTGCCAGACAGCCTTGGACCTTTTTCAGTAAGCAGTGCATGTCGGATGGGCGAAGAGAAGTCACCCATCCCAGGACCATCCTCAGGTCTCCCTGCCCTTCAGACATTTCCTAACGCCTGACCCATGGCCTGGATACAGAGGACTCCCAGCCTGCCTTCTCCGCAGCTGCCTCAGAACCTGCTCTATGTGGATTGCTTGCACAAATGCTTGCTGAACACCCACCATGTGCTGGGCACCATTATAGGCACTGGGCTTTCATCAATGAGCGATTCAAACAAAGTTCCTGCTCTCCTGGGAGGTAAGGGTAGAGTAGACCAAAAGCAAGTAAATAAAAAAACAGGATAAGATCAGACAGTGATAAGTGTAACGTAGAAAATAAAGCACAGGCCGGGCACAGTGGCTCACGCCTGTAATCCCAGCACTTTGGGAGGCCGAGGCAGGTGGATCACCTGAGGTCAGGAGTTTGAGACCAGCCTGGCCAATATGGTGAAACCTCATCTCTACTAAAAATACAAAAAAAAAAAAAATTAGCCAAACGTGGTGGCACCTGCCTGTAGTCCCAGCACTTTGGGAGGCTGAGGCGGGCGGATCATTTGCGATCTGGAATTCGAGACCAGCCTGACCAACATGGTGAGATTCTGTCTCTAATAAAAGTACAAAAAAAACCCAAAAAATTAGCCGGGTATGGTGGCGCCTGCCTGTAGTCCCAGCACTTTGGGAGGCTGAGGCGGGCAGATCATTTGAAGTCTGGAATTTGAGACCAGCCTGACCAACATGGTGAACTTCTGTCTCTAATAAAAGTACAAAAAAAAATTAGCCGGGTGGGGTGGCGCCTGCCTGTAGTCCTAGCTACTCAGGAGGCTGAGGCACGAGAAACGCTTGAACCCGGGAGGCGGAGGTTGCAGTGAGCCAAGATCATGTCACTGCACTCCAACCTGGGCGACAAAGCAAGATTCCATCCCCCCGCCCCTCAAAAAAAGGCAGACAGTGAGAGCGGAGAGACCCACATCACGCAGTCGGCCAGCCAGTGATTTGGAGGAAAGACATTCCAAGTGGCAAGAACAGCAAGTGCAAAGGCTCTGAGGCTCCCTGGGCTTGTTAGAGAAGCTGGAGGAAGTGTGTCCAGGGAGCAGCAGGCAAGAGGGAGGGCGGGAAGGAGTGGAGTTCCACAGGCAGAGCATGCAGAGGCTTGTGCTGGCCTGAAAATGAGTTTGAATTCAAGTGTAGGTATGGTGGGAGTAACACAATCAGATTTGCGTCTTGAAAATTCTGGCTTCTGAGTGCAGAATGGATTGTAGGGGGATAAGACAGGAACCAGGAAGAGCAATTGAGGTTGGGGGTGGGTACTGCCATAAACCAGACAAGAACTGATGATGGCTTGGAGCAGGGTGGTAGCAGTAGATAGGTAGATAGGGTGGGTGGTGGATGGATTGGACTGGAGAGATGTTCTGGAGGGCAAGCCAGCAGGAACTGCTGATGAGAGGCAAGGGTGATGCTCCCAGGTTAAACCAGCCCCGTTTTTTGGCCACCTCCTCTCAGCCCTGGGGTTGAGTGGGGGGTAAGGAGTAGGGAGGCAGGATGACATGAAACTTTTCCCTAGCCCCAGGTAAAGCTCCGGACTCAGAATCCTTCTGTCCTTCCCCTAGGTCATCAGGCCACAGCACTCTCTGCTTTTCCCCCTGCCTACCTCGTGGGCCACACAGTCTCAGTCTTCTTTACCAGTTCTCCCTCTTCACCTGTCCTCTAAATTTTTGGAGCACACTGAGGCTTGGCCGGCTCCTCTTCTCCATCTCTGCTCACTCCCTAAGGAATCCATCCTGTCTCCTGGCTTTGAAAATCATCTGTGTGCTGAACACTCCCGGATTGCTATCTTCACACTAGACTTCTCCCCTGAATTCCAGACTCACACACAACTGCCTACTCATCTCCTCTTGAATACGTATGTAGTCAGCTCAGATGTAACATGTGCAAAACCAAACTCCTACCCTTCCCCTCCAAATCTGCCCATCCTGGAATCTCCCCCATCTCAGTGAATGACACCTCCATCTTTTTCGTTGCTCAAGCCGGAAACCATGGAAACTCCTAGACTCCTCTCTTTCCGCACAAGCCACATCCAAATCCATCAGCAAATCCTGCCATCTCTACTTGCGAAAAATGTCCAAAACCCCACTCTCTCCTGACCATCTTCCATTCACTACTATCTCTCACCTGATTATTGCGGTAACCTCATAACTGGTCTCCCTTGCCCTGCTACCTTCTAGTCTCAACACAGCAGCCAAAGCAACCTTGGGAAAACTTAATTCAGATCATGTCACTCTACTGTTGAAAACCCTCAGTGAAATTAGCTATGTGTGTAATCCCATGCCTGTAATCCCAGCTACTTGGGAGGCTGAGGCAAGAGAATCGCGTGAACCCAGGAGGCAGAGGTTGCAGTGAGCCGAGATCGCACCATTCCACTCCAGCCCGGGTGACAGAGGGGGACTCTGTTTAAAAAAAAAAAAAAAATTCCTCAGTGGTTTGCGGTCTCATCCAGAGTCAAGCTTAAGTCTTTTCAATGGCCCCACAGGATCTGCCCTTTGCCAAAAGGTCTCTGCACCCCTTCTGTCTCTGTGACCTCACCTCAGTTTCTGTCATTCTCTACTACCCCCAACCCCCAACTGCACACCCCCTAGATCCTCCCTTAGCTGTGCCGCGGCCGTGGTGGCCTCCTTCCTGTCCCCCTAATGCAGTGTGCCTTTGCAGTGGCTGCTCCCTCCACCTGGATCGTCCTCCCCCAGGTATGGGAATGTCTTACCCTGATGGAGTGTGCTCAGACCCGAAGTTATCCACAAGGTCTTCCTGATCACCTTGTTTAAAATCGCCACCACCCTTCACACTCATCCTCTTCTCTGGAATATTGAGATGGCTGGATGTCAGAGTCTAGAAACGGAAGAATCCAAGAAGGTGTTTTTTGAATCTGGGTTGGTCTATGTGGCGGTTGTCACTGACTGATGTGTCCTCCCCCACTAGAATATGGGCTCCAGAGTAACAGGCATTTTTGTGTCTTATTTTCTGCTCTGTCCCCTCACCCAGGACAGAGCCTGGCACATCATAGGCACTCAGTCAACATTTACTGAATGAATGAATGGAATTAGGGAAAGACCTGCAGCCTGCAGGAGGCAGCCTGGATCTGGGAGGGGAGACCCAATTTCTAGGACAGCACCAGCTTTACCCTAGCCATGGGTCGTCTGGGCTGCAGTTGTCATCTGTGGAGGGTGGGGAACTCCTGAGGCCCTTTGTAGCAGCAACATTCTAGAATGATGCTTGACCCTGGCCTCACCTGCTTCCATTTGGCTGAGGGAGGAAGGGAGGGGTAGAGGCGGGACCTGGTGCTGTGGAAAGAGAGAACTCTTGCTCATTCTTTCTAGTCAAGACCCAAGTGGACTCTTTGCTGGCTTTGAAAGGAAAGGCATTTCTGGTTTGTACTTGGCAGGACTCTGAGAGCCCTAGGTGAGGAAGGAATGAGCCAGAGGGTGCAGCCCCAGCTGCTGAGTGGGCACAAGTAGACGCCTGGCCACTGGGCCTGGGTTCCTCCTCATGGAGACCGTCCTTCTGGGGCGTCATGGGGAGGAGGCAGGAGGAGAATTGAAGTGAGGACTGGGGAGAGGGAAGGCTGGAGAGGGCCTAGTGTGTGGGTCGGCTGGGCTCACACGCAGGCCCTCAGTGGGTGTGCACGGTCAAGCCTTGAAGCAGCCCTCAGCCCGCCCCTAGGCCCTCGCAGCCAGCACCAACTCTGGGACGGAGTGGCAGGGGGCCTTTTGGCTGAGAGAAGCCCAGTCCTCCTCCATTTTCTGGGCCTTGCAACAGCTCCCTGCTTGTTTTCCCCGAAATAAATGGGCTGAGCATATTGGGCCGGCAATAACCCCTTGAAATCAGTTGTTATCACAGTTAACAACCAGTTTGGCTTCAGTTCAGGCTGTTAACTATCAAACCACTAAGTGCCGGTAATGATTGATTCTTGGCCAGTTGCAGCTTGAGTGGGCTGTAAAACCCCGTTAGTGAGGGCTCTGTGGAGGCAGCGGCTCAAAGATAAACAAGTTGATGGGTGCTCTAGCCTGGCCTAGCCCCAGTGCTCTGGGCGCAGCTCCCATGGGTCCCTGGCCTGGGGTCCTACTGGGAGTCAACCTCTTCCCAAAGCTGCAGGCAACCTCAAGGACCAGGTCCCACCCTTCTGTCCCCCTCCACCTCACCTTTCCCTATTCAGGTGTCTCTTTCTAGAAGGCAGGTCTGGCTCTCTGGAGAGCTCCCTTCTTCTTCCAAGATGTAAACATGGCACAATCCCATTGCCACCACCCTGGAGGACTCAGGCCTCCCCAACCTGGGGGCATGAGGATTAGCTTTAGCCAGTGACCAGCCTCGGCCCAGCCTGGCCCCACGTTGTGGCCAGGATCACAGGCAGAGAGCCTGACATTCCACCCCCTGCCCCAGACTCCCTCCTACTCAGTGCCTTCCCCCAGGAATTGCTCTCAAACAAATGAAATGTGGGTAATTACTGGGCTAGGGGCTGGACAGGAGACCGTGCAGATGAAAGCGTTTCCTGGACGGTCCCTTCATTTGCATGGCATCAGAAGCTGCTCAGAAGGTGTGACTTTTCCCACAGTGAGACCCCAGCTCCTTGCACAATAAAGCCAGGCTGCTTACCCAGAATTAATTAAAGGGGGAAGGGAGCAGAGGAGGAGGCGCTAAGAGCTGGGGGAACTGGAAGAGAGACATCTAGGGCCCCTTCGCTACATCCAGTGTCTACGCACCAGCAGAAACCCACTCTCTCCAGAGCCCCTCACCGCCTGTGGCAGGCCACGAGAGGTGGCTGGACAGGCCAGCCTTTACTGCCGGGCTTCCCACTAAGCCTCGAAATTCCTGATCTGCCGGGGTGGGCTAAACCTGGGACTTGGGCCTGAAACTGTGGGAGGAAGCCTTGGGTTGCTCCCTACCCCAGGAGATGCCAATGGACAGAGTCCTAGAGGAGCGAGGTTTCTAGACTGGCTCAGTAGCTGGGCTGTGGGACCAGCCCAGGGCATCCACAAGGAAGGAAGCAGGAGCAGCCCTAATGGGAGGCCTCAGCGATGAAGCCTGGGCCAGCTCTGCACTCAGGAAACTGCCGTGGGGCCTGGGCTCTCCCTCGGTGTGGCAGGACACCAGTCTCACCAGTCCACACGCAAACACACACCTGCACCCTTGCCCATTCCCTTCTCTGCCCACACCATGACCTGCTCCACCACTCCCACAGCAGCCCTCCCTCCCTCCACATACGGCCTCCTGCTTCTCCCCAAGGCTATGACTGCCTTTAGTTCTGCGCTAGGCCTATGAGCTTCCCTTCTGGTGCCATCCGGTGCCCAGCTCCTCTCCCGCCAGGCCCATCCTCCGAGGTGGGCAGCCTCTTCCTGGAAGACAGTTCCCCAGGCTCCTCACCGCACCTCAGCTCAGTGCTTTCTGCCCACAGCTATCTCACCATATCACCCAAGGTTAACACTTGTCCCACATCACCATTGTCAACACCAGTCTTGGTGGTCCCCCTCCAATATGCCCCCACCTTGGACCCTGGCAGCTGCTCTTTTCTTTCATTTTCTGGAGCCTGAGTCTCAGAAAGAGCAAGTTCTGGAATCTCCAACCTGTCTCCCACATGGACCTAGGCACTCAGAGAAGCACTTTTTAAGAGGATTAAATCCATGATTACAGCTCTAGCCCTAGCACATCCATTATTTCTGGCCCTGAGGTGGCCTGGGGAAGTGTTAGCAATGACCTCTGTAAAGTGCTAGGAGGTACACATCTGAGAGCTCCAAGGACTAGCTAAGAGCCTCTTCTTGCCCCTTTCCCTGCTTCTGTCCTTGCAGGAAAACCCCTCAAGTGACAGTGATGGGGATGGTTGACAGGCAGGTGTCTTTAGGCTGGAGGGAGGCTGTGGTCAGAGCTGGCACCTGGTCATCTGCGTCTCCCAGCCGCCCACCAGCTGGGGCAAGGTTGGAGGGAGGGGCTGACCCCGGCAGGACTCACTCTCCAGCACACATTTTTAATATGCAAGTTAAATAAATATTTCAATCATTTAATAGCCACCAGTCTGATACCCACTTCTAAGAGGACTGCCCTATGTCACAGTCCTTTCCTCCCTGCCCCACCTGGGGGTGCAGTGGAGTCCCTGGCTGCCCAGCCAACTGGCCCTGGAGGTACTGGGGCCTCAGCAGCACAGGCTAGAGAAAGCCCCCCACCCCCGCAAACCCCCAGCCGGAATCCCAGTCTAGGCCACTAATGGAGCTTTCTGAGAGTTAAGAAGACAGACACCACAGCCAAGTGGAATACAAAAATAGAGCCTCTCTTTTGTTTTAAAAAAAAAAAAAAAAAAAAAAACAGCAAAAACCCAACAGCAAACAATATCAACAACCGGAACCCAGGGCTCCCCCAGCACCTCCCCAGCCTGCAGAGCAGCGCACAGCTCATCTTGCTTGAGTTTTGGGTGCCCTACAGGATGAGCCTCTCTGCGGTCTGGCATTGTGGGGAGGGCCAGGCAGCACCTATCGGGGCTCGGGGGCCCAAGTCCTCTGGCTGCCGCGCAGGCTGCGCGTGAAGGGCGGGTAGTTGAGGAACTCGAAGCGCAGGCTCTGCTCGGTGGTGTGGTGGCCCCGGGGCAGCCGCTTCATGAAGTGGACCTCACGCTGGTGCTGCCGCGTCTTGGAGCCCTTGCGGGGCCGGCCCTTGCGGGTGAAGGCCATGTACCAGCCCTCGTACTTGGCATTCTGCAGCGCTGTGTAGTTGTTCTCCAGCACAATCTCCGTGAAGACGCAGTCCTTGCCTTTGCCGTTGCTCTGCAGGTAGGGGAGCCAGACACCACGTTACAGAGCCCCCCCAGCAGAGGCAGAGGGCGAGCGGCCCCAGACAGCAGGTGGGCACCCCAGCAGATGGCGAGGTGGGCAGGAGCCGCAGCCCCACCCCCTGCCTGGGCACCCGCTCTCTAATCCCTCACAACTCGCAGCCCACCCGGCAACTTCCTGTCCTCCCAGGCAGCAGTGACACATGGTTGTCTACGGAGGGGCTGGGCCCCAACGCAGAAAGACAGAGAGAGGGGCCCAGAGCCTGGCCTGCTCTGGCCTCCTGCCCACCAGTCTGGCCACCCGTCTCCCCACCTGCCCCTCTCACCCCCCCAGGACTTCGGTTCCCTGGCCCCAGGGCAGCCACCCTATGGGGGAGGGGAGGCCTGGGAGAAGATGCTAAGACCCCAGCCCCAGAAGCCCAGGAAGTGGGGAGCTCGAGGCTGGAGAGGAGCCGTGACTAATGGAGCCATTTCAGAGCTCGGCCGAGGGGCTGGGCCTGCGGCTTACTGAACATTCCAAATGCTGGTACCATGTAATTGGACATAATAGCAAAGCAATTTGGCGATTTGTTAAAAAGATATATGGAATTTACCAACCACCACCCCCCAGCCCCTTCCCTAGCCTTCATTCTTCCTCCTTCGCCTTTTATAGTTTTCATCTCTCAAACAGCTTCCTTCTCCCTCACTCCTGCACCCAATCGTGAGGTAACCCCAAGATGGCCCTGTGGCCTTCTGCCTACCTTGTTGGGATCAGAGCCCAGGACTGTCTTGGAGGAGTCCAGCCAGCCCAAGCCACTCCCTAGGTCCCGCGGACCCCACCTGCCTGCTGGGGCCTCACCTTGGCGATCAGCTTCCCCTTCTTGTTCATGCAGATGTAGAGGCCCGTCTCGGCTCCTCGGACTCGAACTCTGCTTCCAAAGGTGTCCGTCTCCACGATGAGCTTTGCTGTCAGAGAAGGTAGCAGGATGGCTATTGGCAGATCCCTGACCCCAGCTGGCCCACACACTTGTCACAGCCCAGCAGCAACTGCTCCAAAGACCAGGAACCCAAAACATGGACTCCAGCTCCAGCCCAGCTACTAACATGCTGTGCAACCCAGAGAAAGGGCTTTTCTGGACCTCGGGCCCCACCCCTGGGTTTACAGAGGGCAGTGGACGGGATTATGGTTTTCAAACTGGGTTCTCAAGAGAGGTCTTGGGACTATCAAATTGAAAAGGCTGAAGTGCCATTCCTTCCACCCTCTTTTTAAACCAGACAGTGATGTCTCTTAGATTGAGGATCTAAGTAAAATTTAATTGAATCAGAGTTCCATAGCTAATCAAAAGATCTCCGAGGATCCTTCCAACTCCAAATATTATGTGTGCGTGTCTCACAGGTCATTACAAACACTTGGGTGAAGGGGTGACCTCCAGTCCCAAGGCCAAAGATGAAAGCATTGTCTCCTGTTTCTGCCACTTTGGGTTCTAACTCACAGCTTTGGCCACCCCCAGCCCCTCAACATCACCAGGCTCTGCTCTGCTGAGAAGGTGCTAGGGATGGGGACAGCTCTCCCTAAACACACAGCCCAAAGCAGGCTGCTTTCCCAGAACCTCAGACACCTGCCAGGAGGATCCTGCCTCTTCCCTGTGGCTTCCCAGTCACCAGGGTCCCCAGCCCAGTGTCTAGAAATCAACAACTCAATTGTCTTTTCTCTTTCAGCCTCATCACAGCTGGGCTTCTCAGCCCAGTGACCAAATAGCTTCTGTGGGTGAGGAGGAGGGAGAATCCTGCCTGCTGGCCTCTTAGACTGGAGGCCAGGAGGCAGGGCTGAATTCTATGCCTCCTTTCCCATTCCCCTCCCCTTAGACAGCCAACTTGCCACAGAAGCCTGTCCTGTTCACCTCTCTGTGCAATCATCTCTTATAGGCTGTCCTCAAGAAAGTAGTGAGGGTGACTTCACTGTTTAGGAAGGGACAGAAGGCGCTGGCTCTCCTGCCGTCCCTGCCGCAGAGCCCAGCCTCTCCCCTCCCTGAGAAAGCAGTTCTTGGACTTAGCCTGCATTGACATATGGCACCTCCTCTGTCCCTGAAACCCATGGCAGGGGTTTGGGGCATCGAGGTCAGCAAGTCAGTCATCACTGCTCAGCTTGTAATGTTCCCCGCTTCACACAGGCTCAGTGCTGGGACCAGTGGCCAAGCCCCCGGTTTGGCCCCAAGTCAGCAGGGAAATGCAGCTGTCACCTCCCTGCCTGCCCACCTCCTCCTGGACCTAGCCAGTCTGCTCATCCCTCTCCCGCTCTGCCTTCCACAGCAAGAGGCAGCTATTTTTAAGGGCCAGGAAGGATGCTGACTGGAGGAGTGAGAGGATGCCACTCTGGGGATTCTGGCCAGATGCGGCAGGCAGGGATGAAGTAGGTGCCTCTGCATCTTCCTGGGGCCGGTAAAGAAGCCATTGAGACCTCTCTGCTATTCTCCCCGGACTACTCCTGTCCTGGCTGAACACCCTGAGCCTCTGTTCTTAGGGCCTCCAGCTCCTATCCTGCTGTGGGGCAGGGACTAGGGAAGGCGGGAAACCTCTTATATGGCCACGGAGAGAAGTGGACATCAGGCTTCCTCTGATGTCTGAAGATGAATTCCCCCACACCAGCTTGACTTCTGCTTCCCTCCCCGAAATCCAAGGATGCTGGGCCATTTGCTCTGACAGAGCAAACCCTGGAAGAGCCAGGCATTCGTCTCCTCTCCTTAGAAGCTGAGAAGGGCAGCAAGCAGCTAATTTGGAGGGACAAAGGGATGGTAGGCCTGCTCTGCCAGCCCAGTAGGGGAGCTCGGCCACCAGGCAGGCCGCCCCCACCCCCACCCCAGAAAGCCCGCTCTCTCCCATGTCGGTTGAATCTGCTCCGATCTGGGGAGCTGGGGCCGCAGTTTACGGCAGCTCTCCCGACCGGGCTTTTGGAAAGCTTAACATTTTCAAACCTATTCTTCCACCCCAGTGACAGATTTATCCCAGGAAAATTATGTCTCCTCCAGCTTTGAAGGGAAGTCAGCTACGTCGATGCAGAAAAAATGCAGCGAGACATACTCGATCCCCCAAACTGGCTCAAGAAGAGGAGAAAGTATTCAGGAAATGTTAAAAAAGGTGAAAGTAAGAAGAGTTTTAATCGCTCTGCCAGACGCAGGGGTCTCTCCAGAGATTCAGAGAGAACAATCTTGAACCTCTTTTTTAACATTTACAGACTTGCAACTCCTTTCAAACTCCACATCTGAAAAAAAGCTCGTTCTTTTTCTGTTTTATATCATTCTTCATTTTTCTTCTTAGCTCTTAAAATGCCTCACCTTTTTATTACATTTTAATAGAGTCTTCCCCTCTCCTTTCATGCTTGTTTAACGTGGTCATTATTTAAAGGTTTTTAAACTCACAATAATCGCTCTCTAAAAACAACACCAGCCGCCCAGAGGGCTTGCTTTTCTCTTGGTACATCCAGGACTCTGGAAATTGGCCCCGTTTCAAGGCAGGAATATTGAATGTTTTAGAAATCAATCAGTCCTCAGCCTCTCTGCCGGCAGTAGCTCTCCGCACTTGCCACCCCACAGGGAGCCGGGAGCCCTGCCCCAGCCGCCTGGGTTCCCCAGGGAATGGAGCAGGGAGAGCCCCCTTCCAAGCCCAGTTTCCACGTGTAAATTGACCCATCCGATTAAAGTATTTAAGGGTTCCCAGCAACCTCCTTTTCCAACTGGGAGAGTTGAGGGGATTTCTCTCCCTTCTCTTTCCCACTCTCCTTTTGTGGGCCCTGGCGACATATCCTCTTTCAAGCGCTTGCCTTAAACCTAGGCCCCCTCCCCCTGAACCCCCTGCCTCCACCTGCAGCTGGGGAGGAGTGTATGAAGGGGGGAGGTGTAAAGGGAGATTCCTAGATTCATTCATTTGCTGGGCAGGGAAGGGGGCACCTGTGGCCAAGTACTCCCCGAGGCCCCTTCCCTAGCCCTCTCTTCCCCAGCTGACCCTCAAGACACCTTTCTGCCTTAACTCCTTCCCTTCTGAGCTGGGGACCCTGCAGGCCCCCGGCCAGTGCAGTTGGGACTGGTGGTCCAGGCGCCGCGCATCCCACAAGCTACCTTCAGCGCGCCTTACCGAAGGGGTCGCCGTCCTCTGCCATGGCGTTGATGCGCTTGTTGGCCAGGACCTGCACGTGCTTCCCGCTGGTGCGGCTGTAGAGTTGGTAGGTCCGGATGAGGCGGCGGCTGAGCTGATCCGTCACCAGGCTCTGCTCCCTCACATGCTGTGTAAAATTAGGTGAGGACTGAACAGTTACCTTTAGGAAATTGAAAAATACACAATACACCATTATAATGCTACTCCGCCCAGGGGCCCGAGTGGCCCCATCACCCTGCGTCCCCCTCACTGCCCCAAGCCGCCAGCAGGTGCTGGGGGTTCCCCCAACATGCCAGCCCAGGCCACCATCCCCCACCCACGCAAGTCGGGCAGACCCAGCCCAGGATGAACGAGCCCCAGGGAGAAGCTGGACCCACCTGTTGGGAGACACCCTGGGGCTCCCGGCCAGCCCGGAACAGGGAAGCGAGCTCCCTGCCCAGCGCAGGGCCCCTGCCCGGGCCTTCCTAGAGGAGCAGGGCGCTTTTAAGTAGGGAGGCAGCCCTCCCCGACCCCTGACATTTATAAAGACAAATTTACGGAGCAAATGTTGAGAGTGCAGGGAACCTGGGCACCCGATCATTGGGCCAAATCGGCCACAAGCCTCCCCCGAGGGGCGCTGAGAGGGTCTCTGCTGCAGTCACCCGGCTTCCCCTGGCATCGAACATCCATCCCCTGGCCGCGGCTGCCCCCTTCCTCGGCGGCTGGGTGTTCCCTATGCCCCCAGCCGGCGAGGATGCATGGGGGACAGTGCTGGGCTCCGAGACCTTCGTTTCTATCCTGGCCACTCACTCGCTGTGTGACCTCAGGAGGGGTGCTACCTCTCTGTGCCTCAGCTCCCTCCTCGGGGTGGCTCGGGGCTGGGTTTCTAAGGTGCCCTCAGCCCTCCCGCGCCGGCCGCAGAGTCAGTCCCGGTGCCCCCGACCGGCGCTGCCCACCCGGGTCTCACACCGGCGCGCCCGGCCCCCGCCTCCGCGCACCCCTCCTCACCTGGGCTTGGAGGCAGAGGACCAGCAAGTGCAACAGCCTGTGGGAGACAAAAGCGGGCGGGAGAGAGAGGCGCGGGTGAGGCGAGGGGCGCGGGGGGCGGGTGGCGGGGCAGGGCGGCGCGGTACTCACAGGCAGCTCAGCGCGGAGCGGGGGCTGCCCATGGCGCGCGGCCCCGGGGCACCGAGAGCCCGGCGGGTCACGCCGTCCCGCGGGCCGCCGCGGGAGGACGCGCTGAGCAGGGCGCGAGCGGAGAGGGTGCGGGTGCGGGAGGCCGGCGGCGATCACGACGCGGCTCCGCGGGTCCCGTGGAACGTCGTGCTCGCCGCGCCGCACCGAATCGCTGTGCGCCGCTGCCGGAGCCGGTGGCCGCTGGCTGCTCGGGAGCCGGAGCGGGCGGGAGGGTCACGGGCTGGCGGGGTGGGTGGGGAGGTGGGAGGGCGGGGAGGGGTGGGGGCGGGGGGCGCCGCACCGGGCGCGAGGGGGGAGCGCGGGGCGGGCGGCGGGAGCCCGCAGCCCCCGGCTGGGAACTGGGGCCTGGATGCAGCCCGGGGCGGGGGCGGGGCGGCCGGGGAGGGGCGGCCGACGGGTTCGGGATTGAGGGTCTGGGCTAGGGGAGGGGTCTGGGGACCCGCGGGAGGGGCGGGGGCGGCCGGTCTGGGCGCCTCCCCCTATCCCCGGCCTGTCCCCTCGCGCGCTCCCCGGTCCCGGACGCGCGGGGATGGGGGCGCCTAGGGCTGCAAACTCTGCGGGCCGGGAGACCCCGAGCCTGGGCTTCCCCGACCGCCTGGAGCGCCCGAGTCTGGCGGGTCTGGGTCTCCGCCTCCGGGCCCAGCCGCTTCCGCCGCCGGCTACGCAGTGGTCTCCGAGCCACCTACTGTGTGTCCCGCCGGGCCCCTGGGAGCGGCCGCTAACCATGCAGCGAATGGCTGCGCACCCGGCCCTCGCGCAGTGCGTGCCGGTGCCACCCGGACCCCGCTCCCCTGTTTCGGCCGCGTGCCCCGTCCTGTCGGTCTCTCCAGTCTCCTTCACTCTCCCGAGGAGGCCCTGGGAGCCAGAAATGCCTCCCCCTCCCCCCATCCCATTATCACTATCACCCCTTCCCCTGTGCCCCTCACCACACACACACACACACACACACACACACACACACACACTAGCCTGAAGCTTGAGGAGCACCCCGAGCCACCTGTGTGGAAGAGAGAGTCCGGAGGTCCCTGGCAGGACCCACTGTCCCCGTACCTCAGCAGGCAGCAGGGGCAAAAAAACTCTCAGTAGCTTTTACTGGGGGAAGGGACTTCCATCCAGGCCACCCAGCCCTTTCCCCCTCAAAGCCCCACTCGTTTTTCATTTCACAGGTATTTACACACCTACTGTATTCTAGGCAGGGGCTGGTCAGCTGGGCTTGGGGCATAGGAGAAGGTAGGCACTTGTCTAAGCCTTTCCTAGCCCCCCACCTTGTGGCTTCCCCCCTGAGGTTTCTGGAAACCCTGAGCCCCCATGCTGCTTCTGTGGGAGCAGCCTGGGTGGACAGAGATGCTCTGGGACAGGTGCCTTGTGAGGAGCAGGTGATGCCCTACCAGACTGCTGTCTTCACTTACAACCTCCCCTTCCCCAGTGACCCTCCATTCCCCTGGGGGTAGGGCTGGAGGGTTTGGTGTGGTCCCAGGAAGCCATTAGGCCAAAATTAGCGGCAGCCCTAGTCCAGCAGCACAGCCAGGCCCTGCCTCCCTCCCTGCTCTGTGTCCCACCTTTCCCTGTGCCCCATCTTTCCAACTCCCAGCCATAAATGCAAACACTGAGCAATGGAGAGATGGGAAAACAGTTAGAGGGTGCGTTCCAAGATCTTATCCCTCCTCAGAGAAGTAGACTTCCAGAGCACACTTGCCATCCTCCTCCAGGAGTCTGTTCAGTGGGCTCTTGCCCACACAGACCTTGCCCACAAGGACCATGTCTTATGAGCTCAGAAATCACAGCTCGTGGCACAAGGCTGGGCAGAGCTGTTCTGCAATTAAGAGTTCGTTGAATGAATGAATGAATGAATGATGGGGGAAGTGGCTGAGCCTGTAGACTTCAGCCTATTTGCAACTTCCCCAGGAAGACCTGCCTTCACCTCCTCCCAACAGATTATCACCAGGAACACCACCAGTTAGTGAGCACTTGTATCTGCCACAGGCTTGGCAGGCACTGTCTCCTCTAAAGCCCATGGGGAGGTGGGTCCATCAGGCGGAGACAAGTCAGGTGGACACAAGTGGCCACAGCCCAGGCCAGCCCTTGCCTTCCCTGTGTTCTGTGTAAGGCCTGAGTCACAATTCATTGAGTGTCTGTTTCCCTCTCTGCACTGCTTCAAGTGGGCAAAGGTTATGTCTGTTTGCTTGTGGTCTTACCCTCATCCTTGTACACAGTAGGCCCTCAAGCATGTTTAGTTGCGTATGTCGATGAACAAATGATTGAATGGAGAGATGGAGAGCAGGCACTTCCTGTAAGAAATGGGCTTTCTCCCACCATGGACTCTCTGAACATCAGTGAGATAAGCAGAGCAGGGAGTAGGCCCCAGGCAGGGGTGAGGGTGACCCGCCCATCCAACAGTGTTTGCATGGTCCTGGGGTCACAGCCAGAGCCACTCTGGGTACCTGCCCCTCCCTGGAATGGGGGTAGGGGCAGAGCCCCTGGCTGAGACCAGCATTCAGCTCCAGCTGTGGAACCCCCAGAAGATTCTGAGGGCCCTGGGTTGACCCTCAATGGTCTTCAGCCACCCTTCTTCCTCTGCCCCAGAGAAGATGGGCGTCCTGGGATCTGAAGGGTCCGAGGTCAAGTTTCAGTCCTGTCCCAGCCTCTGCCAGGGAGCCTGTGCTGGACCAGGATTCCTTTACATTTGGATTTGGAGACCCTCCTGAGAAGCGGACCCTCACCTAGTTCGTTGAAATTCTCATCTCCCCAAAAGTCCGTTTCTCTGGGGGAGAGGAGCAGATGGGGACACCCCGGGAGCAAGCACCTGGCTCTGCCCTGGCACGCCCCGTGACTGACAGATGCAAATGTCCCGCCGGGCCCCCGCAGGCCGCTCCCTCCCTTGCTGGCTCGCCCGCCTCCCGGCCAGCTCCCTCCCTCCTTTATCTTATCAAAGCCCGGTAATTACAATTGCTATTTTGTTTCCTCGAATCTGCAATCAGAGCTCCCTGGCCCAGATGAGGGAGCGCCTGTCAACCTGATCGCTGAGTGACAGCCCGGCCACCTTTCCTGGCCGCCCCCACACTCCGCAAACACAAACACACACACGCACAGACACAAACTCCCTCGCCTGCAAACACAAACACACACTCCTCGCCAACACAAACGGCCCATCTCCGCAGACACGCCCTCGCCTGCACCCAGACACACTACTTCAGCCTATTTCCAAACGCACCCCTCGATCCCAGCCCATCCCCCGGCCCCTCCAATCCACACCCGCCGGAGACCGCAGCTCGCTCCGACGCGCGCTTCCTGCGCCGGGCGTTCAAAGCGCCGCGGACTCACTGCCGACCGTTCAAATGCAAATCGCCGAGACTACGTTAAGCACTTCGGCCACTGTCTGGGAGTCGTCTCCCTCGGCCCCCAAATAGAAGCCTGCCCTTCCTCCAGCAGTCGGCAAACCCCGGCGTATGCCTTCATCCCCCAGGGGTCTGAGGCCACAGTGAGCCGGCAGCGCTCCTACTGTGCGCTGAAGGGCAAAGAAGAGGGCTCGAGGAGAGGCTGGGGCGAGGAGAGAGGAATAAACCTTGCCCAGCTGTGTCCGCGGGGCGCCCCAACCGGCCGAGAAACTCTTGGGCCGAGAGGCTGATGTGGATTGGGCCCCCACTGCGGGCAGGAGCGTGCTCGGCGCAGGCCCGCGCCCACCGGGAGACCTACCCGGAAAACCGGCGAGAAATGCAAGGAGCGATCAGTGGCATCGCGGGGGGTGGGTGGGGTAAATATTGGGGCGGAGCCGCGCAGGGGGTAGATGGGTCAGCTAGGGAGGCCTCCCAGGAGAGAGGACTCAGCCAGTCTCCCGCTCCTCCTGCCAAGCACGTGCCGAGGACTTTGGAGGCTGGGGCCAAGAAGAGGAAGGGAAAGAGGAGTGAGGGCCACAGCCAGACTTCCCCACTCCAACTCAAGTCGTTCGAATGAATGAATGAACGTATGCACGCATGCATGCAAGCCTCAGTGGCATTCCCCCGCCTTCCGCCCAAGATTCGGCCGCCCAGAGCAGTGGCGGGACTCGGAGGCCCCGGCCCCACGGCGCCCGCCCGGAGCCTCTAGAGGCCAGGGAAGCGGTACGACCACGAGCGGCTTCAACCTCGCCCGCCAGAGGGCGCCAGCCCCGACTTCCCTCTCCCTGCCGACCGCGCTCCGCAGCGAGACCCATGGTTCCCAGCCAGGCCGCCCCTCCGCCGGGCTCCCCAGGGAAGCATTTTTAGCAGCGCCCTCCTGGATCGGAGAAAGGCGCCTGCGACCCAGATCACCGCAACACAGACGGGCGTCATCTCCCTTTGTCCTCAACTTGAGGAAGAGGGAGGTTGGAAACTGGACCCCTAGTTCCTCACCACGGGCTGGGGGAGAACCTCCTTCACTAGGGATGCGCTGAAGAGCGTGCGGGTCGGTACTGCGGACGCAAGGTCTTCAAAGCTGACCTCACCTGCCCCAGAACCACCAGCCCGCGATATCCCGGGGCCCCTCCCCCTTGACTAGAGGCTGGGAGTGGGAGTTGGCCTGACCCCCATCAGGCCCTGTTCTCTGTCTATCCTCAGCCTGTCTGGCCCCAGGTTGTCTGGGGAGGCAATGTTTTGTTTGTTTGTTTGTTTGTGGGCATTGACAACCCTCCCCCCACAACCAACACAGCTGCTGAACTGCTGACCCCAGAGCTGGTCACATACACTCATCCTCAAACCAGGTGTGTCAGTTCTTCCTGGCACAAAGGCAGCCAAGTGCCAGAACTACCTGATTCCAGGCACCAAAGACCCCCAGACCCCACGGTGTGTGGGGGACAAGAATCCCTTAGTCCAGGAGGCAAATTCCCTGGGGCCCCTTTCTGCCCCCATATGCCAGGCCACCCGGATTCTGGTTTCCCTGTCACCCAATCTGGCCAGTCCCCTCCATCTGGCCCCCGGAGTCAGGTTTCTCTAAGGGCCCAGCCCTGCTCAGAGACAGCCTGCAAGGCTCAAAGGAGGAGCGAAGCCTGGTCCCGCCCTGCCCTCACAGGCCCTCTCTGGGCCAGAGACCCTCGTGGGGCTAGGGACGCGCATTCCTCAGGCTGCCTAAGCTCGCTTATCTGCCCCCCTGCCCATCAGCCGAGTGCTGACAGAGGCCCAGACCCCTTGTTTGGATGCTGATAACCTCCTGCGATGACCCTCTCCCACCTGCAGAGACTGGGAATGGGCTGAGTGTTGGGAGGTCCCCTTCCAGCAAGGCAACTGGGGCCCAGGCCCCAGGTCCTAGCCCAGGGCCATGAGGGTAGAGGATCCCACAGTTCTCCACCCTCCCCCAGGCCCAGGGCCACGCTGGGTGCTTCCACAGTGCCACCTGGCGGTCCCTAGGGAAACATCACCCAGCACAGGAAGAAGCCACACAAGAGCTGCAAAAACTCCACACCACTTTATTTCAACCTTTATCCAAAAATGTAAAAACTATTAAAAATGTGTAGCTCTGAGCTTCAGGCACTAACCTCCAATTCTCACAGGCAGGTGGGAAGGGAGGCCCCGGGCATGGTGAAAATCAGAAAACCACGGCTGTGTGGAGCACAGGCCCTCTCCTAGCACCAAAGACCCAAGTCCCTCCCACCCAACCCCCACCCAAGCTCTCCTCTTCAAGGAAGAAATATTTACAATTGTTGAAACTTGTCAGGGAACAGGGTGCATGGCGGTGCATGGCACATGGAGCTGACCTGAAAAGAGGAAACAAGGAATCAGCATTTAGGCCCTCACCTGCTTCTCCTGCCCCTTCCCAGAGCCTGCTAGGCACTTCTCCCCGCAACTCACCTAGGAGGGCTAGGGCCTGCCCCCCTGCTTTTTGGCAGGAAGGATGGGGCACAGCTCAACTTCTTCCTCATCACTGTCCTCTTCCTCTTCCTCGCTCTCCTCCTCAGAAACATCATTGCTCATCGTAACTGGTGGACACACAAGCAGTAGAAGGATGGGGTGTTAAGACCAGACCGTTTCACACCGCATGCCATTTCTTCACGCCGTGGTGTTAGGCTTACAGGGACCATGACCTCCCAGTGCTTATGGGCTAGGTGGGAAGAACCTCAGACCCTAAACTGGGTCACAAAGAGCCAAAGGAGTCTTCATTATTGGAGCTGGAGAAGTTGGGCCATGTTCCATGGAGGAGGTAGGCTTGAGTAGACGGAAAGGAGAGGGCATGTCATGCACAGGGCACAGCGTGGAGGGCACACAGACCTGTACAGGGCTGCACTGGGAGATGAGGGTGGGATGGGGCAGGAGTGCGGAGTGGGGGAAGCCTGATGGGAGAGTCCACTGGAAGCAAAGGAGAGGGCCCTCCCCTCTTCTCACCAATCTGGTGCCGCCCAGTGATCCGCACAGGGCCAGAGCCCGACTTCAGGCGGAAGGTTACAGGTGGTTGGAGCTGGAAGTCATCCAGACTGAGCTGGGAGGAAGACAAGGATGAAGGCCTGGCCCACTCCTAGCCCACCCCACACTGTAATGAGTGCTAACGTCCTCAATCCCCTCACCACCACCACCACCACCACCAAGGCAGAGCTGGGGAACTCACCATGGGTTGGCAGGACAGCTTGAGGTTGGCCACAGGGACTGCGATCTCCTGATGGTCATGGTTCCGGGCCACAACTTCTACCACATTACACTCGTCTTTGGCTCCCTCGGTGAGGCAGAGCTGGGAACGGTACACAGGGCCTCAGGGTCTCCTCAAGTGAGGGTTGACACCACAACTAAAGGCATCTACCCTAGCACCTGCCCAGCCTCAGAGGTCCCGGTTCACCTGGCCAGGGGAGCCGCCCATGCCGGGGGGTTAGGCTGAGGATGTGTCTCCAAGTAAAGGGGATCCGGAGGTTGGGTAGAGACCTATATTGCCTGCCTGGGCTTATTCATTAAAACCCCACTCCCCTGCCCCTCACCATGGTTAGTGCCAGCACGTGCTCCGCATCATCCTCTTCCTCTACCTTAAAGGTGAAGGAGCGGGTGTGGCCGGAGAGCTCACAGCCTGGTAGAAATAACAGTGAGTATGCCTGAGCGTGTGTACGGGGCTGGGCAGCGGGGGATGTCACCAACCCGCCGTCACGTGTAACCTTGGGCGGACGGGTCATTTACACGTCCACCTCCGTCTCTTCTCTCAGAACACCTGGGACGCTCTGCCGTGGGCCCCGCCCAACACATCTGGGGCAGGGATCTCGCCACCCCCTTTGGCTGTGCGTGCGAGGCCCCCTCTCCTGCGGGAACAGCGAAGCAGCCCTCCGCCCACACCCACGCCTTGAAACCCTCCGCATTCCCGCCTCACATCCCTACCTCTTACCGCCCCAGTACCACCCTCAGCCTCTCCCTTCACTAATACCGAAGAAAAAACTGTCCATAGTGACCGGGGCCGGGACCCGTAGGCCCCCGACACCCCCGGCCCGCGTTCGGCTCTCCTGACTCAAAAACGCTAAGGCAGCTGCAGTACCGGCGGCCATGCTGTAAGAGCCTTCTTCAAACTCCGCCCCCGACACGCACAAAGCCGGGGACCCTCGGCCAGTTCCGGCCCCGCCCATTAAAGGAGACGCACAGTCCTGGAAAAGAAAAGGCGCCGAGACCCCGCAGCCCTACCCGGAGCCCGCAGCTTCTGCTCATATTTTATCAAGACCGAAGAGAAAGGAAGTAACATCACAGAAGAATGGATTTGGGGTTTATGTTAACATCCTTGCTCATTTCCACGACCATGAGGGTGTCCACTTCCCCAAGCTCCTCGCTCTGTGTCGGAAGAGTGTCTCCCACTCTTCCAACCCAGGGTAAGCTTTCGTTAAAGGAGTTATAGATATAAAAATGTAAACCCTTCTTACTCCTCCCAGCAAAGGTGGGGTTCAGGGCAGTGCTTTTCTGCTACAAGCAAAGGAAATGCACTCAGATTGTCTTTGCCTCAAGAGAGCCGAGGAGCCTTAGGAATTTCCATCCCAACACGTCTGTCCTGTCTGTCCTCTCGGCTAAGCCTCTCTTAATTCTTCCTGCTCTAAAGACCCCGCAACTTGCTATGCCTTCACTGAGACTTAGCTGCTGGCACTTGCTAGCAGAGGACTAGTTAGCTCATGTGTGTTGGCTGTTCCTGGCCCACCCACGCTTTTTGAGCTTTTAATTCCAAATCATCCAGGAGTATCTTTGCGCCGTGGATTATTTTGTCAGTTTATGCTACTCGCGCCATCTTTCGCCTTTTAAGAATCAGGCAAACTGTGTGCTTTCTATCCTAATAGATGGCAAAACTCAAACTAGAGGCCCTATTTCACATCCAGGTTATAACTGTGGCAAGAGGGTGGGGTGGCTTGGCTAAAAACTAGTCTACTTTTCTTAGCTCTTGTCTTAATGAAAATCTGGAAGTCTTACTGGTGATGGAGGTAGGGGAGGGCTGCCTTCAAGATCCAATCTCTAACTTGGAACAGCTGTGGAGAGGAGAGAATACCTGCTTGTAGGTGAGGCATGAAAGAGGAGAAAAGGGAGGGGGCAGACAGGAAATAGATTCACACAATACAACACGACAAGCATTCACTTCAAGTTTTATTTTGCCTCTTGCATGGTCTTTTACAGTTCGTTTTCTACAGGAACTGAGCTCTGATCCAAACAATCAATAAAAATGTAATTCCAACCTTAATATTCATAACCAGGAAATAGCATAGCACTTCATGATCCTAGAGTGATGAAAGCAAGACCAGGGCATCTGTTTCACAGTCACCTGTGACCAGACCAGCCAACATGATTACTAAAAGCCAAGATAAAACCAAAAGCAAACTTGCTAAAAAATCCTGAATTCCATGAGGTTAACTCTGAAATCCTCCAAACAAAATGCTAGAATTGTCCACTAGTGTTAAGACGAGAAAACTGAGGAAAACTCAGCTGTCTTACTATCTGGTAAGAGTCTTCCCTTCATCTCAAGCCCTCAAAAATGCAAACTTGGTTCCAGCTTTACAACATACCATATCCTTCTATCGGTTAAAGGTTTCTAACCTAAAAACCTTCTCTCCTTTCTTCTCACCTATTTAGTGCATACTCAAAGGCTTTGGTTGGAAGTCACTAGGTACCACTAGGTACAATGCTTTAGGGCTCTCTCAAAGCCCACAATGGTGGAGTTCTGTGAAAGAAAACTTAAGTTTCTTTCTCTTTACCCCTCTCCCCTCACTCAGCTCAAAGTTAAACAGCTGATGCAAAACTACAGAGAAGCAAGATAACAAAATACTGTTATCAATCTATGGAGAAATCAGCCAGCCATGATGAAAAAATGAGTCCTGCCGACTATCTGCCAGCTTCATGCTCAGAACCCTTAAAAACACAGAATCTAAATTAAAATACATGAAGCTTTCACAATCCGGTTAAAGGAAAAAGGTAACTGTAAATAACTGGTTAAAGTGTGCTCATTCATTCAGAAATTAGATACAAACATGCAAGAATTAAAGACTCTGATTTAATAAAATCAGTAGTAACAGGTCTTGAGATTAAACAACTGACCTGAGGGCAAATGGGACCAATCAGTCCCTGAACCCTACCTGACATGTCAAATCCAACATTTCACATGCTGACCTAATATTGAGGTTAATTTCCAGAAGTAACTGCACTTTTCAACAGATTAAGTCCTACAAAATTAGGCTCTCGTACCCCAAATGGTCATGGCCTACGCCTAGGTGGGAGGCACTTTAAAAATAATAAAACTTCAAAAAGAACAAAAACAACCCCAAACCCAAAGACAAAAGTAAAGAAAATCCACTTTTCACTGGTTTACATTATTCAAAGTGCCATTCTGAACCAACACCCTTTCATTTATAGAGGAAAAAAATTTACAAAAACAGTAAACACAAAGGATAGTCAGGTTACAGCTAGTTTATATACAAAGAAATTTACAAGTTTGTCAATTGTAGGCTTTTGCCACAAACAAATGCACATTTGTCCCTACAAAGTACAACATGCCTGAACCAACAGTCATTACAGGAGACAATTGGCCACGGCTTTACAAAAAGCAGAATAACTGCCCCAAATTGAAATTATTTATTCAGCTTAAACTAATGCCACAACCATCCCACTTGGAATCACTCCACCCTGACACTTCTGAAACCCACTCTTTCTTTCTTTCATCTCTGCCATGTCCCCTAAGACTGAGAGGCATTTCACTCAATAAACCAAGGAAGATGACAGATGTTATCTTGATTACTCTCAGGTGAGAAACGCAACCACACTGGATGCAGAAAATAGTGCTGACTACATTTATTGAAGACTCTCTCCCTGTATAAGCCCATGTAAAAGGTCTCAGCACCTAACACAAGACTCAAAAAGGAAGCCCACATCTCTCTTTCATACAGGATTTGCTGCAATACTATATTCTTCCAACCAGTGAGTAGTCTCAAAGTGTGATGGGTGAGTTTTACATAGTCTTCTTTGTTTCGAATCCAATTGGCTGATTTGTTACCATTCTAGAGGCTGAACTGTATGAAGACCTCAACTACCATTCACAAGGTGCAGTTAAGAGACTTTTGGACAGTTCACAGTGTCAACAAATGTCACAGGCTCCGACCAAGTATAACCACATCCTTTGGAAATCCTTCCATTTTTGCAATTTCAAAACATCCTAACTTGCTGTAAAATTCCAGAATTCTTTTATCATCTGGTCTCACTTCACAGAAAGCTCCCCGGGAGCCTAGAAATAAAACAAATATTCAAAACATAAATAAGTCACTTAATTAGTATAATTATAGATATAAAACTATAATCTTCGAGATGGTTAATATAAACAGGGCTTGTCTGTCTACACCAGCTCCTACATTTCACACAATTAAAAAAATTCATATTCAAAAAATTCAATAATGAGTGGCGTGAGCCACTGCACCCAGCTTCCCCCGCACCCGAGACAGAATCTTGCTCTGTTGGAGTCCAGTGGCAAGATCACGGCTCACTGCAACCTCCGCCTCCCGGCTTCAAGCAAGTCTCCTGCCTCAGCCTCCCGAGTAGCTGGGATTACAGGCGCCTGCCACCACTCTTAGTAGAGACAGGGTTTCACCATGTTGGCCAGGCTGGTCTCGATCTCTTGACCTCATGATCCGCCCACTTCGGCCTCCCAAAGTGCTGCGTGAGCCACCGTGCCCGGCCTTTTTTTTTTTTTTTTTTAAATTAGGTAGAGATGGGGTCTCAGCCATATTGCTCAGGCTGGTCTCAAACTCCTGGACTCAAGTGATCCTCCCACTTCGGCCTCCCGAAGTGCTAGGATTACAAGCATGAGCCACTAAGCCCAACCAGCATTTCTCAATTATTAATACACATGCGATTCTTCACCACTAATTAATTCAGAAACCAAATCATAAAAGGTGGGAAAAGCAGTATAAATTTACAATTCACTTCTTTCCTTTTATATCCAAAAATATATAGTTCTTTCCCTATCTTGCCCAAATACCACCAACTCCACAAATATGTACTCACCATTAGCCTTCAGTGAAGACAGGAGGCAAGCCATCATGCTTTTGGCCACACTTGGGTCAGTTACTTTTTTGTGAATGTCCATCTTTATCAGAGAAGGGAAATTAGCAAGGAAAGTTTCTGGCAGTACTTCCTGTTCTTCATGGAAACTCAACATTATTTTCTGGAAAAATTAGAATCTCTTGACTTTCACAATAGTTACGCATTAGATATCTAACCCAACTACAGAACTTAGCAACAAGAAAGCAATATTTAATAACTCTTCCAGTCACTATGTAAATTATCTCACACAGGATTATCCTATAATTCTAGCTGAAGCATTTTCACTTTCTTTGAGACAGGATCTCCTTCTGTTGGCCAGGCTGGAGAGGGGCAGGCATTCTCCCTCGCGTGCACGCGCTCTCTCTCTCTCTCTCTCTCTTTCCCTATTTATATCGTCAGGGCTGGTCTCGAATTCCTGGGCTCGAGTGATCCTTCTATCTCGGCCTCCTGAAGTGCTAGAATTACAAGTGTGTGCTGCCGTGCCTGGCCACCGTTTTCACTTTTAAAAGCTTGGGCCAGAGATCAAGACCATCCTGGCTGACACAGTGAAACCCTGTCTCTACTAAAAAAAAATACAAAAAATTAGGTCGTGTTGGCGGGCACCTGTAGTCCCAGCTACTCGGGAGGCTGAGGCAAGAGAATGGCGTGAACCCAGGAGGCGGAGCTTGCAGTGAGCTGAGATGGCGCCACTGCACTCCAGCCTGGGCAACAGAGCGAGACTCTGTCTTAAAAAAAAAAAAAAAAAAAAGTTTGGGTTGGGTCTAGTAGCTCACGCCTGTAATCCTAGCACTTTAGGAGGCTGAGGCAGGCAGACTGCCTGAGCTCAGGAGTTTGTGACCAGCCTGGGCAACAAAGTAAAACCCTGTCTCTACTAAAAACATAAAAAATTAGCCAGTCATGGCGGCGTGCGCCTGTAGTCCCAGCAACTCGGGAAGCTGAGGCAGGAGAATTGCTTGAACCCGGGAGGCAGAGGTTGCAGTAGGCTGAGATCCTGCCACCGCACTCCAGCCTGGGCGGGGAAAAAAAAAAAAAAAAAAAAAAGTTTTCTGGCCAGGCGTGGTGGCTCACTCACACTTGTAATCCCAGAACTTTGGGAGGCCGAGACAGGTGAATCACAAGGTCAGGAGTTTGAGACCAGCCTGGCCAACATCGTGAAACCCCGTATCTAGTAAAAATACAAAAATTGGCTGGGCCTAGTGGTGGGCGCCTGTAATCCCGACTACTCGGGAGGCTGAGGCAGGAGAATCACTTGAACCTGGGAGGCGGAGGTTGCAGTGAGCCGAGATCGCACCATTGCACTCCACCCCAGGCGACAGAGGGAAACTCCGTCTCAAAAAAAAAAAAAAAAATTTTGTCTAAATGCTATGTGGTATTGGATCCTGGAACAGGAAAAGGACATTAGCAGAAAAAACTGGTGAATAAAGTTTGGTGTCTGATTAATAATATACCCATGTTGGTTACTTAGACTTCACCAATACAGAAAATGGATAAGGAGTATACAGAAACTCTGTTTTAACTCTGCAACTTTTCTGTAAATCTAAAATCATTTAAAATACATAAAATATTTTAAATTAACGTATTCCTTACATGAAAATGTGCAAATTTTATGTTATTTATATTTTACCACAATTTTTAAAAAGTTCTTATGCTGAAAAGTGTCAGATGTGGAACAGCAATACATCAGCAGCTCAATCACCAGCATAGTGTCAGTGTAATCCCAAGTAAGCGAGGCAACACCAAACCAGCCTCTTGTTACACAGCCATGTGACTAAGGGCAGAAGGTAAAATATAGAAATAAACTATGAAGAAAATGAGGCCAGGCGCGGTGGCTCACGCCTATAATCCTAGCACTTTGGGAGGCTGAGGAGGGCGGATCACCTGAGGTCGGGAGTTTGAGACCAGCCTGACCAACATGGAGAAACCCCGTCTCTATTAAAAATATAAAATTATCCGGGCGTGGTGGCACATGCCTGTCATCTCAACTACTCGAGAGGCTGAAGCAGGAGAACTGCTTGAGCCTGAGAGGTGGAGGTTGCGGTGAGCCAAGATTGCGTCACTGCACTCCAGCCTGGGCAACAAGAGCAAGACTCTGTCTCAAAAAAATAAATAAATAAATAAAAAGACTATGAATACTTTGGTGTGGTGGAGAGGGGTAGAGAATTTTAGAAAAGGAAAAGAGAAACAACATAGAAGAAAAGAAAAAAGTATCACAAGTAGGGGTCCAAATATCTTATTTACTGTGCATAAAAACTATCCTCAAGAAGGAACTATCTAAAAAATGCATATACTGGCCAGGCACAGTGGCTCGTGCTTGTAATCCTAGCAGTATGGGAGGCCGAGGCAGGCGGACTGCTTGAGCTCAGGACTTTGAGACCAGCCTGGGCAACACGGCGAAACCCCATCTCTACAAAAAAAATACAAAAAAGTTAGCTGATGCGTAGTGGCTTGCACCTGTAGTCCCAGCTACTTGCAGGGCTGATGCAAGAGGATAACTTGAGCCTGGGAGGTCAAGGCTGCAGTGAGCCATGTTTGTGCTATTGCATTCCTGGGTGACAAGGTGAGACACTGTCTCAAAACAACAACAACATATACTGATGTATAAACCAAAATAATCACGTAATGTGTTGGCCAACATGGGGCATAAAACTTTTTTGGAGATGAAAAATGTATTTAAGTTGGGACAGGACAGACTTATTAAGAAGTGCTCCTATCACAAAGTAGACTCTCAAGAGCTCTTATTTTTAAATCACAATGTAGAATGCATTAGTCAGAAGGCAAGTTATTAACCTTCTGAGAAACCACCAAATAGATTTAAATTACTTAAATTGTCCTGAGTACTCAACAAAACGACCATAATATCTTGTTTTTTTTTTTTTTTTTTTTTTTTTGAGACAGAGTTTCACTCTGCTGCCCCGGCTGGAGTGCAGTGGCGCCATCTCAGCTCACTGCAACCTCCCGCTCCTGGGTTCAAGCAATTCTCCTGCCTCAGCCTCCTGAGTAGCTGGCATTACAGGCACCCGCCACCACACCCAGCTAATTTTTTTTTGTATTTTTAGTAGAGATGGAGTTTCACCACGTTGGCCGGGCTGGTCTTGAACTCCTGACTTCAGGTGATACACCCGCCTTGGCCTCCCAAAGTGCTGGGATTACAGGCACGAGCCACTGTGCCTGACCAAGACCATAACATCTTTAAGTATGAAACTTTAAAACAGAGGAAAAAAATGTTCTTTGTCTTTATTGTGTTTTCACCTGAGGAAATATTACAATAGTACTCCCAAATAAAAAACTGTCCCAATATTGGGGAAACAGTGAAAAATGTCATGCTAAGAATAAGCCATAAGAATTCTTTCTGCAAGAAAATTAATTTAGAAAGCACTAAGATTTTATGATGTATCTATGTACTTTTCCATTTTAGTAAGTACTTTAATAAAAAATAAAAATAAATAAATAAAAAAGACCATTACCATAGTATAATTCTTAACCTTTGTATTACCTCAGCCTCAGAGAGTTCCTTGTCACCATTTGGCTTGGTATACTTCTCCTGCATGAAGGGGATCCAGGAAATTTTACATTTTTTAATAAAGGGGGTCACATCTACAGTGCCCAAGGCATAACCACATATGCCATCTTCATCTTCTAGGACAAAGCAGTAATCCAGGCTGAGGGAAAGCAGCCCTCCTACTAACCTGCTCAGAAGGAAAGAGGCCACAGTAAACTTTTCAGTTGCTAATATAAAATTCAGACTTCAGTGATCCAAGACCCACTGTACTTGCATGAACTTACGGAACCTACATTTGGTGTAAGAAACTAGAAATGCACACATATTCAGATTTTACTAAAGCCAAAGTGGGATTTAAAATAAATAAATATATTTCCAGTCATCACCTCCCCTCAACCTGATAAGCCTCACTATGAAAGGTCTACTCTCAAATCCAAATACTTATCACATACTTGTCTCCAATAAGATCAGGCTGACTTTGAAAGGGTAAACCCACTCCATCGTCATACATTTCTCTGCAAATCTTGTACACGGATGCCTGAAAATATAATCTAGTTAAGCAACACATCAAGAAAAATGGCAGCAGAATCTAACAATATAACTCACAAGTCAGTCTGGGGAGGGAGTAACAAAATGGCCTGTCAGAAACATCTATCAGAAATATCACCTCTTCTTTGTAAAATAAAGATTTATTCATTGAGTCAGATTTGTAAAACCAGCAAAAAACAGCAAGGTTTTAGGAATACTGAGAATTGGCTTTTGCAGAGGATGGTTTTTTTGTTTTTTGAGACAAAGTCTTGCTGTCACCAGGCTGGAGTGCAGTGGTGCAATCTCGGCTCACTGCAGCCTCCACCTCCTGGGTTCAAGTGATTCTCCTGCCTCAGCCTCCCAATTCGCTGGGATTACAGGCATACGCCACCATACTCATCTAATTTTTTTTTTTTTTTGAGACGGAGTCTCTGTCACCTAGACTGGAGTGCAATGGCACGATCTTGGCTCACTGCAACCTCCGCCTCTCAGGCTCAAGTAATTCTCCGGCCTCAGCCTCCAGAGTAGCTGGGATTACAGGCACCCGCCACCACGCCCAGCTAATTTAGTATTATTTTTTATTATTTATTATTTTTTTTTTTTTTTGAGACGGAGTCTCGCTCTGTCGCCCCAGGCTGGAGTGCAGTGGCATGATCTCGGCTTACTGCAAGCTCTGCCTCCCGGGTTCAAGCCATTGTCCGGCCTCAGCCTCCCGAGTAGCTGGGACTATAGGCACCCACCACCGCACCCAGCTAATTTTTTTTGTATTTTTAGTAGAGACAAGGTTTCACCATGGTCTCGATCTCCTGACCTCGTGATCCGCCTGTCTCGGCCTCCCAAAGTGCTGGGATTACAGGCATGAGCCACCAAGCCCGGCCTATTTGTATTTTTAATAGAGAAAGGGTTTCACCATGTTGCCTAGGCTGGTCTTGAACTCCTGACCTCAGGTGATTTGCCCACCTCGGCCTCCCAAAGTACTGGGATTACAGACGTGAGCCACCGCGCCTGGCCCTGTTACTGTCTTTAAACAGTCTTGCTTTTTTCTTTAGCTGATTGTCAACAGCCTGTAGATACTTCACAATTGAAAGAAAATTACAGAACACCAATATATTAGAGATAATTAGTCTAAGGACAACACATCATTTAGACACATTAACTATTTTGTAACTCCAACTCTGAATACATTTCATCTGACTTTCTCAAGGGAGAAATTAAAGAACTTGGCACAAGATGTTAAAAGTCTAAACTCCTTAAATTTCTCAAGATACACTGAATGTTTTAATGAACTTTCTCCATCTAAAGTTTGCAGTTTTAAGACAGAAGGATTCCTTTAACCAGTGAGTTAAAAGGTTAAGTTTTAAGTGTGCACCATACCCATACACCAAGTTGGTAGGTAGAGAGACAATTACCTCATCCTTAGGAAAATAAGGTCTGATAGTATAAACTTTGGAGGTAGGAGTCAGTGGAGGTGGCTGAAAAAAGAGATCATTTGCCCCATCAATTGGCAGCAAACGCTGTGGGAAGAAAAAAAAGGAGATGGATTAGTTTGGGGAAGGTATCCATTTTTTTAAATGGGTGTGCACTGCAGATTACCAACTTATATTAACTGGCTACTGCAGGCAGACCTAAAGAAGAGGGGTGTACTATGCTTTACTAATAGAAATACCTCTTTGCTGGGGGAGGGGAGTGCTTCTGAATAGAAATTACCCACTCTGAGTTACAGCTTTAGTGGCATATTAATGGGGATTTAAATTTACAGTAAAAACAAAAACAAAAACAAAAACAAACCTATTCCAATTATGACAAATCTATTTTTTTTTAAAACCTATCTTAGATAGACCATCTCCCTACGATAAGATGGCAGAACAGAATGTCAGGAGGAGAGGTTTGGTCTGAAGAGGGTTATCTGTCCAGGAGACGCTTTATCCCCAAAGCAATGCGCTTCAGTTTGCTGTGCGCAGCAGAGCACCTGTTGGGGGGAGAAAAGTAGAGCACCTAGAAAGTCCATGAACAAATTCCAGCAGCAAAAAAACTTCCTATTTTGTTCATATTTTCAGCAATGGACAATTCTTTCAAGCACATTATATTTATAAAATAATTGGATAAATATCCAAAAGCTCTTTCACCATTTATTGGCATAATTACTATCTTTTGTTCATGGAGCTTCCACTGGCAGACAAGCATGCGCGCATTGTGCATTGCGGGCGCAGATTAAAATGCTGTGCGACCTGCAAAGAAACAATGTGAAGTGTATACCTAGAGCCGCTGCGCTTCGCAGGCGCGGGGGGGATTGGCAGCATCTCCTTCAGAAATTACTGTGAAAGAGGAGGAAAATTTGATTTAAAAATCCAGCTATGTAACTAAATTGAATTTGGGACTAGAAAGCCTTCGGCAGACCAATCCTTCCAGCCATCTGATGCGCAACATAAGGTTTCTCATAAAACAAAGAAAATGTCAATTCAGTTGTGAATTCATATTGATACCTGGAACTCTCCTGCTAGACCACCTCTAAAGGCCCAGGGTTCTTGGTCTCCAATTAAGAATTGTGCTGAAGAATGACTACGACACCCTGTTGAGATCAGATCCAAGCGGAGAACGTTACGAGAAAGGGGATTTCCTGGGGTCTCAAATGTCCAACAAACTGACAAACACTTCGTGGAAATAACTCTCTAACAATAATCAGGGTTTCAGGGCAAGGCTATGATAATAATTATTATTTTTTAAAATGTTAACGGCATTTCAATACTAATGTTCCTTCCTCCAATTAATGAATAATCAGTATTATCAGTTCTACTCTTTAATTACTGGAAGGAAAGTAAGTCCCAAGTTTGTCTGAGTCAACTTTATATATTCCCTAGATATTATACAAATCAAGCTAGCTGCTTGCTCTGTCATAAAATTATAGTAACTATTAACTAAAATGACTGATAATTAGACACTTTATTATCACAGCCCATGAAGGAATTCAACCTGTCTGAAGTCACATTTTACATTTTGAGGAAGGGTACAGGTAAGGGAAAAGGGCGGGGGAGAAGGATTAATCTTGTCAGAAAACTAAGGTCAGTAGAATAAAATACAAGAAATTAAGTTGACAAAATGAAACATAATGAGAAAAATTTTTTTGGACAAAAACAATTCAAAATCAGACTTGGCTAATAATACCAGTCTGACAGATTCTGAGAACTAAGGAGAGCCAATTGATGTTATTTTGCCCAGAGCTAAATATACTTTTCTTAAAAGTATGACAGTATCTGGTTCCTCTGACCAGCCATTATAATAATCTTTGCAATACACTGAACATACACATGGAATACAGAAGTCTCTATTTAAGGTCACCAGTTAACTAACTTAATAGGCAATAACGCTAGCTAACAGTAAGACATAAAGGCAAATGTTTGGAGGCCAAATCAAAATCACTTGCCTAGTCTTCTGACAAGATAAAGCAGCGCAATATAGTTCTTTTCCATTGGAAGACAGCATTCTACCTCCTGTTCAAGTTAACAGTCTCATCAGTACAAATATAGTGTGCTAGTCAGACAGTCCCAAAGCAAACCAATTTTTTGTTAACAATTCAGGCCCATTAAGAGTTTGTATCTGGTTTGTCATTTTTCAAGGGTAGGGGTACTTTTAAAAAACATAAAATGTAGTATTTGTAAAATAAATATGAAACAGGGTCAAAATTTAGACTATACGAGAACCTGTCCCATTCCGTAACTCAGTGTAATTTACACTGCAGGAAAAAAACTATACCTCTCAAACTTTAAGATCAGCCAATTTCCCCTACCCCCTACTTTGAGACTACAACATAACTAGCACTTCCAACTATTACAATAAAAAGCTGCATGTACGAAGAGCTGTGTAAATGAAAACATGGTTAATGCCTCAGTCGCTGCGCAAACGTGACTTCAGTTCATGTCTACCGCCCTTAAATCTACCTGAGCTACCTCACAGATAGAACCTTGCAATTTAAACTAATTAATCATGACGCGCTGTGAACATCTGCCGCTGTCCATCCAATAGTAGTAGACACTTGTGCTGAGGATTCTCCCATCTGTACACAATGGGGAAGAAGATAATAGAAGTCATTAGTAATCAAAAGTACTGCATAGCCACATTGTTTAAAGGACTGAATGCCAGCTGGACTGGAGAGAGGAGGAAAAGGAAGGGTTCCAATCAGTAAACCCCCTGAAATTACTACAGAACCAAGAAAATACTCTCCCTGTCGTGAGCTTTTGTAAAGCTATGTGGATATGAAGATAATTATTTAAAACTTCTAAGATGTTACAAGGGGTGTCCAATCTTTTGGCTTCCCTGGGCCACACTGGAAGAACTGTCTTGGGCCACACATAAAATACACTAATGATAGTTGATGAGCTTAAAAAAAATAAAAAATAAAAAAACTCACAATGTTTTAAGAAAGTTTACAAACTTGTGTTGAGCCACAGGCTGGACAAGCTTGCTGTAAGAGCTTGAGATTGTGTAAGAGGTATCTATATAATTTTGGAAAGCTACCACCATAAATGCTCAGTGCAGAGATAAACCCTGAGAAGAGAAAGAAACAATACTGTGTATCATTAAGAATTTAACTTTTAATAATTCTTAAATTAAAAACTGAATATCAAATGTTTTCTGTAATACATTTCAAGCTCAATAATCCAGATTTCAGGTTCAAAATTCCTAAGGGCCTTAGAAACTTAAGTTTAAATCCCTATAAGAATGAATTATAAGAACCTGAGCAGAAACCTGGAAGGCAAATGTTGTCATCCAGCAACCAATATTGAGGTCTCTTGAGCCTAAGGGTAGATGTCTCCCATGTACAGGAGCTATACAGAGCCTCCCCCCAGCCCCACAAGATGAAGTCTCGCTCTGTCACCCAGGCTGGAGTGCAGTGACACAATCTCGGCTCACTGCAACCTCCACCTCCTGGGTTCAAGTGATTCTTCTGCCTCAGCCTCCCAAGCAGCTGGGACTACAAGCACATGCCACCACGCCCAGCTAATTTTTGTATTTTTAGTAGAAATGGGGTTTCACCATATTGGCCAGGCTGGTCTCAAACTCCTGACCTTGTGGTCTGCCCGCCTAGGCCTCCCTAAGTGCTGGGACTACAGGTTTGAGCCGCTGCGCACGGTCAGTATTTCCTTTATTTATTTATTTATTTTGAGATGGAGTCTCCCTCTATCGCCCAGGCTGGAGTGCAATGGTGTGATCTCAGCTCACTGCAACCTCTGCCTCCTGAGTTCAAGCAATTCTCCTGCCTCAGCCTCTCAAGTAGCTGGGATTACAGGCATGCGCCACCACGCCTGGCTAATTTTTGTATTTTTTTAGTAGAGATAGGGTTTCACCATGCTGGTCTCATGCTGGTTTTCACCAGGCTGGTCTCGAACTCCTGATCTCAAGTGATCCACCCACCTCAGCCACCAAGAGCGCTGGGATTACAGGGGTGAGCAACCGCGCCCGAAGCTATACAGAGCCTTTTAACATGAGGTCAAAATACTCTCTTCTACCTGTTATTACAGCAATCCAAAAAAAGTTATCTATTTTCAAATTAACAATCTGAGACTCTACTTTTAGTAGCTAATTAGTTGTATCACAGGGAAACTTTTTTTTTTTTTTTTTAAATATTTAAGAGCTCAAAGGTATACAGGCAGAAAGTGGAAAATCTCACTACTACTTTTTATTCTAAGCTCACGGTGTTTCAGATATCTATTTCACAACCAAGACCATGAAACCCATCATAGTATTTGTGACTACTATGAAAACTATGACATGTCAGTCAGCCTTGCTGCCTGCTGTGTGCTGTATATAAGTCCATTACATATTCCTTATAGCTGGATTGAAAACCTGAAAATGAAATGAAGTCCCTAGAGAAACTTGGCCATGCTGGTGCTTTTTACCAAGTTTGACAATTTAAAAAAAAAAAATCAGTGTTCAAAGGAGACATACAAAAGTCCATTTAATGTAGCAGAGATGTTTAGGGGATTACAATTTCTATCCCCTGGTAAAACCAATACTTGGTAGAAGGATAAAGAAAAAGCCACGTGAAATAATACTGAATAGCACCAGAATAGCCTTACACTAAAGCTCGCATGCGCACAGGGCTGGGAGGATGGCTTCCTCTTGCCAGGCCCTTTAGGTCATTTCAGCAATTGTTCTGTTAAACATAGCATTAATGTTATCAAGACACAGCAAGCAGCAGAAAGCTTGTGGAGTCACATTTCATAGTGTCTCATCTCCAAATCAGATAAAAGTGGTATACAGGGTTCCATCCAGAAAGCATTCAGTCAGAGCAAGTTAAAGTCAGTACTTTCTAACATACTTTTAAGATACTTATGCTGAATTAGCCCAAGGGAGAAAAATTAATGTGCTTGATGTATTTACTAAGACTTGCATCTCAAGTCTTCAATAATGCCTATTTTTGAAAGAAACCTAGGCAACGAATTGAAGAGACTTGGAAATGTGCCAATTCCCTAAATGTTTTTCTCCCTGTGGGATAATTTTTTTTAAAGGGACAATATATTTGAGGAGAAGAGATTATTCCTGGTGCACCTACCTAACCACTGTACAAAAGACTTCACCATAGACATTATACTCTTGATATCCCAAACATAGGAGTACATGTCATAAAGAATTGTCCTGTTGGCACAATTGGAGAGCCGAGTGAACATTCCCATCACTAGTCCACACATCTCTTCAAACTTGGCTGCTCGTGACCGCCATTCTTCAATCTATTGAAGATCAATAAAAAGACTCAAAAAACTGTAAGCTTAACAAAATAATCTGAGACACAGTTACACATTAAGCTGCTTATGTTGTCAGGTACTGGCAATTTATCTTAACCATTAAAGTATCATTTTGTGTCTCCCCAAACTGACAAATATTCCTAAAATAATGACCTTTCCTCATTCTTAACTAGAAGGGCAAACTATGAAACTGAAGGTACCAGATTTAGTAGAGTCCACATCCACTGTAAAGAACATACTTTTTTTTTTTTTTTTTTTTTGAGACAGTTTCCCTCTCGTCACCCAGGCTGGAGTACAATGGCACGATCTCAGCTCACTGCAAACTCCGCCTCCCGGGTTCTTCAAGCGATTCTCCTGCCTCAGCCTCCTGAGTAGCTGGGATTACAGGTGCCCGTCACCATGCCCGGCTAATTTTTGTATTTTTAGTACAGATGGGGTTTCACCATGTTGGCCAGGCTGATCTCAAACTCCTGACCTCAGGTGATCTGCCCGCCTCTGCCTCCCAAAGTTCTGGGACTACAGGCATGAGCCATCATAACCGGCCTAAAGAACATATTCTAAAACATGGTCAATTTTCTGTCAGTTACAGTGTACTCATTTAAGAACCTTTTCCACATTACCAGTATGGGGAACCACCCAGGCTTCAGCAGCAGGTACATTAAACATACTCACTTTTTCAGAGTCTTTTCCTTTGCAATTGACACTGACAACACTACTATTTGCTCGAAGCCATTGAAATTCCCGTAACATCTGTGCTCCTTTGGGTCCATGCTCGTAAGGAAGGTAGAATAGATCAGCAAGTAACTGCAAATCCTCCAGGGTCACTGGTTCCGCAGTGTACAAAGGCTTTTCATTTGGACCTGGCACAAACTGCTCCTTGTTTGTCTGTTCATCAGTTTGCATGGGGGCAATGTCACTAATACAATCTTCTTGCATGGACATCTCTGGGGATTTTGATTCAGCTATGCTCTCTTTATCAGTGTCCATTGGTTTCAATTCCTCTGCCATTTTCGCTTCAACAATTTCACTCAGTATTTGATTGTCATTCTTGTGGTCCGTTTCTTCTTGTTTTTCCACCACCATGTCCATGGGTTCTTCATCAGGCTGTTTCTTTTCTTCTTCCTTGGTCAGAGTAGTAGGCTCACCACTCAAGGCTGCTCCCTGGCTCATAATGGGCTCCTGATAAACTGTTGTTACTACGGTTGTGGCATTTAAAGAGGGTGCTGCAACTAAAGGAGTCCCATCAACTACACTTGCTTTAGCTCCACTGTGTGCAACTTGCCTACCTACAAAAATAAATAAATGTATAAATAAAATGGTCACACAGATAATCAGAATTAGAGATAGAACACATTAGATTCAGAAAGATGCTTTATCATATTTGTTAAGTGGAACCTCAATTTTAGATCCAAATTAATTTGACCTCTAAGAAAAATGAGATTTCTCTATACTACTAGGGATGCAGGAATGGAAGGGCGTTGGGAGGTAAACATGCCAACATCTACTATTACATTCTCTTTTGAAAATTTGTGTCTAAAAACCCTTAAATTACTTCAAAAAATATGTTTTTAAGAGAAATTAGCATTCCATCAAAATAAAAGCTAATATTTAAGACCAAAAGTAAGATTTAAAAATCCTTATTCTCTAGATCCCCCAATTTCATTTAATTTCACTTTGCTTAGTGGGCATAAGGTAAGGCACATGACAGTGTTCTTTTTTTTGAGACAGAGTCTCGCTCTGTCACCCAGGCTGGAGTACAGTGGCTCAATCTTGGCTCACTGCAACCTCTGCCTCCCAGGTTGAGGCGACTGTCCTGCCTCAGCCTCCCAAGTAGGTGGGACGACAGGCGCATGCCACCACGCCCGGCTAATCTTTGTATTTTTAGTAGGGACAAGGTTTCACTATGTTGGCCAGGCTGGTCTCGAACTCCTGACCTCAGGTGATCCGCCTGCCTCGGCCTCCCAAAGTGCTGAGATTACAGGTGTGAGCCACCACACCCGGGAGACAGTGTTCTTTACTTTGTGACTCAACTATGTGATCTAACCCCCTTAACAAAGAATGGCCAAACTCACTGCTGTATTGATGAGGCACACCAAACTCTTGCAACCATTCTGTTAATGCTAGCTTTAGAGCCATCTGTGGACTATAGAGTACATCAGTTTCAATATCTTCATCACTGCCTTCATTTTCTAATTTTATCTGGATGGACACAGTACTATCTTCACTGTCAGCTGCAAAAAATAAAATAAAAAAGCACAAAAATAGTTTTGATTACAAAAGCCTTCTGACAAGTGAGAAGAATAAATGCAACTAGTTTTCACAGTATAACCACAGAAACAAAGAACAGAATGAGAACAAACCTTAAACATAAAAATTCAAATAAAAGCAAGACCCTTCACCAAACCACTTCATATAGGATAGTAACCTAAACGTAATGTTAAATGTAAAATCTCAATTGAAATAAGAAATATAAATTTTAGTATCAGTGGAAGAGTCAATCTTAACCGTCTACTGAGTACTAATTGTTGGGAAGTCAAGGTCAAAAGTACCATGCTTTTCGTATGAAGAAAACATTGCATAGCCTTCAGGGCCTTGTAACTTCTTTTTTTTTTTTTTTTTTTTTGAGATGGAGTCTCACCCCATCACCCAGGCTGGAGTGCAGTGGCAGGATCTTGGCTCACTACAACCTCCGCCTCACAGGTTCAAGCAATTCTCCCACCTGAGCCTCCCCAGTAGCTGGGACTACAGGCGCATGCCACCATGCCCAGCTAATTTTTCTATTATTCGTGAAGATGGGGTTTCACCATGTTGGCCAGACTGGTCTCGAACTCGACCTTGTGATCTGCCCACCTGGGCCTCCCAAAGTGCTGAGATTACAAGCGTGAGCCACTACAACCGACTGTAACTTCATTAATAAAGGCGCTGAGGGAAAAAGAAGAGGCCAGGCATGGTGGCTCATGCCTGTAATCTCAGCACTTTGGGAGGCTGAGGCGGGCAAATCACCTGAGGTCTGCAGTTTGAGACTAGCCTGGCCAACATGGTAAAACCCCATCTCTACTAAAAATACAAAAAATTAGCCAGACGTGGTGGCAGGCACCTGTAATCCCAGCTACTCGGGAGGCTGAGGCAGGAGAACTGCTTGAACCCAGGTGTCAAAGGTTGCAGTGAGCTGAGATCGGGCCATTGCACTCCAGCCTGAGCAACAAGAGCAAGACTCCGTCTCAGAAAAAAAAAAAAAAAAGAGATAATCGACAGAGACCCACAAATTAGCACACATAAGGCAACAAAGCTCTGAGCCAGGATAGTGGTAGAGAAAATTAAGTCTGAATTTTTTGATTTTGTACTTAAAAACTCTCTATTCTTAGCTTTCCTTAATATTTCCTACGTATGTCCCAGGTTTGGATAGTGTCTGCCACCCTTAGTATGTTCCTTGCTGTGCCTTAAAAGATGTAGGAGTTAAGTGCCATGTACGCTGACAGCATTTAAATTATATTCCCAATTTGTTTTTTATTGAGGGGAGGAGGATGACAATGACTGAGCCAAACAAAAGGGAGACATTAATTCAATAAACAATTCAAAGCAGAGGTATGGAATTGAGAAACAGATGACAACTATTAATATTACTACATACTATCATGACACTTCAGTAGCCAAAATGGGCCAAAATTCAGGGAACTTCAAAAGTTCAGTGTTCAGGCTGGGCACAGTGGCTCACGCCTGTAATCCCAGAACTCTGGGAGGCAGAGGCAGGCAGATCACCAGGTCAGGAGTTCGAGACCAGCCTGACCAACATGGTGAAACCCTGTCTCTACTAAAACTATAAAAATCAGCCAGATGGGGTGGTGTGCGCCAGTAATCCCAGCTACTCAGGAGGCTGAGGCCAGAGACTCGCTTGAACCAGGGAGGCAGAGGTTGCAATGAGCCAAGATCGCGCCACTGCACTCCAGCCTGGGCAACAGAGCGAGGCTCTGTCTCAAAGAAAAAAAAAAATTTTCAGTGTTCAGTGTTTTTAACCTCCAGCCCACAAACCTTTAACGCCCAGCAAACTCTCCTCATACTTTGATCCAGCTTAAAAGTCTGTGAAATCTCTTAGCAAAAATAATCACTCTCTCCCGTGTTCACACAGCACTTTATAAATTAAACTATTACAACACTTATCACACTATAGTACAATTGCCTATAAGCCTTACCCAACACTAGACTGTTTCTCAAAAGTAGGAATGGCTGGGCGCGATGGCTCACGCCTGTAATCCCAGCACTTTGGGAAGCCCAGGAGGGCGGATCACCTGAGGTCAGGAGTTCAAGACCAGCCTGACATGGAGAAACCCCGTCTCTACTAAAAATACAAAATTAGCCAGGCATGGTGGCGCATGCCTGTAATCCCAGCTACTCGGGAGGCTGAGACAGGAGAATCACTTGAACCTGGGAGGCGGAGGTTGCAGGGAGCTGAGATTGCGCCACTGCACTCCAGCCTGGGCAACAAGAGCAAGACTCCATCTCAAAAAGAAAAAAAAAAAACTACTTTATTCTTTGCCCCCTCAGTGCCCATGAACATGCATCTGCCCCATGACAGATTATTTAAATGTAAATAATTATCAAGCACCTTACTTAGAACTCTATTAATTAGAGATTTTTCATAAATTAAAAATTAGTAAGCCAATGTCTAAAATAAGACTGTATTCCATTCGGCCAGGCAGGGTGGCTCATGCCTGTAATCCCAGCACTCTGGGAGGCCGAGGCAGGTGGATCACCTAAGGTCAGGAGTTCGAGACCAGTCTGGCCAAGATGGTGAAACCCTGTCTCTACTTTAAAAAAAAAAAAAAAAAAAAAAAAAAGCCGGGTGTGCCTGCAATCCCAGCTACTCGGGAGGCTGAGGCTGGAGAATCGCTTGAACCTGGGAAGCAGAGGTTGCAGCGAGCTGAGATTGCGCCACTGCACTCCAGCCTGGGCGATGGAGCAAAACTCCATCTCAAAAAAAAAAAAAAAGAGTATGTTCCATAAAAGATAAATGTAAGCTGAATCTAAATGATCTAAGTGACTCAAGAGTATCTAGTTATCTAAAATATCCTTTTCAATAAAATTGCCTGAAAATACATTTTATCCGAATGATTCTAGAGATAATGGAAACACTTAAAAGACTGTCTCCTCTAGTACTCAGACTTCAAAGACTGAACCATATTTTATTTTTATTTATTTCATAGGATTTTCATCTGTTGTCCAGGCTGGAGTGCATTTCCTGGGATTATAAGCGAGCCACCACGCTGCTTCTGAATCATACTAAAAAAAAAAAAAACAAAAAAAAAAAAACTAAGGCAAAGAGGTTAAGTGACTTGTCCAAAGACACTCAACCTTTCTTCTATCATATACATCTTCATCAACAGAATGAAACAACATACCATAATAAAACCACTTGGTTTTGTTTCCTCCTTAGTAAAACAAAATACGTTTTTAAAAAAATAAATAAAACTGTTTAAGTTGTGATGACAAAGGAATGCATACTTTCCACTGGCTCTAGTTAACCCCAGCTCTCCTCCCAAGGTGAAAGATCAAGTACAGGCTACTTACTCATCACTACATCTTTTCTCACTCCATTCATGTTTGATTTGTACCAGGTGGCAAGGGTGTGGATAGCAACGTAGTTGGCTTCAAATTCACAATTTGGATTAGTGAGGACTCCTTTTAACCGTGGGATGAGTTCTGTGGATCTTCCTTTGTACGGGCCCAGAAACAGTCTCTTCTGATCATAATCATTAGCATGAATGTTATCCCAGATTACTGGAGCTCTCTTAATAATCTTAGAAACCTCTTCGATGGACTCTACTGGAATTTCTTTAGAAACAACTTTGGGACCTAGAAATAACGACAACCGTTCGTTAAAAGAATCATGGTTCTTGGCTAGACGCATTGGCTCATAACTGTAATCCCAGCACTCTGGGAGGCAGAGGTGGGCAGATCATTTGAGCCCAGGAGTTCGGACCAGCCTGGGCAACACAGCGAGACCCTATCTTTTTATTTTAAATTAAAAAATATATTTAAAAAAAAGAATCATGGTTCTTTAAAATATACTGCATATATAACTTTTTATTGTTTTCCTTACGTGTACTTTTTTTTTTTTTTTTTTGAGACAGAGTCTCGCTGTGTCGCCCAGGCTGGAGTACAGTGGTGTGATCTCGGCTCACTGTAAGCTCCGCCTCCTGGATTCACACCATTCTCCTGCTTCAGCCTCCTGAGTAGCTGGGACTACAGGCGCCCTCCACCACGCCTGGCTAATTTTTTGTATTTTTTAGTAGAGATGGGGTTTCACTGTGTTAGCCAGGATGGTCTCGATCTCCTCACCCTGTGATCCGCCTGCCTCGGCCTCCCAAAGTGCTGGGATTACAGGCGTGAGCCACTGCGCCTGGCCCCTTACATGTACATTTTATAACAACGTTTCTTTTTCTGAGACAGGGTCTCCTCTGTTACCCAGGCTGAAGTGCAATGGAGTAATCATGGCTCACTGCAGCCTTGAGCTCCTGAGCTCAAGCAATCCTCTCACCTCAGCCTCCCAAGTAGCTGGGACTACAGGTGTGCCCCACCATGTCACAGTAATTTAAAATTTTTTTGTACAGATAAGGGCTTGCTATGTTGCCCAGGCTAATCTTAAACTCCTGGCCTCAAGCGATCCTCCTACCTCAACTCAAGCCTCCCACAGCACTGGGATTACAGGCACGAACCAATGCACCCAGCCACAATTTTTCTTTTGAAAACACAACATGTCTTTTACTGAGCTTTATTTTTTTCGTTTTATAAAATAGAAGAGTTTCCTAACGCTGCTTAAGGATGGGATCAATACCTTTTAGCCCAATTCCCTATAAATCTTTATTATTTATTAACTGAATTTTTTTTGAGACAGGGTCTCATTCTGTTGCTCAGGCTGGAGTGCAGTGGCATGATCACAGCTCACTGCAGCCTCTACCTCCCGGGCTCAAGTGATCCTTCCACCTCAGCCCCCTAAGTAGCTGGGACTACAGGTGTGCACCAGCCCACCTGGCTAAGTTTTTTATTTTTTCTACAGTCTCTCTATGTTGTCTAAGCTGGTCTTGAACTCCTGGGGGCTTCCACCTCAGGCTCCCCACTCAGGCTCCCCAACCATGATAGATGTTTTTTCATATTAAGAGAATATGTAAACTTTGTAAAAGAAAGCGTATTTTAACAAGTTCTCTGGGCCAGGTGCAGTGGGTCACATGTGTAATCCCAGCACTTTGGGAGGCCGAAGTGGGCAGATCACCTGAGGTCGGGAGTTTGAGACCAGCCTGGCTAACATGGAGAAACCCCGTCTCTACTAGAAATACAAAAATTAGCTGGGTGTGGTGGCGTGTGCCTGTAATCCCAGCTACTTGGGAGGCTGAGTCAGGAGAATTGCTTGAACCCGGGAGGCAGAGTTTGCAGGGAGCTGAGATTGTGCCACTGCACTCCAGCCTGGGCAACAAGAGCAATGCTCTGTCTCAAAAAAAAAAAAAAAAAAGGCCAGGCGTGGTGGCTCACGCCTGTAATCCCAGCACTTTGGGAGGCCAAGGCGGGTGGATCACGAGGTCAGGAGATCGAGACCATCCTGGCTAACATGGTGAAACCCTGTCTCTACTAAAAATACAAAAAATTAGCCAGGCGTGGTGGCGGGTGCCTGTAGTCCCAGCTACTCGGGAGGCTGAGGCAGGAGAATGGTGTGAACCTGGGAGGCGGAGCGTGCAGTGAGCCGAGATCATGCCACTGGACTCCATCCTGGGCGACAGAGTGAGACTCCGTCTCAAAAAAAAAAGTATTCAATTAACAAGAACAAGCAATTTCTGCAAGTCCTACTTAATTCAACTTTGACTGTATAAATCTTAAAAGACTTACCTGTCCAAAGCACTTCAATTCCAGGTAGAAGCTTTTCACCCACAGTCCTTAAATATGGAGACTGAGACACATTTGGATAACAGAAAGTGCCACAGTATTCTAAATGTAGGGAGAAAAGTAAAAAAGTCAGAATTAAAATGCTCATGGGTTTTCTCTTTGTTTGTTTGTTTTCTTTGAGACGGAGTCTCACTCTTGATGCCCAGGCTAGAGTGCAGTGGCACGATCTCGGCTCACTGCAACCTCTGCCTCCTGGGCTCAAGCAATTCTCCTGCCTCAGCCTCCCAAGCAGCTGGGACTACAGGCGCACGCCGCCACGCCCGGCTAATTTTTTTTTGTATTTTAGTAGAGATGGGGTTTCACCATGCTGCCCAGGTTGGTCGCAAACTCCTGAGCTCAGGCAATCCGCCCGCCTTGGCCTCCCAAAAGGCCCATGGGTTTTTGAATGTGGAAAAAATGTCTGCCAATTCTAAATTATTTTCATCTAAATGATAAAAGGCCTCCTACAAGGAACTAAAGTGGGCAGTTCATTTAAGAAATTCATAAAATCTGGTATTTTTCCTCCAACAGTAGTACAGATCAATTCTTACGATACTACAGTTACTAGAAATACAAGTTTACTAAAAAAACAAGAACTGCAGCATTTTCTACAGAATTCTGAATTGCCTACTTTTCTCAGTTACAATTAAACGCCAAACAGAATGAATTGATAATATCATAATAGAACTAATACAAGAATATGCCAATGGCAGCTGGGCACAGTGGCTCACACCTGCAATCCCAGCATTTTGGGAGGCTGAAGCGGGTGGATCACTTGAGCCCAAGAGTTCGACACTAGCCTGGGCAATATGGCGAAACCCCGTCTCTACCAAAAATATAAAAATTAGCCAGTTTTATAGCCCGGTCTCTAAATAAATAATACAAACTTAAAAGTAAAATTTAAAAAAAATTTTTTTAAAGGCATATACCAATGGCTATTAGTACTCAACTGCAACTTAAACTGTAACTTGCAGCTAATTAATTCCCAGTATAATCTTAAAACTTCTGGGTACTAATGTAGTACTCAACTAAAATAAGGTTCTCGGCTCACAATACACACAAAGAAAGTTAAATAATTTAATCTAAAATTCTTCCTGAACAAGGAAGTGTGGGGAAAACTTCCTGTAAGTTGAATTTTGAGAAGCAACTAAGAGACTAAAATATTTTCAATGAAAGAAACCAGAGGGGCAAAAAGAAAGGAAAACGGGAAAAACTGTTAAGCTTTCTATGCTGACTACTTGAAATAAGAGCCCAGATGGGAGTGGGAGGAGTGCAAAAAGGGACAGATATGCATGGGCAGAAAAAGGGGACAAGTAGGAGGAAATGAGAAGTGACTAAGGTAAAAGCAATGTAATTTGGTTTTTCTCCAGTTTTCATTTCAATACTATCCCTCTTTTAATATTGACAATGTAATGTTCATATACTTCCAGTACTTAAAAATACATAAAAATCTTTTGCCTAGTCAGTTGTCATTTATTAGTTCCTAAAATTTCTCCAATTTAGGATCTTGAAAAATGTCTTCTAAAAAAAGATTCCTACTTTTACACACCAAAGGAGGAGGGAAGTGGAGAGAGAATGGGGCCCATGGTCCTTTATAAGTTATATATTCCAAGAAGACTAGTTAAATGTAAAGCCATTATATACAATACCTGTGGGACAGAAGAGGAAAGTTTCTGGCTCTCCTAGGTACTGATAGATTTCATTTGTGATGGAGACTTGGGCATGAGCAAAAGAACTGAATACCTCTTTGTCTGCTGCACACATATTATGGTCTATATCATCAAAAAGCAAAGCAAATGATCTGCACCCAAACTGAGAAACCTAGGAGAAAAAAAAAAAAAAGAATCAAGAGTAAAAAAATTAAGAATTCCAAACATTACAGCGTTAACAGTTATACTTAAAATCCAGTATTTTCCTTACTAGAATGTTCAAAGACAGATTTATTGTTTTTACATTTTCAATTAAAAAATCGTAAGTTAAACAGTTTTGGGACCCATTTCTCATTTGGGTTTGAATGCACTACAGGCTGAGTATTCCTTATCTGAAATGCTTGGGACCAAAAATGTTTTGGATTTTCATTTTTGTTTTTTCCTGGATTTTGGAATATCTGTATTATATTCAGCATCCCTAACCTGAAAATCCAAAATCTGAAATGCTCCAATGAGCATTTCCTTTGAATTTTATGGAGCTCAAAGAGTTTCATATTTTGGAACATTTCAGATTTCTGAATTAGGGATACTCAACTTATATGACAATATGATCCAACAAAGTGGCCTAGCCTCCTAGTCCTCATGGGCTGCTGCTGATTGTAGAAGACCCAACAAAGTCAGAAAAATACAGAAACATGAGTAAGTAACCTTAAGACATGAAAAAGCCAGGCTGTGTCCTAGTCCCAAAAGGCACACTGATCCCTTTGCAGATAAACCTAACCAGGTATGAATCAGAAAGAATAGAATTTTATCAAATAGTAAAATAACTTCATTCATGAAAATTTCAACTGCCTTAAATTTTTTACCAGACATTTTAATGCCACCCATATAAATCTTTGCCTAAAGAAATAAGACATGTATATAGAAAAACCAGCAAACTAAAATAACAGAAAAATGGGGCCGGGCGCAGTGGCTCACACTTGTAATCCCAGCACTTTGGGAGGCCGAGGCGGGCAAACCATGAGGTTAGGAGTTCGAGACCAGCCTGGCAAACATGGTGAAACCCCATCTCTACTAAAAATACAAAAAAATTAGCCAGGTGTGGTAGCACATGCCTGTAATCCCCGTTACTCAGGAGGCTGAGGCCAGAGAATTGCTTGAACCCAGGAGGTAGAGGTTGCAATGAGCTGAGATCGCGCCACTGCACTCCAGCCTGGGCGACAGAGCAAGACTCAGTTTCAAAAAAAAAAAGGAAAATGGAAGCCCCCTACATTGGACCAAAGGAAGTCTGCAGCTTTTACATTAAGCAGACTTTACACTCAATTAGGTTCACCTAGTCTGTTTTTCTTCTCATCTTGGGAAACTAGCCATTTCCAGACATCTCTTCGTCCATATAATTGAAGAAACTAATGTCTAATAGGTAAAACCCTGTTTCTGTAATCTCAGGTGTAAATTCAAGCCAAGCAGCCTAGGGTATATATAATTTCTCAAAATGTGGTTCTTGACCACCAATCACCTAGATTCCCGGTCCCCACCTTATCCATTTGGGAAATAAAGTCCAGCAGTCAGCATTCTTCCAAGCTTCACTTCTAATCATTCTTTTAAGGCAGTTCTTATGCAAACTGAAATTTGAGAAGAACTAGTACCTCCAGTAAAGCTCTTTTTACTTAATTTGGAAAATATTCCTCTATCAGAAGGATTCAAGGCTGGGTGCACTGGCGCACGACTGTAATCCCGGCACTCTGGGAGGCTGAAGTGGGTGAATCACCTAAAGTCAGGAGTTCGAGACCAGCCTGGCCAACGTGGCAAAACCCTGTCTCTACTAAAAATATAAAAATTAGCCAGGCATGGTGGTGTGCCTGTAACAGCTACTCAGGAGGCTGAGGCATGAGAATCGCTTGAACTTGGGAGGTGGAGGTTGCAGTGAGCCGAGATTGGGCCACTGCACTCCAGGCAACAGGGCAAGACTCTGTCTCAAAAAAAAAAAAAAAGAAAAAAAAAGCATTCAAAGTAAAAAAAATTCTTATAGAAA